>NC_000004.12:2667539-2974036 GCF_000001405.40 Homo sapiens | reverse complement strand
CTCCAAGGAAAAAAAGAGTGAATGAGGGAAGGGGTAGTGGTCAGGAAATTCCTCAGGTGAGAGAACAAGCCCCGTAAGAAAAAATTCTCAAGAGACAGAGGAAACCGTGTGGAGGCAGAGTGAGAGAGGGCGGATGAGGTTGGGGCGGCGGTCTTAAGGCCACTGCAGAGACTACGGCTTTCACTCTGAGCTGTCTGGGAAGCCATGAAGAGAGTTCAGAGGAGGGGCCGACACAATCTGGCTTAAATTTTAATAGGACCACTCTGGCTGCTGTGCTGAGAACGGGCTGTCAGGGGGAAAAGGCAGAAGCTGACCACGGTGTTCCAGGTGAGACGCTGACGGCTTGAGCCAAGTGACAGCAGTGGAGGAGGTGAGAAAAGGTCGGAATCTGCTGCGTTTTGAGTTGAGGGCTGAACACTCTGTCCAAGGATTGAGTGTGGGGGTGCGAGTAAGTCAAGTGCAGCTACATGAGCATTAACTGAGGTGCAGATGGAAACATCGGGGTGCTGGGGTTGAGTATTTGGGGTCTGGTACAGGCTCTTTCTCGTACCAATGAGGCTTCCATACAGCGATGTCAGGTAGGCAGCAGCACAGTGAGCTGCAAGTTGAGTGGAGAGGCCCAGCCTGCAGGCGTGAACTGGTGACAGGAGCTTCTTTCAAGCCATAGTACTACAAGATCACAAGGGAATGAGTGTGGATAGAGAAGGCGAGAAGCCCCTGGACAAAGACGGGGGGCATTTGGTATTAAAAGATCTAGAAGATAAGGGGGGACCAGCCAAGCCATCTGAGGCAAGCAGCGCAACAGGAAGGGTGATGATGCAGAACACGCTCACGGAAGAAAGCATGACGTGCCACGTCAGTGCAGCCCACGGGGGCAGCAAGACAAGGACCAAGAACTGATGCCTGGGATGTGGCAAGGGTGGCTTTGGTGAGGTGGTGGAGGTGAGGACTCAGCACCCAGCATCTAACTGACCCCACACTTGTTTGAAGAGTAAATAACAAGGCCAGGTGCAGTGGCTCACACTTGTAATCCCAGCACTTTGTGAGGCTGAGTTGGGCAGATCACTTGGGTTCAGGAGTTTAAGACCAGCCAGGGCAACATGGTGAAACCCCATCTCTACAAAAAATACAAACATTAGCTGGGGATGGCAGTGTACACCTGTAGTCTTAGCTACTCGGGACGCTGAGGCAGGAGAGCTGCTTGAGCCCGGGAGGTGGAGACTGCAGAGAACCGAGATCATGCTGCTGCACTCCAGCCTGGGTGACAGAGTGAGACCCTGTCTCAAAAAAAAATTTTTTTAAAGAGTAAATAACACACACACACAGCAGCGCACACACTGTGCACCTCTAAACACAGGACTCCCCCTCCGCCCCCGCCACATATGACTAGACCTGGTGGGGCATGAAGCACACACTGCACACTGCAGCTACAAAAGGTCCCCTGGCTTGGTCTAAGGGACAGAGTGTCACAGGTTAAAGAGAGAGAGAGAGAGAAGAAAGGGCCCCCCCCCGCAGGTTTGGGGCACACGTGCTGGTGAACCCTAGCGCCACTCTACCCCTCATTCAGCTGTCCTCAGTTCCAAAAGTCTCCACTGGCACAGCACAGCAGTCTGGTTCCACGTCCCCGCTGTTTGGCCCGGGCCCGGTCATACTCAAAGGTGGGCCGGCTATGCTGTCAATACTACGTAAAGACAAGGAGGCCAGAAGGTGAAGAACCAGGCAGAGCATGATGAGTCGTGGGGCCATGGCGAGGTCAACGGTGGTCGGCAGGGCCACAGGCATTTCAAAGGAGGACCATCCACAGACACTAAAGTCTGGGCAGCATACTGGGTTGAAAACTGTCAGAGGATTCCTCTTAAGTTTTTGAGGTCCCCAAAAGCAGGCAGTAAAGTGGGGCCACAGTGTTTGAAGGCCCAAGGATCCCCTCTATGGGCTGCCTTCATCTGTTTCAGAGGTACCTGTTACAGGTTGAATTCGTCCCATCCTAAAAAACGTTTATGTTAGAGTTCTATTCCCCAGTTAGCCCCTAACCCTCAGACAGTGATCTTATTTGGAGATAGGGTATTTATAGAGACAATTAAGTTAAAATTAGGTCATTAGGGTGGGCCCTAATCCAACATGATTGGTATCCTTATAAAAATGGAAAATTGGACACAGACACACCCACAGAGGGCACGCCACGTGAAGATGAAGACAGATCAGAATGATGCACCTCCAAGCCAGGGGACACCAGAGACTGCCAGCGAGCCAGCAGAGGCTGGGAGAGAGGCCTGCGACAGATTCTTCCTCACAGCCCACAGAAGGAACCAGCTCCACTCACAACTTGATTTTGCACTCCGGCCTCCAAGACTGTGAGACAATAAATGTCTGTTGCGGGAGACATCAGGTTTGTATCACTTTGTTACACAGCCCTAGCAAACTCACACAATACTGTCCTCCCCGCTTTCTTCTTCCTGCTATTCCTGCCAAGTTTCTTTTCCTTCCATTTTTGGGCCACTTCTGCTTCAGATCCAGGCATACCTACCGTGTTCATTTCCTCATCCTTATTCATTCATTCATCCATCAGGTATTTATTGAGAACCTACTATAGGCCACAACATTATGCAAATGACCTCAGAGAAGCATATAAAGGGCTTCATGAGGTGCTGACAGTCCTCTGGCCAATGAAGCAAGCAAAGCTGGGCAAAAGGTGCTGAAACAAGCATGAAGAATCCTACAGATTATTTTGTTTGAGGTAAAGGTAGCAAAGCACAAAAATGTAATATGAGACTATTAATTTGTACTTTGGAAGTAATTTGCATATCAATTAACCACATATTTACTGGAGACTGAATATTGTTACCAAATTAGTCTTTATGACCATGACATAAATGTTAATAAGCAACTTTGCACACATATGTACAAAATACCGTAAATGTTTCTGCTAAAAAGTAACTTAAGAAAGCCCTAATTCTAGAGTTTTTTGAGGAGCTTTAATAAAGCCAAAATGATTTTGACTGTATCATTTTTCTTTAAGGTAACTATTGCCTAATTTGGGTCAAAATATAAAGCTCAAGAACATTCTTTTGGCCAGGCGCGGTGGCTCACACCTGTAATCCCAGCACTTTGGGAGGCCGAGGCGGGCAGATCACAAGGTCAGGAGATCGAGACCATCCTGGCTAACACAGTGAAACTCCATCTCTACTAAAAATGCAAAAAAATTAGCCAGGCATGGCGGCGTGTGCCTGTAGTCCCAGCTGCTGGGGAGGCTGAGACAGGAGAATGGCGTGAACCTGGGAGGCAGAGCTTGCAGTGAGCTGAGATCACGCCACTGCACTCCAGCCTGGGCGACAGAGCGAGACTGACCCCCCCAAAAAAAAAGAACATTTTTTTTTTTTTTTGAGATGGAGTCTCACCGTGTCGCCAGGTTGGAGTGCAGTGGCACGATCTCGGCTCACTGCAACCTCCACCTCCCGGGTTCAAGTGATTCTCCCGCCTCAGCCTCCCGAGTAGCTCGGACTACAGGTGCATGCCACCATGCCTGGCTAATTTTTGTATTTTTAGTAGAGACGGGGTTTCACCATGTTGGCCAGGATTGTCTCGATACCTGGACCTCGTGATCCGCCCGCCTTGGCCTCCCAAAGTGCTGGGATTACAGGCATGAGCCACCGTGCCTGGCCAAGAATATTATTTTATAGTATCAGTGGTATAGATATTTTTGGTCCTAAAGTAGCATAAAGCCAATAACCCAATATTTGATTCACTGACCAAGAAATAAAAATCCTGATTTAAAGCCATTATAATCTAGATAGACAAAGTAGAAAATATAAGAAAACCAAACTGACCTGGTTGCTAATAACCTGGCTGATTGATAGCATCCCAAATTAGCTGTACCATAATGATAGTAACAGACGGTAGACATTATTGCTTAGGGAAAATGGGGTAACCTTTTGTTGGCAGAGAAATAATTTGGCTGACTACTACATAGATTACTTCAAATATCTGACAGATAAGAAATACTAAGTTTATAACTCTTTCTAGAAAACTTGATCTTACATGCTGTTGAAAATTCTAATAGGCCGGGTGTAGTGGTTCACCCTGTAATCCCAGCACTTTGGGAGGCTGAAGTGGGAGGGTAGGATCACTTGAGTCCAGGGGTTCCAGACTAGCCTGGGCAACATAGTGAGACCCCATCTCCACAAAAACCACAAAATTATCTGTGCATGGCAGCGCATGCCTGTGGTCCCAGCCACTTGGGAGTCTGAGACAGGAGGACTGCTTGGCCCCAGAGTTCAAGGCTTTGAGGCTTCAGTAGCTATGATTTCCCCACCTGCACTCCAGCGGGGTAACAGAGTGAGACCCTGTCTTTAAAAAAAAAAAAGGCTGGGCACCATGGCTCACGCCTGTAAATCCTAGCACTTTGGGAGGCCGAGGTGGGCGGATCACCTGAGGTTGGGAGTTCGAGACCAGCCTGACCAACATGGAGAAACCCCATCTTTACTAAAAATACAAAATTAGCCGGGCGTGGTAGTGCATGCCTGTAATCCCAGCTACTTGGGAGGCTGAGGCAGGAGAATCGCTTGAACCCAGGAGGCGGAGGTTGCGGTGAGCCGAGATTGTGCCATTGCACTCCAGCCTGGGCAACAAGAGCGAAACTCTCTTTAAAAAAAAAAAAAAAGAAAAGAAAGAAAGAAAGAAAAGAAAAGAAAAGAAAATTTGGCCAGGCACAGTGGCTCACACCTGGAATCCCAACAATTTGGAAGGGCAAGGCGGGTGGATCATTTGAGGTCAGGAGTTCAAGACTAGAAAGAGCAGTCTTTTAATTTCCTCAGCTAGGGAATTTCAAAGGCAACTTTGAGGATTCTCTGCAATCGCTCCTCTATCCAGTGTCTTCTACCTTCAGCATCTCTCTGATCTCCTCTTTCCTCTCCGTTCTCCTAGCTACCCCTCTGGCCCTAGCGCATATGGCCTATGCCTGCTTACTATGTCATGTAAACAGGCCCTTGCAATGGCCCTTTGTTGGTTTCTTCTGCAGCCCTTCCCTTACTTCTCCCCCACGGTGTATGTCTTGGTGGGACTGTCATTCCAGCTGCCTGGTTCCCCCTTAGCCACGGATGCAGGAAGGGGGCCAGAGCCAAGCCAGCCAATTGGTGCTCTCTCCCAGGATAAGAATCATGAAATTCATGAGGCAAAATCAGATAAATAAAATAAAAAGATACCTGCTCTGTCACAGGAGTGACCGTGGAGACCTGATTATCAATCAGCAGCCCCCTGTCTAAAACTATCCAAAACTGCAACTACCAATGCCACCTGGGCGCTTCCTACCCCCATCCCTGCTGTAGTCTCCCGTGGCACTCACTGCTTGCTAATATGCCACACGTCTTATTTATGTGCCTCAAGACTGCCTCCCCTATAAGAATGTGGTCTCCAGAATGGCAGGAATTTCTGAACATGTTGTTTATTGCTATAGGAACAGTACCTGGAACATTCTGAGCACACATCTGCCAAATGAATGCATGAATGAATGAGTCCCACATCCTGTTCTTTCCAGACTGATTGTTAGGTTCTTACTTTGATTCTTTGAGCTACCCAATATCTTCTCCATAAATTTCCTATTTGCTTAAGTTAGCAAAAGTTCTAGGGAGGAAGCCTCAGCAAGAGACAGCATTAATAATAACAGGTATATTAACCATGCTGCAGGTGTTAAAGAAACTGCTCAATAACACCGCAGCCTGAAATCAGAACAGAATTGCAATATATAAGACCAAAACCCACATTAAATGCACGTATTACGTATTCCTCTCTGCATTTGTTTTCAATTTCTCCAAGAGATAAGACGGTGTTAAAGTCTCCTCAGAAGTATGATGTGAAATAATTTAAGCTTATTTAAAGCATAAAAGTTATAAGTTGCTTAACAAATAATATTATACAGGGAAAAAATCCTAAATTAAAAAAAAAAACAAAACAGGCCGGGCACAGTGGCTCACGCCTGTAATCCCAGTACTTTGGGAGGCTGAGGCGGGTGGATCACCTGTGATCAGGAGTTCGAGACCAGCCTGACCAACATGGAGAAACCCCCGTCTCTACTAAAAATACAAAATTAGCCAGGCATAATGGTGCATGCCTGTAATCCCAGCTACTCGGGAGACTGAGGCAGGAGAATTTCTTGAACCCGGGAGGCAGAGGTTGCAGTGAGCCGAGATCACGATTGCGCCATTGCACTCCAGCCTGGGCAACAAGAGCAAAACGACGCCTCAAAAAAAAATTGTTTTTATATTTATTAACAATATGATCTATGAACCTATGAATTATATCAAGGAAAAAAAAATAAAACAAAACACCAACAAAAACCCAATACGGGCCGGGTGCAGTGGCTCACGCCTGTAATCCCAGCACTTTGGGAGGCTGAGGTGGGCGAATCACTTGAGGTCAGGAGTTCAAGACTAGCCTGGCCAACATGGCAAAACCTTGTCTCTACTAAAAATACAAAAAATTAGCCGGGAATGGTGGGTGCCTGTAGTCCCAGCTACTTGGGAGGCTGAGGCAGGAGAATCACTTGAACCCAGGCGGCAGAGGTTGCAGTGTGCTGAGATCATACCACTGCACTCCAGCCTGGGTGACAGAGTGAGACTCTGTCTCAAAACAAAACGAAACAAAATAAGACCAAACCAATATGATCATTTCACGCTTCCTTCATGTCCCTGGCAGAGTGACACACAAACACTTTCAGTGCAGCATCATCTGCCAACATTCCTGAAAGGAAAAGGCTCTAACAATCTTCTGTTTAGACCATCTTAGTCTGTTCAAGCTGCTCTAACAAAATACTATAAACTGAGTAGCTTATAAATTGCAGAAATGTATTTCTCACAGTTCTGGAAGCTAAAAAGTCCAAGATCAAGACAGATTTGGTGTCTGGTGAGGGCCCACTTTCTGATTCATAGCTGGCATCTTCTTTCTGTGTCCATGGTAGAAGGAGTGAGGGGTGTCTCTCTAGTTTCTTTTATAAAGGCACTAATACCATTCACGAGGGTTCCACTCTCATGACCCAATCACCTCCCAAATGCCCCACCTCCTAATTCCATCCCCTTCGTAGTGAAGATTTCAACATAAGAATTTTGGGGGAACACAAATATTCAGACCATAGCAGGGACCAGAGAGGGAGGGGGGATTGAGACTGACTGATTCTATTTGAAATAAATCCAGGAAATGACCGGACTCACTAATAATATTAAATCAACATTGCGCTTCTCAGGACCAGAATATAACTCTTGTGCTACGTTCATTCATTTCAAAGGTTAATTTTCTAGTATATGAGCCAGTGAAGCTAAACAAGGAGCTGTCCATGAAGTTATGTGTCCAAGAAGACACCTCCTGGTACTTCCTGGGAGATACTTTAAAGTAACAAACACAGTCATCAACTTGGGAAAAAGCCCTAAATTATAACCAATACTCAGCATGTATCCATGTATATCTAATATTATATATTCAACTTCTCTAACCATTAATCAAGCTATACATAATGATGCTTTCTGACCACAGGAGCAAATACTCTCACTCAATGGGGACAGGCCTCATAATCACACTACTGTGGAGTTAATATGAGATATTTCAGGGAAAAAATTAAAACTTTCTTTTTTTTTTTTTTCGAGACGGAGTCTCGCTCTGTCACCCAGGCTGGAGTGCCGTGGCGCGATCTCGGCTCACTGCAAGCTCTGCCTCCAGGGTTCACGCCATTCTCCTGCCTCAGCCTCCCATGTAGCTGGGACTACAGGCGCCCGCCACCACGCCCGGCTAATTTTTGTATTTTTAGTAGAGACGGGGTTTCACCATGTTAGCCAGGATGGTCTCAATCTCCTGACCTTGTGATCCGCCCGCCTCGGCCTCCAAAAGTGCTGGGATTACAGCTGTGAGCCACCGTGCCCGGCCAAAACTTTCATTTTTCAAACTATCACTGTGGTCTTAGGTTTTGTGACAGAATCTGGTTTTATGTTATTTAGCATTTATAGAGCACTTGTATTTATCTCATTATCTAATCTCTGCAGCATTATAAGGAAGGCGGCTTGGTATAGTTCCTTTTTGTAAATTACATGCAGATAGGAAGGTAGTGTAAAAAGAAAACTGGCTTAGCTTCAATCTGACTTCCACTAAGGATGATTATTTTCCATGACCTATTTGGAGTTCACAGTCAGGGATAAGAGGCACAGTCAAATGCTCCACTGAAAATGGCTGCTGAGAACGCATACTGCTCTGGGACTCCCTGATTATCTTAAGGGAAAAAGATCCCATTCTCTTCCCACCCATTCTCAGTTCTTCTATTCAAAATAGTGTGAGTTGGTGCACAAAAATACTGAGAAGATGAAGTCTTTGTTTTAGACTTTTTTAAAGAGATGGTCTTGCTGTGTTTTGCCCAGGCTGGACTCTCCTGGGCCCAAGTGAGCCTTCCACCTCAGCTTCCAGAGTAGCTGGGACTACAAGCGTGGCCGCCACCTTCGGCTCCAGACTGTCCTTTAAATATGCATCGCCGGCTGCTGTGGCATCTTCAGTCGGCATTTACACTGTCCTGGAGCACAGTCCGAGCAGAGCTGCTCCATCACGCAAGGAAATAGAGGAAATCAGCAATTCCGTAAGAGTGACGGGGTGTGAAGAACTACCGTGGCTAGCACAGGGACTTGAGGTCCGAGGCTCTGTCGCCAGCTCTCTTGAGACGCAGGCAAGGGAGACATGAGGTCCGAGACAGAGGATTGCACAGAGGATTGTGGGGGTCTCCCGCTGAAGGGCTGGACCAACTGATGCTTTTGTGGCGGGATGCAGAGGACTAGAGAGACCAGCATGGGTGAAAACAGGAGGATATTTATGTTAAGGTACGCACCAGCTCAGTGGATTCACATCCAAAAAGCTGAGCCTTGAACAAAGACTAAGCAGGATTTTTATAAGCAAACTTACAGAAGCAAAACAAAGGCAGTTAATCATATAATGACAGGTCACATAATCTATAGCATAACTGATGACTTGGCATAACTTGTGGCCTTGCATAGCTGGTGGCCTTGTAGCTGCGTTGAAAGAAAAAACCAAGAACTGGCTAAACACAGATATTTGTCCTCTTTTTTTTTTTTCTTCACCCCTGCTCTGGAAGGGGGGTGTCTGGAGCCTATTCCTTTGGATTCGACTTCTCAAACAGAACAGCGTTATCTTATAACTGTCCTTAAAGTGAGCTTGCTAAGCAAAAGAAAACTTGTTCTTCTTTTCTTTTTAACCCTTGCCTTGCCACATTCTGGGCCTTGGCTTTTTCTTTTCTTGGAGTGAATGAATGCAGTACTTATTACTATTTTTAAATTTCTGCCTCACTTTAATAATGATAAAAGGCTGAATTTTTGCCAACTTGTCCATCTGTGACCACGTCGTGCTAAAGCACACTTGACACACCATAGAGCCTCAGATCAAACCTCAAAACCAAGCAGCTATGTTAAAAATAACATTGCCCTACAATCATTATCGGAAGGTTCTCGCCCAGAGTAGTTCCCAGGCTGCTATTCTTTGTCCCCCTTAAGACCATAAAGACGCCGTTCTTTTTTGGTGGGACAGGTTGTCCAACACAAGCAGGACACTGCCTGCCGCATCCTGAAGCAACACTGTCACCGAGGTCACACCGAGAGGACAGGACAAGGACACAGGGCAAGACTAAGAAGAGCAAAGCGCAGACTTCTCTCATCTGGGCCAGGAGATGGGGACTGGGACCTGGCCCGGGCAGCCTGACCACACTGCACAGACCCCGGCTCCGGCTCCGTGCAGATCTGGGTTCCCCCAGTGGGAGGTGTCGGGGCTCTCCAGGGAAATCGGGGTTCTCCGGGGATGTCGGGTTCCTTCAGGGGGGCCAGGGTTCCCCGGGATTCGGGGTTCTCTGGGGGGGGGGTCGGGGGCGCCTGCCGCGCACCCACCTTGACGCGCTTTCAGCAGCAGCGAGTTGGCCACGATGTTCTCGAGCTCCATGTCCTGGCGCCGCCGCCGCCGGCGGATTCTGCGAGACCGAGGAGACTGAGGAGGCGGAACAGGAGGAGACGCCGCCGCCCCCGTGCATAGCTCGCCGGGCACCACCCTCTCCTCGAGCTCCGGACACGATCCCGGGAGGCTGCTCCGCCGCCACCACTGCCACCAAGGGCGCCGCCGCCGCCGCCTCCGCAGGCCCTCACCAGCAGGGGAGCGGTCGGGGCGAGGGGAGGGGGCAGCCCGACCGCGGCGGGTCCCAGCTGTCACCGCTGCCGCGCTATCGCCCCGGTTCTTCTTGGCCCCATCGCCCTCGCCTCGCGCGCGCAACTCCCTCCTCAGTGCCCTGCCCCCGGGCAGCCCCGAGTCAATGCCGTGGCTCACTTCGGACAGGGGCTCACTGGCAGGGGCGCCCGCCGCGGCCGGCGACCCGCTCCCGGGCGGGCTCGGCGCTAACGGCTTAGCTGAAGAGGGAGCGCCCCTCGCCGCCGCGGCCGGGGCACTACAGCTCCCAGAAGGCCCTGCGCCAAGAGTACACGGCGGGCCGCGGCGCGTGGCCTGCTGGGAGTTGTAGTCGCTGAGCCTATCGGCGAGTAAGCCGAGCCTGCGGGCGCGGTGTTTACTTCTCGCGAGTCGGAGGTGCTGCGCTGTTCTCGCGAGACGAGGAAGCGGTTCCGCGGCCCGGCACGTGTCTTAGGGTAGCGCGCGCCTGTCTCTCTTCGGGTCTCGGGCCCTTGGGCGCAGCGGGGCGCGCGCCATGGCGAAGGCGAAGAAGGTCGGGGCGCGAAGGAAGGCCTCCGGGGCGCCGGCGGGAGCGCGAGGGGGCCCGGCGAAGGCCAACTCCAATCCGTTCGAGGTGAAAGTTAACAGGCAGAAGTTCCAGATCCTGGGCCGGAAGACGCGCCACGACGTGGGACTGCCCGGGGTGTCTCGCGCACGGGCCCTCAGGAAGGTAAGCGGGGGGCGCACGGGGAGCCGGAAGGCAGGATCTGGACCCCACGCTGCTCTCGGCCGGCTGCGTCCTTCTCGGTGCGTCGGTTTCCTCGTTGAGCGGCACAGGCCGTGACAGGCACACGGCACTGACTTGATAGTCCGAAAGCCTCTGCTGTTCTCTGAGCTGGAGTGACCTGGAAACTCTCGCCGTCTTGGAGACCCTGCACTCGTGTTATTTCGGCGACTCCTCCAACCGGGTCAGGCCGAGTCAGTCACTTCGGGCGGCGCCCTGGACCAAGCTGCTTGTTAACCCTTCCGCGTTTACTTTGAGCTCTGCAGGTTTGGGGACGGTGGATAGGGGCTGTGTAGGATGCTGCGTTTGATGTTTCATCGGCTCTCTCCCGAAGCGCGTAACCTTGTTCCTTGGGAAGTAACTCTATGGAAACTCATTGCTTCCTAGTTTTTTTAACTTTTTTTTTTTTAAATTTTCACTGAGGAACATACATTAGCAGGTTGGTGAAAAAATTAAGGCACAGAAAGGACAAGTGCATTTCCTAAGGTCACGCACCTGGTAAGGGCTGGGCATGCATTCACATTTCAATATCTACAAAGCCTTCTTGCTACCCCGAGCGCTTCTGTTTGACCTCGCTTCTAGGTTCGGGGAGATAAAGGTAAATAAGACTTGCCCTTGCCTTCATGAGCTCCTGATCTCTGTTCATCACAGTGTGCAAGCTGGATGGTCTTTGAATCAAAACACATATTATCCTTACTGCGCGAAGACGACAGCCTGTATAATGAATAGGCAAGATAGACTTACAGCTGACTTCGATAGGAGTCCCTCATTACACACCCCCGGGCCGGGGTGGGAGAATAAGGTAGTGTGGTTCCCTAGAAGAGACACATTTGTCTTCACCACTGAAGCCTCAGTTTTCTCATTTCAAAAGTAGAGATGATAGTATACATCCTACCCCTCGTGGTGGTTTGTGAGAATTAAGTAAGATAGCACATAGAGCACACAGCAAGTGTTCTCTAAATACTGTTATTCTTAACCTTCTTGGCTTGTCGTTCGAGTCCCGCACAGTCTGGCTGTTGTCCTTGCTTCGCCTCTTGCAACTCAGTTTGTCCAAAAGGTCTGCCTTACCTCCGAAAGTCTCTAAAGGGCCAGCTCAGGTTCACCACCCAAGCTATGTAACCCAAATAGGACAGGTTGCTCAAACTTCTGGTATTGAGCAGATCCACCTCCCTGCCCTGTGCTGAAGGCCTGGGACGGGGACGGGAATTGCTGCTCCTTTTTGGATCTCCAATGCTTGGCCCTTGGAAGAAACACAAATATTTGAAGAAATCAAAGATGGAACCTGAGTGCCTTAGGAGATCCCGGTCAGGAAAAAGTGTAATAGTTAGGAAAGTCCAAAAATTCTTCTAGAGGGAGTTACAGTCAAGTTTTGCAAGGGGAGTGAGCTGTTCATGGGCCCAGGGTGGGCAGAGGACACACATGCAAAGGCACATTGTCCCGGTATGGTGAAGTGTGGCACTCACAGCTGTCTGAGGGACAGCAGGTCGTCCAGTTGACTCCAAGCTTGATAACGCGTGTAGGGGCCGTGAGGCCGGCGCAGGAGGCCTGGGTCTTTTCATGTGGGTTAGTCCCTTAGAAGTAAACAGGCTGCCTCAGTTGGCTTCTCCCCTCTGGTCAGTTGTAGCACTCTGAGGCACTCAGTCTGGCAGGAAGAGGGCAGCCCCCAGGTGCCAGTCTCAGGACATTGCTTTATAGCTGTGCCTCAGTTTCCTTATTTCTGAAATAATTTATAAAATAAGTTATATTAATGTAGTTCTTAAATCAGTAACTATATTAATATAGTTACTATATATTAATATACTAACTATATTATTAATATAGTTACTATATATTAATATACTAACAATATTAATATATTAATATATTATTATAATATTAGCATATTAATATATTATTGTAATAGCATATTAATATATTATTATATTAGTATATTAATATATTATTATAATATTAATATATTATTAAAATATTAATATATTATTATAATATTAATATAGTATTAATATAATATTGATGTAGTATTAATATAATATTGATATAATATTAATATAATAATATTGATATAATATTAAAATAATATCGATATAATATTAATATAATATTGATATAATATTAATATAATAATATTGATATAATATTAAAATAATATCGATATAATATTAATATAATATTGATATAATAATATAATAATAATGTAATTATAATATTAATATATTGATAATGTGATTATAATATTAATATATTGATAATGTGATTATAATATTAATATATTAATATTAATGTGATTATAATATTAATATATTAATATTAATGTGATTATAATATTAATATATTAATATTAATGTGATTATAATATTAATATATTAATATTAATGTGATTATAATATTAATATAATATTAATATAATAATATATAGTAACTATATTAATAATATAGTTACTGGTCCCTTACAGTTGGTCAGGCCTTGTGCCACACGGTTTACATTTAATCCTCACCGTTATGAGGGGGAAGTACTGTTATCCCCATTTTATGCCGTAAATTCCATATGATGTCACAACATCTATATAGTTTAAGAAAGAAAGAGAATCACAATAATGTAGAATAACTCATATTACGTATTTATAGCCTAAGGGCTGTTCTTCACTAAGATTTACCCATAGAATCATATTCCAGATAATGAGAACTAATATTTTTAGAGGCAGAGATGGCTGATGCCTGCCCCATCTACCCCCTTCCTGCTAGAAGCCAGTGACACTCCCTCCCTCTGCAGGGACAGACCTCAGAAGTCTTCTCGGTGTATGCTGGGTTTGGTGGCTCACACCTGTGATCCTAGCACTTTGGGAGGCCGAGGCAGGCAGATTGCCTGAGCTCAGGAGTTCGAAACCAGCCTGGGCAACACGGTGAAACCCCATCTCTACTAAAAATACAAAAAAATTAGCTGGGCGTGGCAGCGTGCGCCTGTAATCCCAGCTACTGGGGAGGCTGAGGCAGGAGAATTGCTTGAACCCGGCAGGTGGAGGTTGTAGTGAGCTGAGATTGTGCCACTGCACTCCAGCCTGGGCGACAGAGCGAGATTCCATCTTTAAAAAAAAAAAAAAAGGTCTCAGTGTAGCATGCAAGCAGCCTCTGTCCGTACAGAGTTCATCGAGCAGTACAGGCTAGCACATGTAATGTGCTCCCATCTGATTGCCAGCTAGACCTTGTGATTTAAATAGTGAGATGTTGTTTTAAAATTTTGCTCTGCGGATAAAGAATGGTGAAGGTTCAGAGAGCTTAACCTGATTCAGTACTGTGTGTGGTTCACTATCAGCATCCAGCAGGATCTCGCTCTGGAATGGCTCGTAACAGAAGCGGAGAGAACAGAGCAATGGCGATGGAGCCCTCTGGTCTATCTGGGGACACTCGCTGTCTTTAGACTCTGGTTCAGGAAATTGTACCCAAGGTGGTTTGTTTGTGTTTTTTGTTTTTTTTTGTTTTTGAGACAGAGTCTTTGTCTGTCGCCCAGGCTGGAGTGCAGTGGCACAATCTCAGCTCACTGCAAGCTCCACTTCCCGGGTTCACGCCATTCTCCTGCCTCAGCCTCCTGAGTAGCTGGGACTACAGGCGCCCGCCACCACACCCGGCTAATTTTTTTGTATTTTTAGTAGAGACGGGGTTTCACCATGTTACCCAGGATGGTCTTGATCTTCTAACCTCGTGATCCGCCCGCCTTGGCCTCCCAGAGTGCTGGAATTACAGGCGTGAGCCACCGCGCCCGGCCCCAAAGGTGTTTTTAACAAACATTGTTTAGCACTGCCACGGTAGGAAGTTACTAGAAGTTACTAGGGATTAATAACTCAGCGTGTGTCAGTTGAAACAAATTGGTTCTTGAAATATTCTTGAAGAAAATGACGAAAATTGCCTTGGCAGTATTTATTGAACTAATGGATGGTTTCCTACTCTTCAGGTAGCAGAGGGGTTTTTCATGCATTTTAAGTGTAATAATAGCACTTTCACATTTCAAAGTGAGATAAGAGAAATGGTTTTTTCACATCCTTTTCTCCTGTCCACATGATTAATATTTCGGTTGACCTCTCCAGATGGAATGTGCTCTAAATGGAAAGGAGGGCCAGGTCGTGCTTCTGTCCCTGCTGGAGCATCTTCTGCTCTTGCCCAGCTGCTTCTTAACCCCTTCCACTCTCTTTTCCTCCTCTTCCAGCTCCTGGTTTTGACCTTAAATCTGGGTTTCTTAGCCTTTAAGTTCATCTCCGACCCTGGGGAAGTGACCTATGTCTGGAGCAAAATCTGACCTGTCCCCTCCTGAAACAGAACTTGGAACCAGAGTGGCAGTGACCAAGTCACCACACGCTCCCTCCTGCCACACGCACGCATTCTTTCAAAGTGACTTCACAAATTAGAGGAATCCCTGAGGAAGGCAAGGAACACTTAAGTCGGGTTAGATGAGAGGTTTCAAATGTCTGCCGAGGCACCGATTTGTGGTGGGTTTGTAAAACCACTGAATTGGATCATTCCAAGGGCCTTCCATGGCATCAAGATTTTGCCTTGATGCCATTTCCTTTCGGAATTGCTGTGTAAACACCAGTGTAATGGCAGTTCCTTAGCAAATAGAAGAAGTTCCGCAGCAAGAAAGAGTTTGCAATGTGGCCATCTCAGGTTGCAGAGGCCACTCGTTCCTCACCCATCTCTGTCCTCTCACAGCTTTCTTTAGGGAATTCAACCTCCAGGACAGCCAACTTTGAATACTGTTAAACTTGGTCTTTTTTTGTTGCTGCTGGGAAAATAACCAAATTATTTGATACTTGCTAACCGTATTTAAAATATTGCTCCTCTTGGTGTTATAAAGGTGAAGCCCCTAAACTGTGACCTCGCTAACTTGTTTATTGCCTTGTGTCTAGTATGAACTCACAACTACACATTTCTTAGGAGTACCTTTGATGGGAAATAGTACCCTCCTCCATGACGGAAGGAGTCTAAACCCATTTCCACTTTTCCAAATGTGCACGTTTTAAACCTTAAGGCAGCTGTTACAGCCGAGGGAGCCATTCATGCCTTGAGCTTGACTAGTGTGTTCTTTTTTACCCTTCCTTTTGGCACCGGTAGACTCTAAAGAAGAAAAGAAAGTGATTGCCCCATTATCCTTGAAAGTTGTTTTGCTCTTCTCAAAATTCTGTGATTAGTAGAGAAAGCCTATCGTGCATGAAAGCAGATTGGGTGTGAACTTTGACATCACTGTGCATAGCCCTGAACTTTAAAGTATGCACTGTTCTGATGTCCCCTGTAGTGGAAATCACAAGAATTTTTTGTGAGATTGTTTCTGACCTGTTTTCCAGCGTACACAGACTTTACTAAAAGAGTACAAAGAAAGGGATAAATCCAATGTATTCAGAGATAAACGCTTCGGAGAATACAACAGCAACATGAGCCCCGAGGAGAAGATGATGAAGAGGTTTGCTCTGGAACAGCAGGTATGGAAAGAAACTGGAGGAGGGTTTTTGCTGTACATTTCACAGGGAAGTCAAGGCCAAGGAGAAGGCTGACTCTGCATGTTTTGCATGTTCCTGGGCACTCGGAAGGTCCAGGGGATAGCCCTCGAATCCTGTGCCTTATCTGGCTAGGCCAAAGGAGAAGCAACCTCTTCTGCAAATGTTAGCTGAATGGATAAATGCCTTAACTCTACTACACGGCAGCAGTGTGCACAGGAGTTCTCAGCTGAGCAGCATTGCTGGAGTGGAAACTGGCCCCTGGGCTTATTTAAGAATTCCCCTCCATGAGGCCGGGCGCGGTGGCTCATGCCTGTAATCCCAGCACTTTGGGAGGCTGAGGTGGGTGGATCATGAGGTCAGGAGATCGAGACCATCCTGGCCAACGTGATGAAACCCCGTCTCTACTAAAAATACAAAAATTAGCCAGGCGTGGTGGCGCATGCCTATAATCCCAGCTACTCAGGAGGCTGAGGCAGGAGAATCACTTGAACCAGGGAGTCAGAGGTTGCAGTGAGCCCAGATCACTCTACCGCACTCCAGCCTGGGCAACAGAGCGAGACTCTGTCTGAAGGAAAAAAAAGAATTACCCTCCATGAGTTTCATTTCTGTCTGAATCATGAATCATTGCTTAGTTGACCCAAAATACTCTTTAAGGCTGCTTAGGATTCGTTGTCATATTTCAAATATAATGGAAATATATATATCTACCTTATCTTTTTTTTTTTGCTGTGAAATGGAAGTGGTAATTTTAGGAAACTTTTTTTCTCTTCTGTCAGCGACATCATGAGAAAAAAAGCATCTACAATCTAAATGAAGATGAAGAATTGACTCATTATGGCCAGTCTTTGGCAGACATCGAGAAGCATAATGACATTGTGGACAGTGACAGCGATGCTGAGGATCGAGGAACGTTGTCTGGTGAGGCTGGGGTGCTGTGCACGGGCCTGTGGGCGTGGAGTCAGGGAGAGTCTGTTCATTGTTAGACCTTCTGCTCTTCTTAGAGACTAGAGAAAGTTATTGCATGAAAGTTTTACTGATCATTAACCTCTCTACAAATTTCACAAGTGACAGTTTTTATGTATTTTTGTTTTTTTTTTAAGTTTTCAGAACTTTAAGATGGTGTGTAGATAGATGCTTTTATGGGCCAAGAAAGCATGTTGATATCCATTATTTTATTTGAACCTCAAAATAGCTCGTTCTACCCATGAGCTCAGAGAAATAAGGTGTTTTGCCCGATGCCAGAGTCAGAGCTGTGGGGAGAACCCACCTCACTGACTCCAGGTGCCTCACTGAATGCACTACTTTGCTCCCCCTACTTTATCAATTCCAGCCTAATATTTGTACCAGTGGCATTGATGTAGTTCCTTTAGCTTTTACCTACTGTGGAATTATAGCAGTTTGAGGAAAATCATATTGAGCCTCATATCTGTAGATAACAACATGAAACAGATAAATTTTGGCCTTAAATAATGTTAACAGAGTTTAAGATTCAGTTCGGGTCTGACTGTCTTGAACCCTATTTATAAGGTTGCAGTCATGACATCAATTACTTGACATTTCTTGTAAGTTAAAGTAGGTCCCATTTCCAGCATCTTCAGAACAAAGGTGTACAAATCTAAAACTGACTCTCAAAGCTTTGTCTTGTCAGTGTGTGAAAGTTAAGGCGTTAAAGCCTGGGGCTGCCTTCTGATATTTGGCTAATCCAGGGGGTAAAAGGCTTAGGAATTAGGGCAGCAAGCATGTGGTGCAGAACCCGCCATCTGCGGCACACCAGGAGGCCCCGCCACTGCTCGGCTTCACGGGCGTGAAGAGAATGGCCAGTTATTTTAACCCCTCTGTGCCTTTGTCTTTGCTCTTTTCATTGTTCAAGACTTCTCGTGGACCCTTAGCTATAAAACGCATTCCCTGGGGAGATCCTAATTCCCCGAGACTGGAGGTAACTGCCTTGGTGTGAGTTGGGCGAGTGGCCTTCCCCTCATTGCCAGGAGGCGCTGTGGCGCAGGTGACTAGAGGGGGCGCCGTGGCGTGCAGGTGACTAGAGGGGGCGCCGTGGCGTGCAGGTGACTAGAGGGGGCGCTGTGGTGCAGGTGACTAGAGGGGGCGCCGTGGCGTGCAGGTGACTAGAGGGGGCGCTGTGGTGCAGGTGACTAGAGGGCGCCGTGGTGCAGGTGACTAGAGGGGGCGCCGTGGCGTGCAGGTGACTAGAGGGGGCGCCGTGGTCCAGGTGACTAGAGGGGGCGCCGTGGCGTGCAGGTGACTAGAGGGGGCGCCGTGGCGTGCAGGTGACTAGAGGGGGCGCTGTGGTGCAGGTGACTAGAGGGCGCCGTGGTGCAGGTGACTAGAGGGGGCGCTGTGGCGTGCAGGTGACTAGAGGGGGCGCCGTGGTCCAGGTGACTAGAGGGGGCGCCGTGGCGTGCAGGTGACTAGAGGGGGCGCCGTGGGGTGCAGGTGACTAGAGGGGGCGCTGTGGCGCAGGTGACTAGAGGGGGCGCCGTGGCGCAGGTGACTAGAGGGAGCGCCGTGGCGTGCAGGTGACTAGAGGGGGCGCCGTGGCGTGGAGGTGACTAGAGGGGGCGCCGTGGCGTGCAGGTGACTAGAGGGGGCGCCGTGGTACAGGTGACTAGAGTCTCCAGGCCCTGCCCAGGGAGGTGGGAGGGACACAGATTGCACCACTGATCCTGGGCGACGCTCCCACCAAGACCCTGGAGTCAGCTTGCTCTGGGTTTGCCAGTCTTCGCTAGAACCAGCACAATCAAAAATAGGTGCTGGGTGTTTCCAGCCACTTGGGTTACGGCCAGTTGGGAGTGTAATGGGTCTGGGTTTTCTCAGAGTGGCTTACCTTGGGTATTTCTCAAGTGCCATTGTGCCTGTGGTCTCAGGCCAGGCTGTTGCGTGTGAGCATTTTTTTCTCAAATGTGGACTTTTCCAGACCACTATGGGGGAAGCACTGGCAGAGTGCTACAGGAAACACTTCCCACGCCAGGGCTGGGCTTCACTGTGGGGTTTTCTGCCTTTTGCCCCCAGCTGAGCTGACTGCTGCCCACTTTGGAGGAGGCGGTGGGCTCCTTCACAAGAAGACTCAACAGGAAGGCGAGGAGCGGGAGAAACCGAAGTCCCGGAAAGAGCTGATTGAAGAGCTCATTGCCAAGTCAAAACAAGAGAAGGTGGGTTAGTGAGTGTTCTTGATCATCTTCTCCACGGTAAGACAGGCTCACCAAAATGTGTTTGAGCTTTTTTTTCCTGTACCTTTTTAGGCTGTGTTTAATATTTTATATGAGTTCAGTAAAAGCATTTATTGTGAGTAGGAATTTTAAAAATCACATAAAGCATATACCTCGGACAGGTTTTGGTTCTTTTGCCTTTTTTTGGTTTATGTTTTGTTTTATTTTGAGACGTAGTCTCTGTTTCCCGGGCTGGAGTACAGTGGCACGATCAAAGCTCACTGTGGCCTCAAACTCCTGGGCTCAAGGATCCAGTGATCCTCCCACCTCAGCTCCCCAAGTAGCTAGTGGGCGCCACCATGCTCAGCTAATTACTTTTTGTAGAGATGGGGATCGTGCTGTGTCGACCAGGCTCAAGCAGTTCTCCCACCTTGGCCTAGTTCTAAAGCACAGGGTGGGCCACTGCACCTGGCGCGGATGGGTTTTTTGTTGTTGCTGGTTTTAGTATCTGACATGTGCCCAAAAAATCACTTTTTTATTCATTTGCAGTGAACTGCTCAGAGCATCTAAATTAATGGTTTATGGCAGGAAAAGATTTCCGTCTGATGAGATTTGGTAGCTTTGCATTTAAAATACTCATTTCTCCTGGCCTCTTTTCTGTGTTGAAACGTTTGGTGCCAACTGAGTGATCACTGTGTGTGTCCTTGGCACTGACATTGGGCCTCTGGGTTGAAGTCCAGTAGTAACGGTATGTGGTGTGTGTCTGTTATTTTTTCCCCAGAGGGAGAGACAAGCTCAACGAGAAGATGCCCTCGAGCTCACGGAGAAGCTAGACCAAGACTGGAAAGAAATTCAGACTCTCCTGTCCCACAAAACTCCCAAGTCAGAGAACAGAGACAAAAAGGAAAAACCCAAGGTGGGAGCCAAGTACTGAAACAAACTCTTCACTCACTGAGCTTGGGTGACCGACTTTCTCCAGAGAAAGGGCTGGGGCTGGACGGCTCTTCTACCTGTCTCCTTTAGGGCAAGTTTCTGTTGAACATTGATACTGAATTACCTGCTGTGTGTAATCTTGGGGTGGAAGTAGATTCAGTTACTTGAGTCTCTATTGCAGGTGAATTAAACTGAAAAAAGTGGTGTTTCTGGATGGAAGAAGTACTTCAGGGTGGACACGTTAGAATAGGTGTCTGAACTTCCCTGTGACATGTTTGTCTGTTGATACATAATACATACATTTAATATACATTTACTTATTTTTGCCTCTGTAAACAGTTGTTTCCTACTGCATTCTCTTTAGTCGAAACTATTGGAAAATGCTGCATTTGTTTAAGAAACTGCGTTCTCAGAGAAGTCTAGATCCCAGCAGATTAGTGTCATGTGGTCATCTGTGCATCTTTGTCAGTCAGCCTTGATGTTACCGTTACTTTACTTAGTTTCCCACGTTTAGGGCGTAATGCCTGGATAAGTAGCGTTTTTGTTGTTGTTTGAGACGGAGTCTCGCTCTGTCACCCAGGCTGGAGTGTAGTGCAACCTCCACCTCACTGCAACCTCCACCTCCTGGGTTCAAGTGATTCTCTTGCCTCAGCCTCCCGGGTAGCTGGGATTACAGGCGCGTGCCACCATGCTTGACTAATTTTTGTATTTTTAGTAAAGACAGGGTTTCACCATGTTGGGCCAGGCTGATCTCAAACTCCTGACCTCACGTGATCTGCCCACCTTGGCCTCCCAAAGTGCTGGGATTACAGGCGTGAGCCACTGCACCTGGCCTGTTTTCGTTAAAGCAGATGTATTCTGAGAATTTTTCTAGGGGTAAACAAATTCTTTGTGACCGAATGTCCACTGATTTCGCAATCCTCAGGGCTTATCAGAACAGTTTTCTCTCTAGAAGAAAAGACGTAGATGTGGCTTAGCTACTTCAATAACATTATCTAGCCATTACTAGAATGTGCCAGGAAGCTAGATCTTTTCTTTTTGTAAAATAAGAAATAAATATATTTTTAAAATGAAGAATTTCTTCTTTCTACCTTAGCCCGATGCATATGACATGATGGTTCGCGAGCTTGGCTTTGAAATGAAGGCGCAGCCCTCTAACAGGATGAAGACGGAGGCAGAATTGGCAAAGGAAGAGCAGGAGCACCTCAGGAAGCTGGAGGTAGGGTGGCAGCACCTCAGGAGCAGGGCTGTGCTGCTGTCCGTCCACAGCCCCTTCTGCTCCATTTTGCAGGATGGGCTGAAGAGAATACTCTGTTTGATCAGTGGAATATTTTAGTCTATTTAAAGTTTATATTTATTCATGAATACCTTTTTTTTTTTTTTTCTTTGAGACAGAGTTTCGCTCTGTCACCCAGCTAGAGTACAGTGGCACAATCTTGGCTCACTGCAAACTCCACCTCCTGGGTTCAAGTGATTCTCCTGCCTCAGCCTCCTGAGTAGCTAGGATTACAGGCGCCTGCCACCACGCCCGGCTAATTTTTGTATTTTTAGTAGAGATAGGATTTCGCCATGTTGGCCAGGCGGTCTTGAACTCCTGACCTCAGGTGATCCAGTCACCTCGGCCTCCCAAAGTGCTGGGATTACAGGTGTGAGCCACCGCGCCTGGCCCCAGCTAATTTTCAAAAATTGTTTGTATAGATGAGCATCTCCCTATGTTGCCTAGGCTGTTCTCAAACTCCTGGTCTCAGCTGATCCTCCCACCACGGCCTCCCACAGTGCTGGGGTTACAGGTGTGGGCTGCCATCACAGCTGGCTCAGCTGGCTGTTTTGACATAACCACATCACTAGCTTCTTCCCGTGTCCAGTGTGTGGTCAAATAGTGGAGGCCGTGGAGCTGCTTGCTCTTGGCGTCCTGGCTCCTATTCTCTCGGTGCAGGGGGTGATGAGTCCCAGTCGGGGCTGGCCAGCAGAATTGGGCTGTGAAGGCCTCAGAATAATAGGCTTGCCTGGTGACTGGAGAGTATTGGCCACAAAGTTTGAACAGTTGATTTTGTTAAATGAGGAATGTGCTGCTTAGCTAGTGTTTGCATGCCTGATTGAAAACTGCAGGCAGAAAGCAGGCTGGATGCACCAGCCTCAGAGCTGGGAGGACCGTAGGCCCAGCCCGCTGCCCAGGGCAGGACTGCACGGCCCCCTCACCATATGTTGGAAGAGTGTGCTCTAAGACATCTCATTCCTTCCTGCTCAGGCTGAGAGACTTCGAAGAATGCTTGGAAAGGATGAGGATGAAAATGTTAAGAAACCAAAACATATGTCAGCAGATGATCTGAATGATGGCTTCGTGCTAGATAAAGATGACAGGCGTTTGCTTTCCTACAAAGTAAGATGTTTGCCTTCATTTTCTCTTTCTCTCTCTTTTTTTAATTTAAAAACATTTTTTTGGTATTCATTTTAGGGATTTATTACAGTTGGGAATTTTAAATCTTTTTAACCAGTTTCTCTAAAGTTCTTTATCTGGGTGTTTATGGTATATCAGATATTAAAACTTTAGAGAGAAGACTTTAACAATAGTATGTGCACTCACTTGCTCACGCTCTCTTTCTCACTCTCTCTCTCTGTCTCAAAGGAACACAGATAAAACTGATTACTCGGTTAACATCAACTACTTTTGTTAATAACTGTATGATTCTATCTGCATGACCTCATCATACTATTGAGGGAGCTAACTCAAGGCTAGAGTTGTGAATTTTCTTTGAGTGATGTCATTGAGTTTCCATGACTGGTGTAGTTTTTAATTCACGAACTTTATAAATCGGTACCCTTTTCTCGTTTTAAGAGTGTATCAGTCAGGGTCCAGGGAAGAAAAATAGGCAGGACAGGTTTCAAGCAGAAGAGATCCACACAGGAAAATGGATACTGATAAAAACACTAGGTTACCTGGAGGAGCAGAAGGTGCTGTAGACACTCCTCCTGCTAAAGCCCGCAGCCACTGTACACCTTCCAAATCCCAGTCCCATGCTGCTCCCTGGCAAAAGCTGAACCGCGCCCAGCATCCTGCCGCAGGGTTCTCTAGCAGCCTGTAGCTCCTGCGGCTCGAATAGCCTAGAAGCGGGTGGTGGGCAGGAGGCCTAGTGCCAGTGGGCAAATGGAGCACACAGGTTTGTGTTCCTTGCAACCACGTAGAAAGCCCTGATGTGGGCAGCCTCTTGATGTGGCTGTGAGATGGTCCAGCGTTGTCTCCGCCTGTCCTCATGCCCTGTGGTTTCCACGCTCTTGGTAGGATGGAAAGATGAATGTCGAGGAAGATGTCCAGGAAGAGCAAAGCAAGGAAGCCAGTGACCCTGAGAGCAACGAGGAAGAAGGTGACAGTTCAGGCGGGGAGGACACAGAGGAGAGCGACAGCCCAGATAGCCACTTGGACCTGGAATCCAACGTGGAGAGTGAGGAAGAAAACGAGAAGCCAGCAAAAGAGCAGAGGCAGACTCCTGGGAAAGGGTTGATAAGCGGCAAGGAAAGAGCTGGAAAAGCTACCAGAGACGAGCTGCCCTACACGTTCGCAGGTGGGCAAGTGCGCGGGTTTCCTCAGGTTCTGGGATAACCTTTATGACCTGGCCATAGCTGTGTGTGTTCGTCTCCCTCCCAGGGGTTGCATTTGTGGAATGGGGACCAAGGATGCCCTTGGGAGTGCCTGGACACACCCCTGTGTCTGCTGATCCAGGTCTTAGAGTGAGTGGTCATCTTAGTTTGTGACTGTGGTTCTGTAGGCCGGCCCCCGATGGGCCAGATGCGCCTCTCTCTAGTGGTACCTTCACCTCCCTTTTAGTATATGGTCAGCCTCTTGTGGTGGACCAGAGGGGCAGGGCTGGGGAGGTGGGTGAGCATCTGCGAGAAGGCTTCCATGTTCCCACCTGGGCCTCCTGTTTGGCCACGTAACATTTTAGATGGAATATACAGTGTTGTTTTGTCTAGTATGTGGAGAAAAATTGTCCAGGCCAGGTGCGTGGCTGATGCCTATAATCCCAACACTTTGGGAGGCCAAGGTGGGTGGGTCACTTGAGCCTTGGAGTTTGAGACCAGCCTGGGCAACATTGCGAAACCTCGTCTCTACCAAAAATATAAAAAATAAGCCTGGTGCAATAGCTTGTGCCTGTGTTCCTAGCTGGTCAGGAGGCTGAGGTGGGAGGATCACTTGAGCCTGGGAGGCGGAGGTTGCAGTGAGCCGAGATTACACCACTGCACTCTAGCCTGGGTGACAGAGCAAGACCCTGTCTCAAAACAAAGAAAAGAAAAATGGTCAGGTTCTAGTAAGCAATGCCGAATTATTCTGTGCCTGCCAGACGCTTCCAGAGGAGAAGCTAGTGGTGAAGCTGGCCTCTGTGAAGTGCCCTCTGGTGGCAAGAGTCTCCTGAGCTGACACTGCTTGGCTCACAGTGGCTCCTTCCAGGTCCTTCTGAAGCAGTCTGGGCACTAAACCCAGCACCCTGCCACCAAGATGCTCTGAAACTGTGGGTGTTTTAGCAAATTCCTAATCAAGGAAAGGTGGGAGGGCATTTCCTTATTAGCCTGTTCCCAGGTGCGTGATCGCACCTGACAGCCCAGGTCAGGATGGCTGAGACCCCTCCAGGTGTACCAGGGCAAACGCTGGTGGGTTTGTTGTGATCGTGAAGTAGAATAGTTATATAAAATTACCTCTCTGTCAGCAGACATGTAAGTAATTCTCATTTTAAATGTGAAATGTGGGCCAGGTGCGGTGGCTCATGCCTGTAATCCCAGCACTTTGGGAGGCCTAGGCAGGCGGATCACCTGAGGTCAGGAGCTCAAGACCAGCCTGGCCAACACGGTGAAGCCCTGTCTCTACTGAAAATACAAAAATTAGCCGGGCATGGTGGCGAGTGCCTGTAATCCCAGCTACTCAGCAGGCTGGGGCAGGAGAATCTCTTGAACCCAGGAGGCGGAAGTTTCAGTGAGCTGAGATTGCACCACTGCACTCCAGCCTGGGCAACAGAGCGAGACTCCATCTCAAAAATAAATATATATACATATATATAAATGTTAAATGTGCAGTATGTTTTGTGTTTTTGATAGCCCCTGAATCCTATGAGGAACTGAGATCTCTGTTGTTAGGAAGATCGATGGAAGAGCAGCTTTTGGTGGTGGAGAGAATTCAGAAGTGCAACCACCCGAGTCTCGCAGAAGGAAACAAAGCAAAATTAGAAGTACGTGGATTGAGTGTGTGTGGAGCGCTGGGAGTGTCAGCATAGCCCCGTATATGAATGCCAGAATTGTGTGAAGTTGTGCAACGGCCATGTGTGCCTCAGGCCAGATGGGGCCAGCCCGTCACATGGTTACCTATGATGATGGCTGGGAGTACTTGGTATGGCACCGGCAGAGGCCTCCCTTGGCTTTGGCCCCTCTCTAGGCCTCGTGCCAGACCCAGCCAGAGGCAGGCATGGGGACCTTCACCTTCATCTCACAGGGGAGGACACTAGGGTTCACATAGCCAGCGTGTGGCAGAGCCAGACTTTGCTGTGGCAGATAGGTGGCTGTGATCGTGCCTCTTTCAGTGAATGGTGGATATTGCCTGTGAGGAGGACGCCGTGCTGCCCGTGTTCCTCGTCGTGCTTTCCTAGTGGTGTGTTGTCAGCTGTTCTGTAGAAGGATGCGCCTTGCCCTTAGCTTTCTCCCCCCTACACCTTCTAGTGCTTAGCAAGTTCTAGCAGTGTATTTGCTTACATTTTAGAAGGCTGCTCGTGTCTGTCACCCTGGGCTCCCCTGCCCCACCTGGTTGTCACCAGAATGTACGTGATCCAGAAGCTGTGTGCCTGTGGCTTTGTTCTTGGTGCTGAGCACTGAGCTTTATTTCCCAATTCATGTTCCTGCAGAAACTGTTTGGCTTTCTTTTGGAATACGTTGGCGATTTGGCTACAGATGACCCACCAGACCTCACAGTCATTGATAAGTTGGTTGTGTAAGTAAAAATGGTGTGTCATCTGGGATGTGGGGTTAAGCAGAACAATTTTTCTCCCATTTAGAGTCATAAAAATACATTCCAGAGTTACTAAGGTAGGTGGAATGATGGTGTCAGCATGCCAAGTGGGCAGGTGGTCACCCAGGGCTTGTGAGCCTCACAGCGCAAGCCGGCTTCTCACACGTGCCGCTCCAGCCACTGTAGAGCTGGGACTGACTTTTAACCACAAACAAGTTGATTTTGAAACAAGTGAACCCCTTTAGATTTGTGGCTGGGATGGGGTGGCTCATTGTAAGTTTCAAGCTCTGGGTGACTGAGCGGTATTTGGAAAGCACGGTAGACACCCCGCCCCTCACCCTTCAGTGAAACCCAGTTGGGTGGCTTTGCATGCCAGGGAGTGTGTACCTCTTGTCTGCATGGGGACCGCCAGGGCGAGCTCCTGCCCTCGTTGCCCTCTAAGGCTGTGTGACCCACTCAGTGGCTCCTGGCCCCCAGGGCTGGTGGCTGGAAGAATGCCAGAGGGGCAGAGTCCTCAGTTGAGAGGCGTGTGTTGGCTTCGGATCCATGAGAGTGCACACCAGCTTCCTGCCCTGTGCCGCGCGGAGCTCTCCACGTCATCTTCTGCATGCATGGAGGCACTATCAAAGAAGTACCTGTCGTGAGGAATAAATGAGTTAATATGGAAAGTGCCTTGGAGCTGTCAGCTGCAGCTGCCACACAGAGTGGTGCCCCCAACAACGTCTGTACCACAAATCGAGCTGTTTCTCCCACCACCTCCAGTCCATAATGTTATGGCCGAGTTTTTAGGAAATGGCAGAAGTGAGTGTAGACTCTTAAGAATGCTGTTAGAAAAAGCGGATTCATCCAGTTCTTACTTGCTCAGTCAACAGGTGACTGCATAGGAAAGTGGCTTGCAGGGCTTTTCTGTGTTTCTTATCTAAAGTCATTCTCTCCTGACTTTACATTTCTGCTTAACAGGCACTTATATCATCTTTGCCAGATGTTTCCTGAATCTGCAAGTGACGCTATCAAATTTGTTCTCCGAGATGCGATGCATGAGATGGAAGAAATGATTGAGACCAAAGGCCGGGCGGCATTGCCAGGGTTGGATGTGGTAAGCAGAGTTCAGTCTAGGCACTGCCCCTGCCACAGAAGTTCTGTTTGGCATCACAGAAGGTGGACGACGGGTACGATGCTCTTGGCTGTACCCTGTGCTTCCAGGGTGATGTGGAGTGAGCTGCACGGCAGCGAGGGTGATCTGGAGTGAGAGTGCACGGCAGTGAGGGTGATCTGGAGTGAGAGTGCACGGCAGTGAGGGTGATCTGGAGAGTGCACGGCAGTGAGGGTGATCTGGAGAGTGCACGGCAGTGAGGGTGATCTGGAGTGAGTGCACGGCAGCGAGGGTGATCTGGAGTGAGAGTGCACGGCAGTGAGGGTGATCTGGAGTGAGAGTGCACGGCAGTGAGGGTGATCTGGAGTGAGAGTGCACGGCAGTGAGGGTGATCTGGAGTGAGAGTGCACGGCAGTGAGGGTGATCTGGAGTGAGAGTGCACGGCAGTGAGGGTGATCTGGAGTGAGAGTGCACGGCAGTGAGGGTGATCTGGAGTGAGAGTGCACGGCAGCGAGCCTGGGAGGGGAGGGCACTCCTCCACTAGCCATGGACTAACGTGTGGGTCGTGCAGGGAGATTCTGGTTTGATTCCACGTGAATGGTGCTGTATTTGGTCCAGTGACAAAAACATTGGAAGGCAAATAGAACCACGGTATTGTCCTTAAGGGCCCAAGCCTGTGGGCTGGTTTAAATTGGTCTCGGTTTCTATGTTATTCAAAGGTTGGGAGACATTTGTACGCTGAGATTTTTAACAATTTTATAACAGCCTCATGCTGTATTTTCAGCTTTAGTAACTTTAAGGAAATACTTGCTGAGATACGCTCTTTATTCTGTTGCCTGGTGTTTGTGTTGAAATGGATTCACAATAGTTAGCAGAAGCTTAAAAATGTAGGACTTAGGTTAGTGATTTTTAATCAACTCCCCAAAACATGATCTGAGCCCGTGTCTATAACCATTGTTGACTGCTTTGAAGTCTTCATGGGCCTCAGTGTCCTCACTGCACGTTTAGCTGGTTGACCCACGGTGGTTGGACGCCTGTTCTGTGACACTGAGGCCAGAGCTCTGGGCCAAGGAGATGCACCCTCTCCTCGCCAGATCCTGTTCTTGGCTCCGGAGTGTTTGCGGGGAGGGCATATGGATGGACTTCATTTACCTTCTTTAACCTGTGGTAACACTTTCTTTCCAGCTCATTTATTTGAAAATCACTGGGCTGCTATTTCCAACTTCCGACTTCTGGCACCCAGTGGTGACCCCTGCCCTCGTGTGCCTCAGTCAGCTGCTCACCAAGGTGCGTTCTCTCCACATGCGGCAGGGGTCGGCCTGCTGCACCACGGGTGGCCGGAGCCACAGCCCCTCGGGGCCTTGTGGAACATGAGTGTGGCTGTTTAAGGGCTGCAGAGACCGAGCACTGCGGTTAGGCCAAAGAGGGCCCATCTAAAAGAGCCCCGGCTCGAGCAGCCCCAGATGTGGGTGGGAGTGGGAGGGCCTGGTTTGGCACCTCAAGGTTACAGATGGTGCTACCCCAGAAAACAACCTTTCAAGTTAGTGGTGAAGTTATCCAGTGTGATGATAAGGGCTTTTGTTCCCTTTTTGGCTTAAAAAGTTCAAGCTGTTCCTTTTTCTTTATTAGGCATGTGATTGGTACATGCTTAGTGCAGTAATCGTACGCTCTGTATGGGTGGAAGGAACTTTATAATCAGTATAGCTCTGGCCAGGCGCGGTGGCTCACGCCTGTAATCCCAGCACTTTCGGAGGCTGAGGCGGGCGGATCACCTGAGGTCGGGAGTTCAAGACCAGTGTGGCCAACATGGCGAAACCCCGTCTCTACTAAAAATACAAAAATTAGCTGGGTGTGGTGCCACATGCCTGTAATCCCAGCTACTCGGGAGACTGAGGCAGGAAAATCACTTGAACCCGGGAGGTGGAGGTTGCAGTGAGCCGAGATTGTGCCATTGCACTCCAGCCTGGGTGGTAAGAGTGAAACTCCGTCTCGGGAAAAAAAAATCACTAAAGCTCTTTATCTTGTTTTCATCTCATTTGATGCTCTCGACACTGCTATAAGGTGCGGGGGTTCCCTCTGTACTTGTGAAGCTCAGTGGGGTGCGTGGTTCATCAGGGAAGCCCGGTGGTCGGCCTAGCATGGCATGACATCGTCCCAGGACAGTAACCCCCCATATGTTCCTTTCCAGTGCCCCATCCTGTCCCTCCAGGACGTGGTGAAGGGCCTGTTCGTGTGCTGCCTGTTCCTGGAGTATGTGGCTTTGTCCCAGAGGTTTATACCTGAGCTTATTAATTTTCTTCTTGGGATTCTTTACATAGCAACTCCAAACAAAGCAAGCCAAGGTGAGTTGATTTGAGGGAGGTTCCTACAAATATGTTATACTTTAGAATTTTTTTAAGTAGTTCATACTCATTGTAGAAAGTTTAGAATATGCGAAAGTAGAGGAAACACACAACCTGCCACCCGCCGCACTGTCTGTCCCTCTGTGTGAGCGTGTGCACGCGCCACATGGGGAAAAGCAGTGCTACCGGTGACCTGTGCTGTCCAGCGTGGTTGCCAGGGGCCAGAGTCTGAACTGAGACGTACCCTACCTGTGACATATGCCCAAGTGGCGAAGACTTAGTGTCAGAAATACTTAAAATATCTTAATTTTTTGTATTATGTGTTAAAATCATAATATTTTGGTATTTGGGGTTAGATAAGGTCTATTGTTAAAATCAATCTTAACTTTTTACTTTTTCTCACGTGACGACAAGGCAGTGTGAAAGTTCTCGTGCAGCTCACACAGGCCGCGCTGCTGTGTCGCTTCTCTTAACGCTCTGAATTCAGGAGCGAGGGCGGCAAGAGCAGTGTTGGGATGAGGAGCAGTCTGCACACTGGCTGCCCTCCTGGGCCCTCACCCCAGCCCCTGTGCTCCTCCCCCTTCCCCTGATGCCAGCCCTGCTCCTGGATGCTTCCTCAGCACTTGCTGCTTCCCTCTGGGGGGTGAGGAGCTGCACAGCCTCTTCCTGAGCTCTTCCATGTCTGTGGACGCCTCTCCCAGCCTGACCAGAGGTTGGACCTCAAGGCTCAGACCCCTGTCCTCTATTTCCAGCTCACCGTGCAGTGCTAAGCGCCTGCATGTCCAGGGGACTGACCTGAGGAGCAGGTGCTGTGGCATCATTCACACCACCAGCAGAGTCCCTTCCAAGAGGGGTCTGGCCCACTCTTCCGGTTCAGTGCTCCCATTCTGCCACCACCTGCCTCCCAAGGCTCCTGTCTGTCAGGCTCGGTGCTGGGCGCCAGAGGGGCGCGGCCGCCCACATGCTCCCTGCCTCCGGGAGAGCCACCTGTAGATAGCTGCAGTCCCACGTGTGAAGGGCTGTGACGGAACAGGCTGGGCACAGGTGGAGTCAAGGAAGGGGTGGGCATCTCGGCTTTGGGGAAGTGTGGGGCGGGGCCTGACCCACGCCTTCCCCTCTCGCTTGGCCCGGCACCTCTGCCCCACTGTACCCACTCTCCACCCCTCCCCGTGTAGCCACACCCTCGGCCTGGATTGCCCTTCTCCGTGGCGAGTGAATTGACTCCTGCGTCCTACAGGCCTTTGCTGACGTCTGCCCCTCAGGCCTCTCCCGCCCTCCACCGTCACCCCCGACTGACTCTCCTGTCTCCCTCCTGCCCCTCCACTTTCCTTTCTCGTGTTCTGTCTGGTCCATTTGCTCCTCTGGGTGCTGTGCACTGCCTGTCTCCCCGACAGGGGCAGGGACTTCAGTCTGTTCCCGGATGTGGCCTGAGCGCCTCATCAGCCCCATGTGTGCCTAGTAGGCCCCAGGAAGTCTGTGGCCAGCAGGCCTCTCAGGCAGGATCAGGCACTTGGCTCTCACCGCGCCCCCTGCCAAAGCTTTTCCCCTCCCCTGAGGTGTCCCTGCCCACGCTGAAACCCTCAGTGTCTGGCACAACCCAGAAACATAAAAATCGGTGTGCGTCTGTTAGAGGGTGAACTTCCACAGGCTCGGTGCCGCAGAGCCTGCTGGGAGCCCAGTAATGTTCAGGCCATCTCTGTCCTGTCGCACTTGGAATTCAGGTTCCACTCTGGTGCACCCTTTCAGAGCGCTTGGGAAGAACTCGGAACTGCTCGTGGTGTCTGCTAGAGAGGATGTGGCCACGTGGCAGCAGAGCAGCCTCTCCCTCCGCTGGGCGAGTAGACTGAGGGCCCCAACTTCGACAGAGGCCAATCACATCCGGTATGTGAGGGGACCCCGCTTTGGGGCCTGTGCCCTACAGCGTCCCCAGAGGCAGGAGAAGCCACTCGTGCTTTCTGATGTGCTGTTCTTAGTGAACTTGCCGCCCGGCCGTTTGGTTTGATGGAGGCCGAAAGCCTTTCTGAGGCATGTTGGCTTGCTGTCCCTTTTTCTTTTCATTTTCAAAATACATTTGCTTGATTTCACAAATCATAATTTGGAACCAAAAATGGAGCCGCCCCATCCCAGCTGGCGCTGCGGTTCCCACAGCCTCCCCTCCTGCGTTAGGCCTGACCCTGAGCCTGCCTTGCCCGTGGTTGCATGGGCCCAACCCTGGCCGGCCAAGGTGGCCACACTGGAGTTTTCAGCCTAGTGGAAGTGGGGAAGTTCATTTTTGCCACGTTATTGGTTTTGTCAGTGACAAACAGAACAAGTTGGACCTCCTCTTGCCTCCTGCCCTCACAGACTGTCCTGCCTGGCTGTGGGCCTGGCCCTGCTGAAGCGCTGCGTGCTCATGTACGGGTCCCTGCCATCCTTCCACGCCATCATGGGGCCTCTCCAAGCCCTCCTCACGGATCACCTGGCGGACTGCAGCCACCCGCAGGAGCTCCAGGTGAGGCTTCCCGGCCACTAGGGTGCTCTGCCTGGGCTCAGACATGTCCCTGAGCTGGGGCCAAGCTGGTGGCAGTCAGTCATTTGATGCTGCAGCTGTAAGTCAACACCATCTTTGCAAAATCACAAATATGAAGGGAAGTAAAATCATAAGAGTGGGCAGTGACGGTGAGCAGTGCTGGGCTGGAGTAAAGCAGATGCTGCATCTCAGGCGGCAGCTGGGAACTGTCGCCTTGTGTGCTTCCTCCAAGAGGCCGCACGGAGGGTGCACCAGCGCCCAGGGGTCAGCCCCTGCCAGGCCTGGACAGTCAGCTCTGAGCCGCGCTCTGCAGTCCCGATGGGTTTTCCAAGGATGGTCTCACTATCCTGCACAAGGTGACAGGAAGCCCCAAGGGACAGTCTCAGCTGGACCCAAGAACAAGTCTTTGATGGCACATCCTGTCCTCTACAGGCTGCTCCAAATTCACCTATGGCCTACCCGCCTCCCTGCCTTTCACCCTGACCCTGACAGGCTGTACCCTGCATCCACTTCCTGCTTGACATGGCTGTGGCTTGTGCCTTTCATCCTGCCCCAACCCTGCCCCTTATTGGCCCGCACCAGCCCAGGATGCTGCTGGAGCCGAAGGCATCAGTGCCATCTCCGCAGCTACCCCCACAGGACCGTCCCGCACCACCAGCACAGCCCTGGCAGCCTTGCCTCGTGCCTTCCCCTCATGCGCTCCGGCCTCCTCGCAGGCCTGGCTTCGTCTCTGGAGTAGTTCTCTGCACCTAGAACTCCCCACAGCCATGCTGCTCGCGCCCACACCCTTGGGAAGCCAGGCCTTCCCTGGCCCACACTGTGCCGTGCTCCCTGCGTTTTGTCTGTGGTGCTGACCCCCGGGCACGTTACACCGTCCTTGTCTCTGCCCCACTAGGATGAGAGTTCCATGAGGACAGCAACTCGGCTCGTTCCGGCCAGGTCCCTGGAGCATAGAGCAGATAAGCTAGCTATCACAGACTCCGTCGCCTGGTCAAAGGCTGATGAGGATGAGATGTGAGCCCTGCCCCTTATCCTGTATCCACTTCCTGCTGGTGTGGCTGTGGCTTGTGCCTTTTATTTAAAAGAATTTGGGTTGGCCTGGCCGAGGGGCACAGCAGGTCTCATGGTCTCGGTAGACTGGGCCAGTCAGGCCCTTGAGTTTGGTCTCCATGGAGACGAGGCATTCCGGCACTCGAAGGTTACATCCACATGGGCCCAGGAGTGGCTGTATCTGTGGGTGCAGCCAGGGTTCCAGGACACACCTGTGCAGGAGAAAGCGGGTAGGACCAACCTCAGTGAACTACCTTTCGGGAGATTCCTCAGAAGCCACCAGCCAACTCTTCTGGAAGCCAAGGTCTTGGTGAAAATGGGTCTTAACCATCTGGTTCTGTTGGCTTGAAAATAAGGTCAAACTGCCAAGACTGGTGGAAACCCTGCCCCGCCTAGCACCCAGCGTCAGTTTGCACACTGGGCTCTAGCATGCACACGGCCCCCCGCGGCAGAAAGGGGTTCTCCTGTGAGCCTTCTCACGAAGCAAGTGGCTCACGGCCTTTCGTGCCAAGTTTGTCTGGGAAAGAGGGGTTCTGTTGACGTTTCTGGCTGTGAGGAGCACAGGCTATGGTGACCTCCAACTCCCCAAGTCCCCTCCTTTCAGAGAGTGCTCTCAGGGGCCAGCCCACGGCCCTCCCTCTTCAAGAAGACAGTGGCTTTACTTCGTTCCGGCTGTGCCAGGACTTGAGCAGCCACAGCCTTGGCTTACCCCCCCGCCCACCGGTAGGCGCACAGCAAGGGCACCATCCTGCTGCAGGGAGCTCGCAGCACTGTCCTCACGCTGCCTTGACACCACAGAACCCGTGCGTGGAGCTCAGGGCACGCAGCAGGTGAGTCATCGCAGAGTCGGGGATTTCGTGTTTTTCAGGAGCTGTGTCAGAGCACACTGACCGAAATGGAAAGCCAGAAGCAGCTCTGCCGGCCGCTGACCTGTGAGAAGAGCAAGCCTGTCCCACTGAAGCTTTTCACACCCCGGCTGGTCAAAGTGTGGGTGCTGGCAGCATCTCCCTGGGAGGCCAGGGCTGTGGGCTCAGTGGGAGCTGACGGGGGGCGTCTGCCAGTTCTGCAGTTGAGCAGATGACTACGGAGTGAAGCCACACTCCCAAGCAGGCTCTGGCTGAGAGGTGGGGACAGACTCTTGCTTCCTTAACAGTGGCTTTCTGGTTGTAGCCTCGAGTTTGGAAGAAAACAAGGCAGTAGTAAGGAGGAACAGGAAAGGAAGAGGCTGATCCACAAACACAAGCGTGAATTTAAAGGGGCCGTTCGAGAAATCCGCAAGGACAATCAGTTCCTGGCGAGGATGCAACTCTCAGAAATCATGGAACGGTGAGGGGGACGTGTGTGTGCGACACGATTGTGGTGTCACTCAGCTTTGGTGCTGTGTGGCCCTGGGCAGAGCACCGGGCACCTGGCATCCCACAGCCTTGGCTCTGGCTGGGGGTTGGAGCCAGGCAGGTTCACTTCCCCCTGTTTGAACTGAACGTGGCCACGGTGGCTAATGTGGTTCTGATGTGGGAGAGAGAGGGCAAGATGCTCTCCAAGAACTAATCCAAAAATGGGCATTTGCCTTTTGTTTCTTTTAGGGATGCGGAAAGAAAGCGGAAAGTAAAGCAGCTTTTTAACAGCCTGGCTACACAGGAAGGCGAATGGAAGGCTCTGAAGAGGAAAAAGTTCAAAAAATAAATTACATTTTATAAATAAGGCAAGGAACTGGACATTACCTCACATCTGCAATTCCAACCCTCTGGGAGGCCAAGGCAGGAAGATTGCTTCAGCCCAGGAGTTCGAGACCAGCCTGGGCAACACAGGAAGACCCCGTCTCTACCAAAAAAACATAAAAATTAGCCAAGTGTGGTGGCACGCACCTGTAGTCCCAACTACTCGGGAGGCTGAAGCAGGAGGACTGCTTGAGCTGAGTCCAAGGTTACAGTGAGCCGTGATTGAGCCACTGCACTCCAGCCTCGGCCACAGTGCAAGACTGTGTCGCTTAAAAAAAAATTTTTTTTTTTGAGACGGAGTTTTGCTCTTGTTGCCCAGGCTGGAGTGCAATGGCACAACCTCCACCTCCTGGGTTCAAGCGATTCTCCTGCCTCAGCCTCCCGAGTAGCTGGGATTACAGACATGTGCCACCACGCCCAGCTAATTTTGTATTTTTAGTAGAGACGGGGTTTCTCCATGTTGGTCAGGCTGGTCTCGAATTCCCGACCTCAGGTAATCCACCTGCCTTGGCCCCCCAATTATAGGTGTGAGCCACAGCACCCAGCCAAAAAAGTAATTTTTTTTAGAGTAATAATGCTATAATGTTGGTGTGATTCCAACCTCCAGCTCCCCCCACCCGCTGCCTGCGGTTTTGTTTCTGTTAAAACGTCACCTGATGAAATAGAATGAATCCTGAAATGCACCTCTGGGATCGGGAATGGTCTGTGTGTTATCAGCTGCGACTGGTTCACTGCGTCTGGACAAGCCTCATGGGGACTGGGGATTCTGGCCAGTGTAATTTCTGTCAACCACGGACGTTTGCCTTCATGTGTAGAATTTACTGTTGTTATGCAAATTATATTTTCAATTATAAATGAAACAAGTTTGCAGATATTTTAGAAATCAGAGAAGGGAAACATCACCCACAGTCCCTCTGCTGGAACAGCCACAGTTGGCCTTGTCCTACTTACGTCCTTCAGTGGATGCTTCTGGGTGCTGGGGTTCTCCATTCAGGACACTGCACTCTCGGAGGTGGGAGGAGACTGGGTTGCGTCTGTGCCGACCTGGGATGCAGTTTCAGGTCAGAATCAGAAGATGTGCAAGTTACGCATGACACAGCTTTTTAAAGTGCTTTTCCCCTGCACTAATCAAGAGGGAGGTCAGCCCTCAGGTGTGCTGGACCCGGGAGGGACTGTGAGCTGTAAGAAGTAACGAGCCCCTTGAACTTCACAAGCTGGCCAGGGAGCCATATCCCGAATGCCACTGCCACTTCCTCGTGGTGCAAGGCTTGTTGGGACCTGCCACCTTGCTGAGGGAGGTGCTGAAGTAGGTGGTTTCCCTGTTCCAATGCGGTATGCGGTCTTGCAGGCCGAGGCATTCCCCAGGGGATGACGGAGCCCCCGCTGGGCTACAAGCCAGGGCAAACACTGAACTTGTGTCCTTAGCCGGCATCCCAGGAAAGAAGGCCGGGGTCAAGTTCACACCTCATGAGATCACAGTGACCAGCCCTGCCCAGGCTGCCCTGGTACGTGCCTGAAGCATCGCGGAGGTCACATCTAGCCACGGTGACCGTGGTGAGATGTAAGGATTAACCAGACTACGACTGGGGAGGTGAGGAAGGTGACAAGGACCCAGTTCCAGCTTCTAACGGGGTGTGGGATCTTTGAGCAAGGAAGAAGATGCTAGGGAGAATGAGTCTGGCTTTGTTCTTGTTGGGAGGTGTTCAAGCCATGGCTGGACCAGAGCATGAGCCATCCTCAGTGTGAGAGGCAGTTACTGCCGCGGTTGGGCTGCCTGGTAGGCCTGGAGCTCAAAATGAGTCAGTCTCTCTCTGGAAAGCGCAAGACAGAGACAGCGCTGGTGGCAGCTGGGCTGAAGCCAGCAGCTTGGAGATGAGGCTCAGGCCCTGACGGGGGAAATCTTACCCAGCCTCCCCAGATGGCTCAGAGACAGGTCTGGCAGGTGCACGGATCCACAAATCTAGAAGAGTCTGGGGTTGTCACATCCACCAACTAGGCTGGCTGTCTATATACACTTTGTCACTGTGTAGGCCCAGGATTTCACCCATCTACAAATTTTCTCTGCCACACGGCTACTGCCACTTTAATTCACCAAGCCAAGCCTTTGCACTCAGGACCCTGGCCCAACCCTCTTTGGCCAAGCAAAGAGGAAACGAGAACAGGACAGAAAAAAAAGTGGGACCGGACCAGGCACCTGGCTGTCCATTGAGGCCTTGCTATGCGATCCAGGACGGAAGGTGCCGGCAGCAAGCTCATACACTCTAGCTGCGTGTCATGTCATTGAAGAGGGCGCGTGATCCAGCTGGAAGGGTGGATAAAAGTGTAACTGCCCAGTGGGTTCACCTTCCCTGTTACCTAGACAGCCAATTTATCAAGAAAGGGCATTTGCAACAGAGAAAAGGTAATTCACGCAGAGCTAGCTGTGTGGGAGACTGGAGTTTTATTATTACTCGGTCTCCCTGAGCATCTGGGGTTTGGAGTTTTTAAAGATAAGCTGGTGGGTGGGGGGCAGCCAGTGAGTCAGAAGTACCCATTGGTCAGGTCAGAGATGAAATCACAGGGAGTCGAAGCTGTTTTCGCACTGAGTCAGTTCCTGGGTGCCACAACATCAGATGAGCCTGGGTGGTGCCAGGTGACCCACCAAGTGCTGATCTTAGGCTTTACGATGGTGATGTTATCGCCAGGAGCAGTTTGGGGAGGGTCAGAATCCTGTAGCCTCCCGCTGCGTGACTCTTCAACCGTAGTTTCTAATCTTGTGGCTAATCTGTTGGTCCCACAAAAGCAGGCTAATCCCCAGGAAAGGTTTCCTTTGGGAAAGGGCTGTTATCATCTTTGTTTTAAACTAAGTTCCTCCCACAGTTCAACCTGCGTGCAGCAGTAAACAAGGAGGGCATGGAGGTTAGAAGCAAAATGGAGCTGGTTATCTCACTGTCGGCAAATTTTGCAATGGCAGTTTCATAGAGATGCCTGTCCTCTGGGAAAAAAGCTAATAACAGGTTGTCTTTTTGGCTGCAGGTGGAAAACTGCATCTATTAGGAAGAGGTGGGGCTTTGTTCTTACCCACAATTGGAAGTTCTCTATGGAGTAAAGGCGGTATGTGTGCCACCTGATTCCTTTCCCCATGTGTATCTGGTTAGGGTCGGCCACGTGAGATCCGCAAGCATTTTAGAAGGTGGGAGGGGAGGTGGGAGCTGGCTACAGGCCAGGCGTTGGCGTGGTTCCGTGAGTGTGCTCCAGCCAGGCCCAAAGCTTCTCCTGCCCAGAGGGACCGTTTCCTCCAGCGTGGGTCGGGTGCTTCTGCGCCCGGAAAGAGCGCCAGCTCCTCCTTCGGGTGACCCAGGGAGCGGGGCTGCAGGCAAAGGCGCAGGCGGCCAAAAAGGTGCCAACCGGGTCCTGTGGCTTTCAGTTGTCTCTGCCCACCCAATTCACACCATCTTTCCCCCTCAGCCGCCTGTCCTGGGACTTCAGGCTCAGCACCAAACGCAGCAAAAGTAGGTGCACAGAGAGCGGGGTCAGCTCACGCAGCCCGAGCAGAATGGCTGTGCTGCCGCCCCAGGCCCGCGGCCACCGCTGTGTGTGTGGCAGGAGTCAGCCCCCCAGCGTGGGGCCCCGAAGCCCGCGGTCCTTCCACGGGGAGGGCCAGGCCCGCAGGGCGCAGACGATGGGGGACAGGCTGCGCCAGCGCTCGCCTGAGGCCCCGCACACAAACCTCAGGCCCATGGGTCCGCTCCGCGGGGCAGGCGTCGTGGGCCCAAGGAGGCCAGGCCAGGAGTCTCGGCCTCGGGGTTACGCGGCGGCGGGCAGCTCTTCCGCTCCGCTCAGGGTGCTGCTAACCCACAGCCAAGCAGCGACCCGCAGGACCGGCGAGAACCCCGCCACTGACTCCGGCCGGAAGAGAACGTGCAGAGATGTACGTCACTTCCGGGGCGTGGCGTGGCCGGGCGTGGCCGTCCCGCCCCTGGCGGCGTGCCTGGTGCCCTGTTCCGCGTCTGTGCGACCGTCCGTCCCGAGCGCGCAGCCGCGGCAGGTGCGGGGCGGGACCGGGGGCGCCCGGGGTGGGGGGCGTAGGGGGCGCTCGGGTTGGGGGTGGGACAGGGGACGCGCGGGGTGGGGGAGGAGACGGGACCCGGGGTACGCGGGGGTGGGGCGGGTGAGAGGTGCGCAGGGTAGGGGAGTAGGGGGCGCGCGGGGTGTGGGGCTGGACCAGGGGCGCGCGGGGTGGGGGCGGTGGGAGGCGCGCGGCGTGGGGGTTAGAGGGCGCGCAGGGTGGGGGACGGGACCGGGGACGCGCAGGGTGGGGGGCGGGACCGGGGGCGCGCGGGGTGGGGGCGGGACCGGGACGCACGCGGGATGGCGGAGTGGGAGGCGCGCGGGGTTGGGGGTGCTCCTGCGTCCGGTGTGCACCCCATGGCCCCCGCCAGGGAGACCGAGTCCGGGCCAGGGGCCGGAATCGCGGGGCGCGGGCCGGGGCTGGGGTTGGGGTTGGGATCGGGATCGGGATCGGGATCGGGATCCGGGTTCCCCGCGGCTTCAAGTTTTCTCTCGCTGTTACGAGGGCGTGGGAGGCGCGGCCGTGGGGTGGGGTGGGGCCAGGTCCGCGATGTGCTCACCCTGGTCTCTCAGGACCGTTGCCTTTGCGGCTATTTTTTGTGCAATCCCCGAAGCCTGCGTTTCCTGCTGCCTGGGTTCGGGGCGGGGGCATCGCGCAGGCCAGAACGGCCCCTGCGTCCGTAGGCCAGAGCCCCTGCCATCAGCCCCTTTAGGGTGCTCGCCGGCTGTCGGGTGTGGGGGTATGCCAGGCCCCGGAGGACTCGGCTTCCCCGCTAACCCGACCCGCCGCACCCCACCCAGGCCAGGTCAGAGCAGCCCACCATGGGATGGGGAGGGGGTGGAGGCTGCACCCCGCGCCCACCCATCCACCAGCAGCCGCCGGAGCGCCGCGTGGTCACCGTTGTCTTTCTCGGCCTCCTGCTGGACCTCCTGGCCTTCACGCTGCTGCTGCCCCTGCTGCCCGGGCTGTTGGAGAGCCACGGCCGTGCCCACGTGAGTCCTTGCCCTGCGGCCCACAGTGCCCCCTGCCCCCCAGGCCCATCAGACCTCCCCAGCCCTTATCGTGATTCCTCATCCCCTAGGACCCCCTCTATGGCTCCTGGCAGGGCGGGGTGGACTGGTTTGCCACCGCCATCGGGATGCCAGTGGAGAAGAGGTACAACAGTGTCCTGTTCGGAGGTATGGCTGGCTCTGTGCCCTTGGCGGGCTCTCTACGGTCCTATGTTTGGTGGACGTGGTCCAGCCCAGGCCCCTCCCCAATTCTCGGTCCTTGCCTTCCCACTCCCTGGGCTGGCATGTCTGGTGCCCTTGCCCACATGTCCTGGCTTCTGGGCATGATCCCTTGCCTCCGCGTGTCACGTTCAGATCCTTCCTCATCTCTCCATTGGGGCCCCCTCGGCTCAAGGGCCATGGCCTGTGAGTGTAGGGCCCAGCATGACTGGACCCTCAGGACGGGGCTGGACATTGGCCTTGAGGGCCCCAAGACCACAGCTCATGGTGCCAGGCAGCCCCATGATGGTGACATCTGTCTCTCAGGTCTCATTGGCTCGGCATTCTCTGTCCTGCAGTTTCTGTGTGCGCCACTCACTGGGGCCACCTCTGACTGCTTGGGGAGGCGCCCGGTGATGCTGCTGTGCCTGGTATGTTCCTGGGCCTGGGTGCCCATGGGGAAGCCTCCTCCCACCCAGCCAGTAGCCCCATGGGGTTAGGTGGGGAGAGGGAGGTGGCTGTGGGCCCCTCATGGCCACTGGTTGGCCCTCATCGCATCCTGGAGGGGGTTCTCGGGGGACCAGTGGCTCCTGTTCCAGAGCCAGGCTTTCAAGGAGCTGCTCCTGGCCCCTAGGAAGGCACTGAGAACGCAAGTGGCCCTCAGATGCTTCGAAATAGGGCAGGGTTGAGGGGTGTTGTCTGGGTTGCCAAGCCCTACTCTGAGCCACTCCTGGCCTTAAGCGACCGCCCCTGCCTCTTGGCCCCTGCCCCTGGGCAGATGGGTGTGGCCACCTCATATGCAGTCTGGGCCACCTCTCGGAGCTTTGCGGCCTTCCTGGCCTCCAGGCTGATTGGGGGCATCAGCAAAGGGAACGTCAGCCTCTCCACGGCCATCGTTGCTGACCTGGGCTCGCCTCTGGCCCGCAGTCAAGGCATGGTAAGTGCACAGGCTGGGCCTTTGGGGTCCTGGTGGTGACTTCTGGGCCTGGGTCTCCCTGTGCAGCTCGGGTGGTCTTTTCCCTAGGCGGTCATTGGGGTGGCCTTCTCACTGGGCTTCACCCTGGGCCCTATGCTCGGAGCCTCCCTGCCCCTGGAAATGGCACCCTGGTTTGCCCTGCTCTTCGCAGCCTCCGACCTGCTGTTCATCTTCTGCTTCCTGCCAGAGACGCTGCCCCTGGAGAAACGGGTAGGGCTGTGGTCTGGGACCCACAGGCCTAGGGGCTGGAGGCTTGATTCCATAGCGATGTAAAGTGCCCCTGTGTGCCAGCCCCAGATGCCAGGGAGGCTGGGCCGCTCTCTTGGTGTTGGGACCCTTGAGGCCACAGTCCGTGGGTTGCCAGGCCAGCAGCCGCTCCTGCAGGCTCTCCAATGCCATCCCCACAGGCGCCCTCTATCGCCCTGGGGTTCCGTGATGCGGCTGATCTGCTCAGCCCCCTGGCCCTGCTGCGCTTCTCGGCTGTCGCTCGTGGCCAGGACCCACCCTCTGGAGACAGTAAGGACTCGACCAACCCAAGCGTGGAGCCTGCTCTCCCCTGGGCTTCCCCGGGCGGCGCCCTTCCCTGCTGTGGTCGCCTTCTCAGCACGCGCCACCTCTCCCCAGGGCTCAGCAGCCTGCGCCGCCTGGGCCTAGTCTACTTCCTCTACCTCTTCCTGTTCTCGGGCCTGGAGTACACGCTGAGCTTCCTCACACACCAGCGCTTCCAGTTCAGTAGGTGGGTCCCCATCTGGCGACGGCCTGCTGTCTCCCTGAAATAACGCCCCTGCTTCAGGGAAGCAACCCCCATCCCCAGGAAGCCTTGGCAGCCACTCTCGCCCTGGCCCTGCCCTGGGTGGCCCTGCCCCGGGTGCCCTGCACTAACACACCCGCTCCCAGCCTACAGCAGGGGAAGATGTTTTTCCTCATCGGCCTCACCATGGCCACCATCCAGGGTGCCTATGCCCGGCGGATCCACCCTGGCGGGGAAGTTGCTGCCGTGAAGCGGGTAGGGGGCTCCCTCCAAAGCGGGTGGCAGGCAGTCCCCTGAGTCCTGCAGGGCACGGGCTGTGCTGAGGCTGCCGTGCCCACCTGCAGGCCCTCCTGCTGCTGGTGCCCGCCTTCCTCCTCATCGGCTGGGGACGTTCTCTGCCCGTGCTGGGCCTGGGGCTGCTGCTCTACTCCTTTGGTGAGTGGCCCTGCCCTGGCAGGGGATCCGATGGGCAGCAGGGGCTGGGTGATGCACCCTCCCCTGGGCTGACGGGCACCTCCTCGATGTCTCCCACCAGCCGCCGCCGTTGTGGTGCCCTGCCTGTCCTCCGTGGTCGCTGGCTATGGTGAGCCCCCTTCCCTCGGCCGAAGCCACCTGAGCGGGAGAAGGGCAGTGGTGCCTGACTGTGCCTCTTCCCACAGGCTCACCAGGGCAGAAGGGCACGGTCATGGGTACACTGCGCAGCCTAGGTGCTCTGGCCAGGGCCGCGGGGCCCCTGGTGGCCGCTTCAGGTGAGGGCGCGGGATGGTGCTGGGGCAGGCTGGGGGCCAAGCACCTGCCCTCGCCTCCCAAGTGCCAGCCCCCTCGGGGACTGGGTGACGCCACCGTCTCTCCGCAGTGTACTGGCTGGCCGGGGCCCAGGCCTGCTTCACCACGTGGTCCGGGCTCTTTTTGCTCCCCTTCTTCCTCCTGCAGAAGCTGAGTTACCCGGCACAGACGCTCAAGGCTGAGTAGCTGAGCCACTGTGCCCAGGCTGTGGGCACCAGGCAGAGTGGGAGCCTAGGTCAGGCCCCTGCCCACTGCCTGACCCCCACCCCCCGCCAGTCCAGGGAGACCCTGTGGGTGGGGGCCGGCCCCTAAGCAGGAAGCTCAGGCAGCTCCTCCAGACTTACTTACTCCTTCAGTGACTCCGAGCTGCAGCACTCCAAGGCTGTCAGGGCTTCTGTTTGTTTTTTAAACTATGCACCAGGTTTCTGATGATGAAATAAAGCACCTGTTTGTTTTATACCAAGTGCCTTTCGCCATATATAGCCGTGCTTCTACCCACACCAGGAAAGGCAGCTGGAGCTGAATGAATGGCTCCACTGACCGGAAGGGTCCAAGGCTCTTTGAGACCCTCAGTTTCCCCCTCTGCACAGTGGCAGCCTGGGGACTCACTCAGGCAGGCTCCTCCAAGGCTGGGGTCAGCCCTGGCCAGGTGGTATCTGGCAGTGTGCCCCGCACCCTGGCAGGATGTCCCCAGCACAGAGCCCTCCCCATCAAACATGAGCACACAGTGACAGTGAGACTGGGACCATGGGGACAAGGACAGGCCAGCAGTTCCCTGGACACCCTGAGTTCCCGTGGAGAGGGACACCAGGAGTGCTGGGTGGCACGTCCTGCCGCACGCGTGGCTGCAGGTGACATTTTATCAAGACATGAACATTAGGAGGTCTCTTTTCAGCACGAGACAAACATGGGAACAAAGAAATTAAAATATAAAACTGCTTCCCAGATTTAGACAAGGAACTTGCTGAAAGAATTTTATTTGTGAGTAAAACATGTTACACTGGAGAAAGGACATTCAGGACCTGTCCTCCCAAGTCGGTGTCCATATATGCAACTATATTTCATGTTGTAATACAAAGGATTAAACTACAAAAGTGAAAATTAAAAGTCATTGCATATGTGGGGTAAAGGAGGGGATAAAGGAAGAGTCCACGGTTAAGGACTTTTCATTCTGCCTTGGCAACAAAACGACACAGAAGAGAGGCAGCACGCTTGCCCGCGTAGCAGGCCCTGCGGCTCAGAGGAAGCTGGAAGCGGCGGTCAGTGCCATGCAGCAGCCTGGTTCTCGCTCGGCTGGCCAATCAGTGGGATCCGAGGTGGCTCGGCCCATCATGCCCAGGATCTGAGCCCACATCTGGCACCAGCTCTACCAAGGGCCTGTTGGGCCCACACAAGCTTGCCTGTACCTAGTCAGGCTGGTACCGGCACCTCCTGAAATGGGTCACCCTCCGGTTCCTGCTCAGCAGCTCTGAGCCCTTTTCCAGCCTCTTGGAGGGAAGTAACAACAACAGCATCTGCCGAGGAGCACACGGTTCAGGCTCCATCAATGACGGTGATGTCGAGGGGCCCCAGGGCTACCCTCCACCTCGAGTTACCTTTGATCACAACTAGGGCATCTTTCTGGCTGAGTTAAGGTGAGAACAGTCCCCTGAAGCCTCCCCCAAATAAGTGAAAAGTGCTCTACTGTGGGGTCTGGAAAGAAGAAAGCAAAAAGCAGCCTATTCACGTTCACAGTCGAAAAATGTAAGCTAAATTGTAAACCTGCTCAAAGAAAATTCTAGAAAGGCCTCTTCCCCTCCTGATATACCTTCCCTATGACAGGAATCCAGAGACCCAAGTGAAAAAGAAACTGAGCTCCTGAATCTGATTCTGGTCGAGGGATCGTCGGTCAGACATGCATAGCATCACGTTGGGTGCACACAGGCCCATCTGCCGCTGGGGTTTCCTGCCCAGCATCTGGCCCAGACCTGCCTCTTCAAGGCCGCTGGTGGGCACACGAGTGTTTTCACGGGACCAAGGCTTTGTATATAGATTTAAGTGAGATCACTGAGCAGAGAGAATGCCACATGAAGCCAGGAGTCTGAGTCCGTCACCTGAGACTTTAGGGTGGAGGGGAAGCCAAGCAGAGACAGAATGTGGTGATTTCACAACAGGAGGGACGGCAGGAAAGGTGAGGCTCAGGAGGGTGACGTGCAGCCAAAGCTGCAGAAGCCTTCAGTACCTTCCAGCCAGGACCATGACTTAGTGCCTCCCCCCTGTGGGGAGAGCATGTCTCCCCCAGAAGCTGAGGCTCTGAGAGGACAAGGGGCAGGGTGGGGTGGGGCTGCTGAGCACACACTGGGTCAGCCCGGGGCTACACGGGGCTGGTCACGTGAGGGGACCTCTAGGCGGAGGGCTTGGCTTTTTTGCATTCCATTACACAAGGACAGAGCACAGACGTGGCCGGGGACGCTGGCAGAGCCAGGGTCGCTCCGGACAGGACAGTGTTAGCGCAGGGCTTTCAGGAGTCACTCTTCTTCTTGCTCTTCTTCAGAAAGGACGGGGTACGGAACTTCTTCTTCTTTTTGGACGGGGACTTGCCTGGAGACCCATCGCTGCCAGGGTCCGCGGCGGCCCCCTCCTCGACAGCTGAGGGGGCAGCCTCTTCAGCCACCGGGGCTGGGTCTGGGGCTGGCTCGGGGCTGGCCTCAGTAGGGGCCTCAGTGGGGCTTGGGGGTCTATGGGCTTCCTCCTCCTTCTCTAACATTGGGAAGCCGAGTGCTTCTGAAGGTTCATCAGGGGACAGATCGGGGAGAGTTGGCTTAAAGGTGGCAGCATCACTGTCATCTCCAGTAGTCGGCTCCGGCACAAGGTCTAGTGGGTGAGGTGAGAGATGGGATTAAGGGTTCCTGCCCAGATCTCAAAGGGCAGCTTGAGATGGGGGAGCCCCACACACGAAACTGCCATTTTATTTTACTCTACAGATTTTTACCAAGACAAGAAACTTAAAATATGGTCTACTCTACTGTACGGCTGGATGGAGCTAATATCATAAAATACAGACTCAGTCTCGGGGTAGTTTTTAGCTCCTTCTGGTGGGCAGTGTGCTGACAACACCAGACTCCGTCCCAGGCCTGGGTCCCCCCGCCGGAAAGACAGACTGCAGCACAAGCTGAGGACGACTAAAGGAGCGACGTCCCGCTTTCATTATGTGACGAGAAGTCTGCCCTGTCACCCTAAGGGCATGTACTAGTAGTACTGAAATTAAGTCTAAATTTGGGTCTACAACACCTGGTCTCCCCCAAAACAGCCAGTAGAAAATCGTGCATAACTCCCACAGCACGTTGTGTGACGTCAACATCCAAAAGAACAAAGCCGTTTAGGCTGGAAGTTAATTAAAAGGAAAGAGATGGCCTGTAAGGCAAGGAGTGGGGGCAAAAACTCCACCCAGCATCAGGAGTGGCCATCTGTGAAGGAGCACAGCGGCCCTGAGGACACAGCCTGGGGGCGCCTTCCTTGCACTTACCCGGGCACCCGCTCTGTCCATTCGTAAACGGCCTACAAAGTTACCAGCAACTGACAGGTTAGGCACCACAAGCTGTTTAGTGTTTAAAAATCAAGCCACACATCAGGGCCAGGGGAGTCAGCTGAGTGGTTAGGAGCAGCACAGGAGGCCCAGGCCCCAAACTCTCAGTGCTTTACCTTTGGGAAGCTGGAAGCACCCCCACCCTGCCAGCTGCCCCAGGCTAATTCCAGGCCACGCTTCATGAGAACCGGGAAAGGGCTATGGGCACACAGGCGCCGCTCCCCCTGAGGAGATGGGGCCCGCTCTGCTGGGCATGGTGTGGCTGATGCTAGGACGGAGGCTGCCCCAGGGCACTCGCTCTGGAGAGCTGCCATCATCTGAGTGAACATCACACTGCTTTACGAGGGTCCAATATCCGCTCCTCTGCCCACCTCCTTTGGACCAGCTTCAGCAAAGGTCCAAGGCAATCTGACCCCACACGGCAGGTGGCAGAACCCCACCCTGTCTGAACCGAGGCTGCACTTACATCTGATCCAGTGTGGCAAAACCCTCCCACCAAGCAATCCAAAGAGACCCTCAAAGGCTGGAGGTAGGAACTCCTGAGGCCCAGAGTGCTCCATGGCACCTAGGTGCGTGGAGGTACCCGCTGCCGCTGAAGGCAGCACAGCACTCAGGTGACTGAACCACTTCCAGGAAGGCCTCCAAGGGACTGGGTACAAAAAAGGGGGGCTTCTGTTTTTATTTTAAATAAACAGAAAACAAAACTTAATAAACAACAAAGAAGCAGGAGAATGAGGCAAAGCGCAGGGCACCGGTGGAGAGCGGAGGCAGCACGGTACTTACTAGGGTAACAGGTACTCTCTAGCGCATCCGTCTCCTGCTTGTGACGCAGCCACAGGGAGAAAAAAGCACAAGGAGAGAATCTATGCATTCAGTCACAGCCATCAGGTTACAGAAGAAGAAAGGCAGGGCCACGGGCTTCACGAGAGACATGGATGTACGAGACCGAGGGACAGACACCCGGGATCACACACCACAGACACACGGTGGCTGAGAGGCAGCCGGCGTGTGGCTCACACAGCGGAGGGCACCTCCGAAGGTGGCATCTGCATGACAACACGGCACGAGGAGTGTGCGAGCAATGGGCAACGTGGACACCAGCAACCATGGTGGGTTCCGACCCCCGAGGCCGGCCTTCCTACCTGGTCACAGCTCACATACAAATCTGTTTTGCCTGGAGTTACCCAGGACAGAAGCAATATAGGAGGAGAAAGGTGTCACGTCCTGGCGCTGATGCAAGCACACACTTCCGTGTTGCTGTTAACACGACTCCCGCCACATTCCGCCACAGCGCGCACGAGCCGTGCACCCTCCCACAGTGGCGGCCGCTGCCACCCAGAGCTCACCTTCCTCCAGCTTGATGGGAGTGCTGGGAGGCGGGTGGGGGACCGCAGGCTGGTCTGGAGGACTCTTTTCTTTCTGTTCTCTAGCCTCGTCCAGATTCTCTGCAGAGAAGCAAGAAGGATATGGTAGGAGCTGTGGACGCCACGCCATGAGCCTGTACCTGCCTCCATGGCAGATGGGGCAGCCCGCTCGGCCGCCCTCTGAGAAGGCAGGGCTCTCTCAACCCTTTCCCTGATCCTCTCCAAGAGAGGATAAAGGAAGCTGTGACCTGGGTGTTGACTGATGCGAATTTCAGAGAAACTTAACCAACTTCAGATACAAAACTTATTTCTATTCTTATTCCAAAGAGAGTCTGCCAGAGCCACTTCTGTGATGGACTCGAATGGTATGCCCTGGCCTGTCCCCCGCTGTCCTGTGCGAGTAGGGACCCCTCCCTCCCTGCCTTCTCCCTGCTGAGCAGGTGGCTGAGGGTCCTGAACCCACTCACCACCTTAAGGGACATCACATGAGCATTATTTTGGTTTTAATTCTGTGGTAGGGCATTTTATCCCAATAATTTAAACTTGGCAACTGTAATACGTATTTTTACTTTTTAAAGTGAAAAATGCTAATAAGAACCAGAGGAAAAAATGCAGGAACTAGGATCCTGGATATAGAAAAGGATTCCAAGTCTACTTCTCATTTCGGGGAAAATATGGACCAGCACTATTCTAACTCCTTCCATCTCTGTCTTTATTTCAGAAGTTTAAGATTAATAGCTTAGGATCAGCAGGTCCGTATTTTGAACCAGCAGCTATCATCATCCTTCTGAGCTCCCAGGGCCTCTGCTCCCACCCTAACAGCTGGCTCGCCTCCCCAAGTACCACGTTGGCAGCTACCTTCCAGAAGCCAGGTGTCCATAAAAAGGCCGCCATACCACCTAGCTGAGTGAGCATACAGCCTCAACCGGGAAAAGGTGCTGACCTCTGGCAGCCAGCCTGCATTTTACCTGTGGCACATTCTCCCCTCAGCCCATGCCAAGGGCCAGATCAGACCTCCTGTGGGTTCTCCTGCTGACAGCTCTGTGATCACAGAGCACGGCCAGAGCCTGTCCCCATCCACTCAGCTGCCATCACAGCCCTGCTGAAGGAGCCTCACACATCGGGGGGAAACTCCACATATCTTGTTTGACTTGTTTTTAAAAACAATCCAGGTTACTCAGATCCCAGGAGACTCCAAAGGGCAGACACATGTCTGTGTACATGTGCACAGAAACTAGGAGGAGGCCACATGACCCACAGCTCAAGCTGACTACCTCCAGTTCTCGCTCTAAGGCAGGTAATTACAGCAATGGCTCAGACAAAGCTTCACTGGAGGGAGACAACCAGCAGCAGGGCCTGGTGTGTGTGGCGGCCTGAATAGTAAATAGCGGTGTGACACTGAAAAACAATTCAGCAACTCAAATTTCAGTCACAACTACGTAATGCAGTGGCTGGTCTAGAACGAGACAAAAACCGGTGAAGAGGTCCTCTTAGGAGGAGTGCCTAGCTCCCAGGATGACGACGGCCCAGGAGAGCAACAGTCAGTCCCACACAACAAGGTGGCTCCAGCAAGGCTGACCCCGGAGGACTGAGAAGCACACTGAGGTTTCAGTAAAAACCTGAGTTGGAGCTTACGGCCCTGAGGATGCTGGCGGGAGCCTCCTGGCAGGGGTCCCTGTGCCCCTGGTTCTTCTTGGTGCCAGCACCAAGGCTGCTCAGAGCCTAGTGGACAAGAGAGCTGGCAGCAGGGAGCTTGGGGGAAAAGCAGCTGATGCCCAAAAGCCCTCAAGGAATAGGCTTTGGAGACCTGCTTCTCTCATTAGTTCTCAACATTTCCTTTTCAAAGCCTGACATTTGAAACCACCTGCTCCGTGAGGGTCTCAAACTTGAGCCGCTTATTTGTATTCATTTTAAGACTGCCCCATCTTTGACAAAAACAAGACCGCCTTTGTCAGCGGGCTACCAAGAGAAGTACAGGCTGCACCAGCCATTCCTGATGGGACCTGGGCACATGCCAGGGCAGTCAGCATTTTCACCCTCCGGCCTGTGACCACACCTGCACAGGAAACCCTCAAGGTTTATGGAGAAAGAGAATTTCTGTCAGAAACCCCAAGCCCTACACACAAGCACAGTAAGGACGTTCAGAGCGTCCCCCTGCACAGAGGCCGGGGCTGACTGCTGTGACCAAAGACTCAGTGAGGAAGGCAGTGCGCTTCTGTCCAAATCAGGGCTCGGCCACGCACAACCTCGTTCTCGCGAGCCGCCCTGTCTGAGCTCCCTATTCCTCTGCTCCAGCCGGGGGAAAATGACCTATCTCTCAGGGTTACTTTGAGAATGAGATGAGATGTACGCACAATAGCACTGGGCATGTGCCCGGCACAATGACTGCTCAGCAATGCTGAGTGTTAATGAATCAAACTGAGTAAAGGAGGTCTCTCCCCGGTGAAGCTTCAACAGACAGAAATACTGTGTTCGTAAAGAGACAAATGTCAGGGTGACAGGCAACATGGCCGAATAGGAACAGCTCCGATCTGCAGCTCCCAGTGAGATCAACGCAGAAGGTGGATGATTTCTGCATTTCCAACTGAGGTACCTGGCTCATCTCCCTGGGACTGGTTAGACAGTGGGTGCAGCCCACGGAGGGCGAGCCAAAGCAGGGTGGGGTGTTGCCTCACCCAGGAAGTGCAAGGAGTCGGGGAACTCCCTCATCTAGCCAAGGGAAGCCATGAGGGACTGTGGCTTGAGAAACAGTGCATTCCAGCTCAAATACTACGCTTTTCCCACGGTCTTCGCAATCCACAGACCAGGAAATTCCCTTGGCTGCCCATGACACCAGGACCCTGGGTTTCAAGCACAAAACTGGGCAGCCGTTTCGGCAGACACTGAGCTAGCTGCAGGAGTTTTTTCTGATACCCCAGTGGCGCCTGGAATGCCAGCAAGACAGAACCCTTCACACCCCTGGAAAGGGGGCTGAAGCCAGGGAGCCAAGTGGTCTTGCTCAGCAGATCCCACCCCCATGGAGCCCAGCAAGCTAAGATCCACTGGCTTGAAATTCTTGCTGCCAGCACAGCAGTCTGAAGTCGACCTGGGATGCTGGAGCTTGGTGGGGGGAGGGGCATCCACCATTACTGAGGCTTGAGTAGGCCATTTTCCCCTCACAGTGTAAACAAAGCTGCCAGGAAGTTCACACTGGGCAGAGCCCACCGCAGCTATGCAAAGCCACTGTAGCCAGACTGCCTCTCTAGATTCCTCCTCCCTGGGCGGGGCATCTCTGAAAGAAAGGCAGCAGCCCCAGTCAGGGGCTTATAGATAAAAGTCCCATCTCCCTGGGACAGAGCACCTGGGGGAAGGGTTGGCTGTGGGCACAACTTCAGCAGACTGAAGTTACTACCTGCTGGCTCTGAAGAGAGCGGTGGATCTCCCAGCACAGCACTCAAGCTCTGCTGAGGGACAGACAGCCAACTCAAGTGGGTCCCTGACCCCTGTGCCTCCTGACTGGGAGACACCTCCCGGCAGGGGTCAACAGACACCTCATATAGGAGAGCTCCAGCTGGCATCTGGCAGGTGCCCCTCTGGGACGAAACTTCCAGAGGAAGGAACAGGCAGCGATCTTTGCTGTTCTGCAGCCTCTGCTGGTGATACCCAGGCAAACAGGGCCTGGAGTCGACCTCCAGCAAACTCCAACAGACCTGCAGCAGAGGAGCCTGTCTGTTAGAAGGAAAACTAACAAACAGAAAGGGATAGCATCAACATCAACAAAAAGGACATCCACATGAAAACGCCATCTGAAGGTCACCAACATCAAGGACCAAACGTAGATAAATCCACAAAGACGAGGAAAAACCAGTGCAAAAAGGCTGAAATTTCCAAAAACCAGAATGCCTCTTCTCCTCCAAAGGATCACAACTCCTCACCAGCAAGGGAACAAAACTGGACAGAGAATGAGTTTGATGAACTGACAGAAGTAGACTTCAGAAGGTGGGTAATAACAAACTCCTCTGAGCTAAAGGAGCATGTTCTAACCCAATGCAAGGAGGCTAAGAACCTTGAAAAAAGATTAGAGGAATTGCCAACTAGAATAACCAGTGTAGAGAAGAACATAAATGATCTGATGGAGCTGAAAAACACAGCATGAGAACTTCGTGAGGCATACACAAGCATCAATAGCCAAATCAATCAAGCAGAAGAAAGGATATATCAGAGATTGAAGATCAACTTAATGAAATAAAGTGTAAAGATTAAAAGAAAAAAGAATGAAAAGGAATGAACAAAGCCTCCAAGAAATATGGGACTATGTGAAAAGACCAAAGCTACATTTGATTGGTGTGCCTGAAAGTGACAGGCAGAATGAAACCAAGGTGGAAAACACTCTTCAGGATATTATCCAGGAGAACTTCCCCAACCTAGCAAGACAGGCCAACATTCAAATTCACGAAATACAGAAACACCACAGAGATACTCCTCAAGAAGAGCAACCCCAAGACACATAATCATCAGATTCACCAAGGTTGAAATGAAGGAAAAAATGTTAAGGGCAGCCAGAGAGAAAGGTTGGGTTACCCACAAAGGGAAGCCCATCAGACTAACAGCAGATCTCTCTGCAGAAACCCTACAAGCCAGAAGAGAGTGGGGGCCAATATTCAACATTCTTAAAGAAAAGAATTTTCGGCCGGGTGCAGTGGCTCACGCCTGTAATCCCAGCACTTTGGGAGGCTGAGGCGGGCAGATCATGAGGACAAGAGATCGAGACCATCCTGGCTAACATGGTGAAACCCCATCTCTACTAAAAATACAAAAAAATTAGCTGGGCATGCTGGCGTGCACCTGTAGTCCCAGCTGCTGGGGAGGCTGAGGCAGGAGAATGGTGTGAACCCTGGAGGCGGAGCTTGCAGTGAGCCGAGATCACGCCACTGCACTCCAGCCTGGGTGACAGAGCAAGACTCCGTCTCAAAAAAAAAAGAATTTTCAGCCCAGAATTTCATATCCAGCCAAACTAAGCTTCGTAAGTGAAGGAGAAATAAACTCCTTTACAGACAAGCAAATGCTGAGAGATTTTCTCACCACCAGGCCTGCCTTACAATAGCACCTGAAGCAAGCACTAAATATGGAGAGCAAAAACCAGTTCCACCCACTGCAAAAACATACCAAATTGTAAAGACCATCGACACTATGAAGAAACTGCATCAGTTAACAGGCAAAATAACCAGCCAGCATCATAATGACAGGATCAAATTCACACATAGCAATATTAACCTTAAATGTAAATGGGCAAAATGCCCCAATTAAAAGACACAGACTGGCAAACTGGATAAAGAGTCAAGACCTGTCACTGTGCTGTATTCAGGAGACCTGTCTCACATGCGAAGATATGCACTGGCTCAAAATAAAGGGATAGAAGAATATTTACCAAGCAAAAGAAAAGCAAAAAAAAAAAAAAGCAGGAGTTGCAATCCTAGTCTCTAATAAAACAGACTTTAAGCCAACAAAAATTTAAAAAGACAAAGCAGGGCATTACATAATGGTAAAGGGATCAATGCAACAACAAGAACTAACTATCTTAAATATACAAGCACCCAATACAGGAGCACCCAGATTCATAAAGCAAGTTCTTAGAGACCTACAAACAGACTCAGACTCCCACACAATAATAGTGAGAAATTTTAACATCCCACTTTCAATATTAGATCAACGAGACAGAAAATTAACAAAGATATTCAGGACTTGAACTCAGCTCTGGACCATGCGGACCTAACAGACATCTACAGAACTCTCCACCCCAAATCAACAGAATATACATTCTTCTCAGCACCACATCGCACTTATTCTAAAATTGACCACCTAATTGGAAGTAAAACACTCCTCAGCAAGAGAATGGAAATCATAACAAACAGTCTCTCAGACCACAGTGCAATTAAATTAGAACTCAGGATTAAGAAACTCACTCAAAACTGCGTAACTACATGGAAACTGAATAGCCTACTCCTAAATGACTACTGGGTAAATAACAAAATTCACGCAGAAATAAATAAGTTCTTTGAAAACAATGAGAACAAAGACAAAGCGTACCAGAATCTCTGGGACACAGCTAAAGCAGTGTTTAGAGGGAAATTTATAGCACTAAATGCCCACAGGAGAAAGAGGGAAAGATCTAAAATAGACATCCTAACATCATAATTAAAAGAATTAGAGAAGAAAGAGCAAACAAATTCAAAAGCTAGCAGAAGACAAGAAATAACTAAGACGAGTGCAGAACTGAAGGAGAGAGACACAAAAAAGCCTTCAAAAAAAAATCAATGAATCCAGGAGCTGGTTTTTTTTAAAGATTGATAAAATAGATAGACCATTTAGCCAGACTAATAAAAAAGAAAAGAGAGAAGAATCAAATAGACACAATAAAAAATGATAAAGGGGAGATCACCACTGATCCCACAGAAATACGAACTACCATCAGAGAATACTATGAACACTTCTACGCAAATAAACTAGAAAATCTAGAAGAAATGGATAAATTCCTGGATACATACACCCTCCCAAGACTAAACCAGGAGGAAGTCAAACCCCTGAATAGACCAGTAACAAGCTCTGATATTGAGGTAGTAATAAATAGCCTACCAACCAAAAAAAGCCCAGGACCAGACGGATTCACAGCCAGATTCTACCAGAGGTACAGAAAGGAGCTGGTAGGTACCATTCCATCTGAAACTATTACAAACAATAGAAAAAGAGGGACTCCTCCCTAACTCATTGTATGAGGCCAGCATCATCCTGATACCAAAACCTGGCAGAGACACAACAAAAAAAGAAAATTTCAGGCCAATATCCCTGATGAACATCAATGCAAAAATCCTCAATGAAATACTGGCAAACCGAATCCAGCAGCACATCAAAAAGCTTATCCACCACGATCAAGTTGGCTTCATCCCTGGGATGCAAGGCTGGTTCAACATATGCAAATCAACCAGGTGCGGTGGCTCACACCTGTAATCCCAGTAGTTTGGGAGGCTGAGGCAGGTGGATCACAAGGTCAGGAGATCGAGACCATCCTGGCCAACATGGTGAAACCCCGCCTCTAATAAAAATACAAAAATTAACCGGGTGTGGTGGCGTGTGTCTGTAGTCTCAAGTACTCAGGAGGCTGAGGCTTGAACACAGGAGGTGGAGGTTGCAGTGAACCAAGATTGCACCACTGCACTCTAGCTTGGGTGACAGAGGGAGACTCCGTCTCAGGAAAGAAAAAAAAAAAAACCAAATAACAAAAAAACCATATGCAAATCAATAAACGTAATCCATCGTATAAATAGAACCAATGACAAAAACCACATGATTATCTCAATAGACGCAGAAAAAGCCTTCAATAAAATTCAACACCCCTTCATGCTAAAAACTCTCAATAAACTAGGTATTGATGGAATGTATCTCAAAATAATAAGAGCTATTTATGACAAACCCACAGCCAATATCATACTGAATGGGCAAAGGCTGGAAGCATTCCCTTTGAAAACTGGCACAAGACAAGGATGCCCTCTCTCACCACTCGTATTCAACATACTATTAGAAGTTCTGGCCACGGCAATCAGGCAAGAGAAAAAAATATAGTGTATTCAAATAGGAAGAGAGGAAGTCAAATTGTCTCTGTTTTCAGATGACATGATTGTATATTTGGAAAACCCCATCATCTCAGCCCAAAATCTCCTTAAGCTGATAAGCAACTTCAGCAAAGTCTCAAGATACAAAATCAACTGCAAAAATCACAAGCATTCCTACACACCAATAATTGACAAAGAGTCAAATCATGAGTGAACTCCCATTCACAATTGCTACAAAGAGAATAAAATACCTGGGAATACAACTTACAAGGGATGTGAAAGACCTCTTCGAGGAGAACTACAAACCACTGCTCAGCGAAATAGGACACAAACAAATAGAAAAACATTCCATGCTCATGGATACAAAGAATCAGTATTGTGAAAACGGCCATACTGCCCAAAGTAATTTATAGATTCAATGCTATGCCCATCAAGCTACCACTGACTTTCTTCACAGAATTAGAAAAAACTACTTCAAATTTCATATGGAACCAAAAAAGAGCCCGTATGGCCAAGACAATCCTAAGCAAAAAGAACAAAGCTGTAGGCATCACACTACCTGACTTCAAACTATACTACAAGGCTACAGTAACCAAAACAGCACGGTACTGGTACCAAAACAGATATAGAGACCAACGGAACAGAACAGAGGCCTCAGAAATAATGCCAGACATCTACAACCATCTGATCTTTGACAAACTGGACAAAAACAAGGAATGGGAAAAGGATTCCCTATTTAATAAATGGTGTTAGGAAAACTGGATAGCCATATGCATAAAACTGAAACTGGACCCCTTCCTTACACCTCATACAAAAATTAACTCAAGAGGGGTTAAACATAAGACCTAAAACCATAAAAATCCTAGAAGAAAACCTAGGCAATACCATTCAGGACATAGGCATGGGCAAAGACTTCATGACTAAAACACCAAAAGCAATGGCAACAAAAGCCAAAACTGACAAATGGGATCTAATTAAACTAAAGAGCTTCTGCACACCAGAAGAAACTATCATCAGAATGAAAAGGGAATCTACAGAATGGGAGAAAATTTTTGCAATCTATCCATCTGACAAAGGGCTCATATCCACGATCTACAAGGAACTTAAACAAGTTTACAAGAAAAAAACAATGCCATCAAAAAGCAGACGAAGGATATAAACAGACACTTCTCAAAAGAAGACATTTATGTAGCCAACAAACATGAAAAAAAAGCTCATCATCACTGGTCATTAGAGAAATGCAAATCAAAACCACAATGAGATACCATCTCACACCAGTTACAGTGGCGATCATTAAAAAGCGAGGAAACAACAGAAGCTGGAGAGGATGTGGAGAAATAGGAACACTTTTACACTGTTGGTGGGAGTGTAAATTAGTTCAACCATTGTGGAAGGCAGTGTGGCGATTCCTCAAGAATCTAAAACCAGAAATACCATTTGACCCAGCAATCCCGTTACTGGGTATATAACCAAAGGATTATAAACATTCTATGATAAAGACACATGCACACATATGTGTACTGCACCACTATGCACAATACGAAAGAGTTGGAAACAACTCAAATGCCCAGCAATGATAGACTGGACAAAGAAAATGTGGCACATATACACCATGGAATACTATGCAATCATAAAAAAGGATGAGTTCATGTCCTTTGCAGGGATATGGATGAAGCTGGAAACCATCATTCTCAGCAAACTAACACAGGAACAGAAAACCAAACACTGCATGTTCTCACTCATAAGTGGGGATTGAACAATTAGAACACATGGACACAGGGAAGGGGACATCACACACCAGGGCCTGTCAGGGGTGTGGGGCTAGGGGAAGGATAGCATCAGGAGAAATACCTAATGTAGATGATGGGTGCCACCCATACATGTGCCACCACCACGGCACGTGTATACCTATGTAACAAACCTGCACGTTCTGTACATGTATCCCAAAACTTAAAGTATAATTAATTTAAAAAAAAGAGAGAGAGAGACAAAAGTCTCTTAAAAATAATATTCAGGGCCGGGCGCAGTGGCTCACACCTGTAATGACAGCACTTTGGGAGGCCAAGGCGGGCGGATCACGAGTTCAAGACATTGAGACCGTCCTGGCCAACATGGTGAAACCCCATCTCTACTAAAAATACAAAAATTAGCTGGGCATGGTGGTGCATGCCTGTAGTCCCAGCTACTCGGGAGGCTGAGGCAGGAGAATTGCTTGAACCCAGGAGGCGGAGATTGCAGTGAGCTGAGATCGTGCCACTGCACTCCAGCCTGGCGACAGAGCAAGACTTCATCTCAAAAATAATAATAATAATAATAATAATAATAATAATAATAATAATAATAATATGCATGCTGGCTTTCCCACTAACTGATCCAAATTAGTGAATTCTTTTGTGAATGTCTGGTCACTCCATGTGGACAGAAACCTCCCTGGGAGAAGGACCAATGCCCTCCAGCCCAGAGTTCTGTGGGTTGCCCCTCGGTCCTGCTGTCTCCTCTCATCACAGCTGCTGGATGGGACCACGGCAGGACATCTTCGGGGTCAGCCTCGTTTTGGCAGAGGGGCCCCGGTGTGTCTTAGTATGGCGCGCAGACTCTTGTGAGTGGCCACCACTAGTCCTCCACATCGTCATTTACACACGTCTCCCTCCTAGCCAGGGCCACTCACAAGTGTGCCTAACTTTGCAATTTCTTTTTTTTTGAGATGCCCAGGCTAGAGTGCAATGGCACGATCTCGGCTCACCGCAACCTCCGCCCCCCGGGTTCAAGCGATTCTCCTGACTCAGCCTTCCCGAGTAGCTGGGATTACAGGCATGCGCCACTACACCTGGCTAATTTTGTATTTGTATGTATTTATGTATTTATTTTGAGACAGAGTCTCACTCTGTCGCCCAGGCTGGAGTGCCGTGGTGCAATCTCGGCTCACTGAAAGCCCTGCCTTCCACGTTCACGCCATTCTCCTGCCTCAGCCTCCCAAGTAGCTGGGACTACAGGTGCCTGCCACCACATCCGGCTAATTTTTTTTCTATTTTCCTAGAGACGGCGTTTCATCGTATTAGCCAGGATGGTCTCGATCTCCTGACCTCGTGATCCGCCCGCCTCGGCCTCCCAAAGTGCTGGGATTATAGGCGTGAGCCACCATGCCCAGCCTAATTTTGTATTTTTGGTAGAGATGGGGTTTCTCCATGTTGGTCAGGTTGGTCTCGAACTCCCGACCTCAGGTCATCCGCCCTCCTTGGCCTCCCAAAGTGCTGGATTAAAGGCATGAACCACTGTGCCCGGCCAGCAATTTCTTCCATTCTGGCCTGAGTGACTAGGTTGGAAATGAGTACTGGATAAAGTTCTGGTTTGTCTTTGATGCATGTGACTATTCTTATCACCACCCACAGCCAGCACCTGGACCACAAAGAAGCTCCCAGAGCACTTTCACCTTCTGGAGTGGCCGTGCCCAGGACCACAAGCACTCACCTTCAGAGCCCTTCTGCTTCCTCTCCACCTCCCTGCGGTACTCCTCCAGCTCACGGTCTGTGAGTGTGGTGAAGGGGTTGGGGCCCGTGGTGCTCACAATGACGTGGGGCTGGTACTCCTTTTCAATGATGGCCTTGGAGGCCGTCACCAGCTCTCCCTGTGGATGAAAGGCACATCTGGTCTGCAGGAGCCCGGCCCGATGGGGACTCTCCCTCCTCCCAGGCAGGCTGCAGGCAGGGCGGGGGCAGGAGGCTTTCCAGGAGCAGAGACCCCTGAGACTGCACTGCCATGGGCCCGAGGCCTAGGCTGAGCTGCAGCCTTCAGTGGTATATAATGGAAACACAGGTCAGTGCCACGATGAACAGATATTAACCACAAAAGAAATCCTACAGAGCCTTCCAGGTTTCAGAAGCAAAAGCCCAATGCAGACCCAAGAGCACAGAGCACCTCAGGGAGGGTGCCCACTCCTCACTGTGGAGCAGAAGGGGAAGAGGCCCTTTCCTGTTACTGTTTAAAAGTCAGTAAGTTTTCCTCATGACATCAGAAACTGTCACGAGGTACAGCACTCAGCGTAAGGCATGCTCAGAGCTTTGCTCATATTCTAAGAGCACAGGTAAGTTCTGTTCTTTTGACTGTGGTTAGTTTGTAACTAGTTCCTGGAGCTTATCCCAAAACATTCCGAGATGACAACATGCCCCAAGACACCAGTGTTTAGCTGAGGAATTTGGAAAACTCTGAAAATTTGTACCAAAGAAAAAAAGAAGAAAGCGAAGCACCAAGGCGGCTCACAGACCACACCAATCTTAAAGCAGGAGGTGGAGCCTGCAGGCCAGCACAGTGGGCTGGGTGGGCATCAGGGGGTGCGGTCCACTCACAGCCACCTGCCCCAGCACAGCGCTGTGCCCACAGTGCAGCCTGATTGGGTCAGGGGCAGGAAAATGTCCCCTAATTCCCTGGAGCTCACTTCTTTTTTTTTTTTTTTGAGACGGAGTCTCGCACTGTCACCCAGGCTGGAGTGTAGTGGCGCAATCTCGGCTCGCTGCAAGCTCCACCTCCCAGGTTCACTCCATTCTCCTGCCTCAGCCTCCCGAGTAGCTGGGACTACAGGCGCCCGCCACCACGCCCGGCTACCCTGGAGCTCACTTCTAAGACAGTTATCCAGCACTTACACACATGCACATGACTGACAGCTTCCAAAACCAAATAGAAACAGGAGAAACCACAATTCTTTGGATGCCAGGCCTGGTCCTTCAGTGCTGCTCTCAGTGCGGAGTGAACACCAGAGATGGAGAGCGTCCTAGCTGGGCTGACTCGGGAAATTCAACTCACACAGGCCGACCGCTCCTCAAGCAGAGACAGGGGAACTTGGACTGACTGGGATGGGCTGAGGGGTTACCACCTAGCATGCTGCGTACCCAGTGCTGACCAGTGACACAGAGCTCCGAGAGGGACAGATGGGCTGCTGGAACAGGCAACCTTTGCCCGGGAGCCTGGAGACTCTCGACAGTCAACAAGTCAAAGGGAACCCTCTTCTGAACCAGGTCTGACTCGAGGCCCATTGGCTTTTCGTTAAGAAGTTGCCCTGCCTCACCAAGACAGGAAGCTGAGTCCTGTCTGCCATGTCTTAGCGCTGTGGCCCGAGCCAAGTCTTTCCCTGACCAGAGGCCTGCCTCACTATCTGAAGGAGGAGCTGCTGGGCTGGCCACTGCTAAGAGCCCTCACATGATGGCACTCTAGAGATGGTATCCCAGCAACAGCAGTTTGGCTGGCTGCACCTGCATCCTGATATCACTGCCAATGAAATGAGAAGGTGATACAAGAGAAATGCTTAAGTTCATTTAAATCAAGTGGTTAAAATTAGTAAAGGAATCAAATATCAAGAATCAACTATCAGGCCAGGCATGGTGGCTCACACCTGTAATCCCAGCACTTTGGGAAGCTGAGGCGGGTGGATCACCTGAGGTCAGGAGTTCAAGACCACCCTGGCCAACACAGCGAAAACCTGTCTCTACTAAAAATACAAAAAAAATTAACCAGGCGTGGTAGTGGGCATCTGTAATCCCAGGTACTCGGGAAGCTGAGGCAAAGGAATCACCTGAACGTGGGAGGCGGAGGTTGAGGTGAGCCGAGATTGCGCCACTGCACTCCAACCTGGGCAACAGAGCAAGACTCCGTCTCAAACAAAACAAACAAACAAACAAAGAATAAACTATCAGCCAGGCACCACAGCTCATGCTTATAATCCCAGCACTTTGGGAGGCCAAGGCAGAAGGATTGCTTGAGCCCAGGAGTTCGAGACCAGCCTGGGCAACATAGTGAGACCTTGTCTCTACAAAAAATTTAAAAATTAGCCAAGCATGGTGGCATGCACCTGTAGTCCCAGCTGCTGAGGAGGCTGAGGTGGGAGGATTCTTTTGGCCTGAGAGGTCGAGGCTGCAGTGAGCTGTGATTGCACTACTGCACTCCAGCATGGGCCAGAGTAAGATGCTGTCTCAAAATAAAAATAAAAATACAAATAAAAATCCATTGGCACAGAGACATCAAAACCCTTGTTCCCAATTTTGATGCCCCAAAGGACAAGCGGGGCTCTCTCATACTGAGACAGCTGAAGCCCGAGGCACAGCGCAGCAGGTCCCCAGTGGTGGAGAGCTCCCTCCTCCACAGACCACAGCTAAGGGTTAAGCTGCTGTCAAGACCAGTTATGGGAACAGAGAATCACATTCCTCTGCAAGAAAGGACACAGAGCAATGACTGAGATGCAGAGAAACATACGCCACTCATGGACAACCCAGACAAGAAACCAAGATGTGCCTAGCTTCCCCTCCTGCCACTCCCCTCACCTCCCTGTCACTTGACAAGCCTCTAAAGCAAAACACAGGCCCAGTAACTTTCCATACTTGACTGAGGCAACCTGGGTGGAACAAGAGCTCCACCCGAGGCTGTGCAACCTGCACTAGCGGCTGACCTCTCTGACCATCAGATTTTCATCTACGAGCAGGGCCAACTTGGATCTGGACTGGCATTCCCAGTGCTGGACCATGCACAGGTTAGGTGCTCAACACAGGTCACTGAGAGAGTCCAAGGGGTGAGCTTACTGCCCCTCTGCATTTCTACCACACAGCATGAAGGGTGTTGGAGAACACAGCCCCTGGTGAGGTGCACATGGGAACACAAGAGTCCTTCCCTGGGCTGAATAGCTTGCAGTGTAGACTCACATCTTCATCTCTAATCCTTCATTTCACTTGCAATTGAATCCAGAGGGCAGCCAAAATTATTTCAGGTTATGCCAGGCGCGGTGGCTCACACCCTATAATCCCAGCATTTTGGGAGGCTGAGTCAGGTGGACTGCTTGAGCTCAGGAGTTTGAGACCAGCCTGGGCAACGTGGCGGAACCCAGTCTCTACAAAAAAATACAAAAATTTAGCCAGGTGTGGTGATGTGCACCTGTAGTCCCAGCTACTCAGGAGGCTGAGATGGGAGGAGGGAGGACTGCTTGAGCCCGGGAGGCGGAGGTTGCAGTGGGCCAAGACAGCCCGACCACACTCCAGCCTGGACAACAGAGTGAGACCCTGTCTCAAAAAAAAAAAAAAAATATATATATATATATATGTATTTCAGGTTACATGTTATGCTGCCCAAAACAAAGTCAACACAGCCTTCGGCTGGGCTGCGAACTCCTGTTTGAACTGTGATTACTGTTCCTTCTTCTATCAGAAGGCAACACTTGCACTGTGGGAATGGCCATCACCAGTGAGGGAGAAATGGAAGGCAAAGGAAAGTCCTTTCCAGAAAAGCCCCAGCTCCCTAAGTCCCAAATACCCATTCTTCAGGTTCTCAGATGGGAAGCAGGCATCCACGCACTCGCCTCACTGGGGAGGGGAGTGTGTGGGACACAGTCGTCCTTGCTTGGTCAAGGAAAAACTCAACTTCTCAACATGCAGCTCCATGTTCCAAAAGGAGCAAGACTGTCTGTGCTTTGAGGTTCACATGAAAGGAAGTGGAACAATTGCCCAGTAAAGGACTCCCATGGAGCCAAAGCACATTCTCACCAAAAAGAGGGATATTTTAGCCAGAGTGGGATAAAGATCAAGGGTGCAAAAGTAAACTTCAGATATAAGGAGGTAGAGAAAACACAAAGGTGGAACAAGGATTTCTGTCCAGGTGGTCAAGCTCTCTTCCTCTGGGGTCAGCGTACAGTGGTATTCTCTGCTAATGACACCTGGATGCAGCACTCGCAGTGAGCATGGTGTTCAGAAGGTACGGACCCTACCTCTATCGTTCAGGAAGCCCCCAGGTGACAGTGACACACACCCACATCTGAATATCACTGGGACAGAGCACACAAAGCTGTAACTGGTGGTTGAACACGGCGACCCAGGCTGCTTTCTGGAGAGCCCTAACAAGGTCCTCAGTGCTGCCCTCACGTGGGCTCTACACAGGAGGCCAGCTGGGCTCATGGCCTGCACAGCCCTCACACACCTGAGAGAAAGAATAACTGACAAGACCGCAACAAAGTGCCAAAAGATGAAAAACAAGCAACAGGCAGAGTCATCTTTCTCCCCTGCTCTGAGAAGCTCTTCCAAGAATGGCAGCTGGAAGGATGCTCTAAGCACAGGGAAAAACAGGACCTGTGGAATTAATAAGTAAATATGCAAAATAATGTTATTAGCAGGGATTACAGACAGGAATACAGAATCTTTGCTATAAACCTGCTTCTATGTGGGAACTGGAACACCACTAAAGTGACACATGCATCTCAATGAAGGTGTGACAAGTGAAAGAGACAGTTCTGGAAATTTCCTTTGACAAGAATATAAACATACCTCTCAGCTAAGACTCTTCAACCATGCGGTCAGCCCCTTTCTGCGTGGCACCAACTCCTGCACACTAGCAGCCTAGATTCTTAGGGAGGATTTCCTTCTACGTGGGTGGGTTCAGACAGATCTTCCACCTACTCCACATACTAGATGCCCGCACACAGAGGGAATCACAGTGAGGGGTTTCAGACTCTCCTAAGTCTTTCTCCTCTGTGGCATTTAAAAATGTTATTTAGGGTTTTTTTTTTTTTTTTTGAGGTACAAATAAATACATTTTATCAAGGGCTGACAAAGACTGTCTGAATTCCCATTCCTCTGAAATGACATCTTTCAATGATATGACCTCTAGTGGCTACATTCATGACATTTACAGTCAAAGTTGAACCAGCGAGGGTGGAAGGGCACTCGGGAGTGGCCGCTGCCAACAGCAACAGACTGCCCAGAAGAGGCTGTCTGCAGTCAGAGTCATGGAAAAGGCAAATTCTGAAACCCAAAACACGCACTGACCAAAGTCCCGTGCGGAACTGCAGAAATGCACCACGTTGCTCAGACTGGCCATTTCTCAGTAACAACTTCGAATGCTGGAAATTGTTATCACACCTCATAGCAAATGTTTTAATTAAAGAATCAAGTAGGTAGAACAGAACCTTCTGTACAATCTCACAAACAGGTTAAAGATCCATTTGAAGCTACTTCAGTAACTAAGACAATGCCTGAAGAGAGGAGACGGGGAGGGGGGAGGGGAGGGGAGCAAGGCGCATAGACAGGTAGTGAGGACAGGGCAGTGAGTACCTTTCTAAAAGAGAGAGATTTAGCGGGACTAAAGGTCTGCTCTGTAAGCTCGAGCCCTTCGATAGTTTCCGTACAGTCAGAGAGAGGTGCATCCTGAAACAGTAAACTGAGTCACCAGAGCACACCAGGCCCAGCCTGTGAAATATCAGCTGAGAGCACAGGATGGAGCTGGCTAAGAGCATGCAGCAGGGACAGCTGTCAACAGTAAGTGTGGCAGTGATGATGGCAGGACGTGCAGACACTGAACACGAAACCAGGACCACGGCTGGACAAATCCAACAATCGTCTACCCCTGCAGAGTCAGGTGTTAAAGCATTAGGTGGCATATTAGTTTTCAGAGATAACTACTTACACAATTATCTTCAATGTGCCACAAGGTAGAGTCATTTTGTAGAAATGTGTGTAAATGTGCACCACACTTACAGGCACCCACCCCTCTGCAACCCAAGCAGCACTTTGTTGCAGACAGCAATATGTACCAGAACAAGAGTCCCTAAACCCACCCTCTCCTAGCGCCTTACACAGAACGCTGCTGAACCCGGGCCGAATCTGAGCCCCAAAGCTGGTGGTGTATGTGCCACCCTCACATATGCATGCATTACAAGGGGCATGACCAGAGGGGTGGACACAGCCCTCAGCATGCTCGCTCCTTCTAGAACTCAACGAAAAGTGCCTGAACCGTTTCTCATCATGAAGGTTTTAACAAAGGTAACTGGTTGCCTAGAATACTTACCTCATAAAGTCACTCTCTCAATTTCAGAATAACTTTGGAGCAGGCGGTCACACAGCCACCACCCACTAAAGTCAGAGACACTCTGGGCTCTCACCTGGACGAGGCTCCTGTCCATCACTACACCACACAAAACCTGGGACTGAGGGCCAGCCGTCTTAATGTCCTGTAAATTCTGCTCTCGGATCTGAGGGTGGGAAGGAGAGGCACACATCAACAGTCCTGAGCAGCCATGCTGCCTGGGAGCCCTGCTGCTTGTGCACTTGGGCCCCAGCCACATGGAAGCTACATTTCAGCTCTCCCACTGCCCCACGCAGGCAGGATGGCCCCATGTGTTCTGAGTGACCGCCATGCCTGCTTAGTGGGGCGTGGGTCTGCAGGGATGGAGACTATTCCCAGCTCCCCACATCTTCCAGATGCTTGGGCAGGACACCTATCTCTCACTGTCATTAACTTGGGGGAAACACTCGCTGCATGTCCATCGTCTAGTGATGTGAGCACTGGCAGGGCTCCTGCTCTGATACACCAAATGCCACTCACAAGTCTTTGAACGAACCCTGAAAGGGACAGCAGTCTGCTCTTGCTAAGAACAGGTTTTGCAGCTTCCAATTCTGACCGGTGAGCAAACATCGTGAGCAAACATCAGTTCAAGAATCAATAGGGCCCAAAAAATGTCTGCTGCTCATACTTCACACTGGTGGTAGAACAGCAGCGGTGTGAAGAGATGGCTTCACTGCAACAGTGGCAACAACAGCAGATGCCCTCTGCTAGAAGCAAGCACCCGCTCCCCCCAAAGCAGCTGGCATCCCTTCCAATCCCACACCCAAGCCCCCGCTGAGTGCCGACGCAGGACGCACCTTGTTCCTCATCTCCTGGACCTCTTTTGGGTTAGTGTTCAATGGAACAAACAGGTTAGGGACAGCAGAGGTGGAAGTTCTATGTCCATCCTCTTTAGTCCACTGTAATATCAAGAACAGTTGAAAAGTCAGAATTATGACAACAATAAGTGACATAGCATCCAATCTATTCAGTTTATCTCACATCTGGTCATGCACTGAACATCACAGAGAGGACTGAACCAATGACCACATCTAATCTGGGTCACTCAGCAGAGTCGCCATGGGAGCAGGATGCAGCCACATAAAGACCAGTTAATGCTGGAAGTCAAAGTCATGACTGATGGAAAACCACCATCTGGAAAGCCCAGCTGAATCTGGGTCATAAGGTAGGCTGACGACAGAGCTGAGCCCCATAACCCTGGGACCAGCAGGGGAGGCCCCTCAGAGACCATTGGTTCACTGCTCTGAAAATCATCCAACACCAAAGCCAACTGGAAGCATGAGATGACAGGGTCATGAAAAGCAATGTGATGCTGCTACCCAGGGTTAGGGAGGAGCCTGCACCGTGAGGCAAGAGTGGGCATCACCAAAGTTTTGCATTAAAGTAAATGACAGCATCAGAATGCACTGTCTGCGTAACTTTCAACCCAAGAACATTACTGTATGGACACTTACACGGTAGCTACCTGGAAGAAGAGTTTGGTGATGTCGAATATTTTATATAACTTAATATTTTTGAGTGCTACAAAAATATCCCAAACAAACTTGAAGCGCTTCATGAGTCCTTAATATTTAAAGGCTGTTTTAGTATCAGTGCATCTCGTCAGCATGCTGAGCCTTCCACCCATAATTTTTTTTTGGATCTCCAATCAAATCTGAGATTTTTAATCAAATTCTAAGGCATGAGTAGGCACTGAACATTAAAACAAGCCCATCTTCGAGAGCAAATGTTATGCCTTTCAGAATACTTTCGAGAGGCAATAAGATAGCCATAAACCATACGACTTTAAAAAAAGCAACAAAACCAGCAAATGCTGAGCCACTGCGAGGAGAGTGTGGAATGGGCATGGAGCTCTGGGTACTCACTGATGGTTATCTTCTCAGATAAAAACAACTCCAGCGTTTTATTAAAAATAATTTTTAGTCAAAGCATTTCAAACAGCAACCTCAGAAACTTGAACACATTTGAAAAAGTAACAGCAATCATTATAAATGAAAAGATACCAACCTGGGAGCACTGCATGGACTCTGTCACTCCAGAACAGTAAGAAACAAATATAAATGCGGAGCAAGGCCTCCCCTTGGATGTACACATTGACTACTAGGCCTAAAGTGACTTAGTTGTTTTGCAAGCTAATGGTAAATAAAGCTCGCGCTGCTGCCTAAACGCTTTGGAAAACTTCCTCATGGCAATTCAGCACTGTGCTTCACATCAGCCGCAGAAAGGTGTTTTGGGGTTTTTTTTTTTTGTTTTATAACGCCCACTTCCTTTAACAAGTGAAACAAGTAAAAAATAAACAAATGAAAGAAAAGGGGAGACAGGAAGAAGGGGGGAAAGAAGACAAGGAGGGCAGGAAAGAAGAGGAGAGACGCACTCCCATGCTCAGAGCCCCATGGCCACACAGGGTCCCTGCCCAGGTGACGCGGCCGCTCAGGAGCACGGAGGCTTCTCACCAACTGCGTCAGGAAAACACCAGGACCACCTGGGGAAGATAAAACTTTTTTTCTTTAAATAAATCTATAAAGTAAAACACTGTTACAAGGGGAAAAGAAAGCCCCACTTTATGTATTTGGTTGCCCATGGTTTTAGGAGCATCTAATCTAATTTCAACTGAACTCCTAATGAACTAGTCATGCACAGATGAGTCTGCTTCAGCCCCTGTCTCCTCCATTCCAGGGGCTTCTGGAAATGGGCCTCTTCTACATACAGTTTAAAGCAGAGCTGGGTGGACTGTTAGAGGTAGGTTACAGGAGGAATAAAGACCCATCTTCAGAGGAGGTCTCAGCACCACGACATGGGAGCACCTCTCAGGACAAACGATAACTTGAGCGGCATTAACGCTGAAACGAAGCACCCCTTGCAGCGTCTGTCGCTGGTGCCTGCAGATGGCCTGCGCTGCACTTGGGTCATGCCGCACCCAACAGGAGTCAGAAGGTGACTCGCCACTATGGCCGTCTACTCACATGCAACAGTCCATGCAGAGGGCAGCTGGGGGTGTGCATTCGGAGGCTTTGGGATAGAAAGCAGGGGAATAACACTAAGGGCAGGGGACAAGAGTCAGCAGAGAACACGCCAGGGAGCCACAAGGGAAAACTGCTTAAGAAAACACTGAAGACTTAAGAAACTTTAGTGACTTGAAACCACTGGAGTTCACAACACTAAAATACAGGTTTAGGACTGAAGTGTCTTTTTGTGCATGAAGTATTAAGAGTCCCTGAATATAATTTGAATTAAATAAGAAGAGCTCCTATTTGTAGGTTAATACATGTAAATTATTGTATATTTTTGCTATATACGGAGATATACTGGAACTACTGCGGAGTTACATTACATCTTAAGCAGTTTCAAGCAGATAGTATTATCCGAATTTTAGTAATGCATTCAGTGGACTTAGGTTCAGACTACAAGAAAGTGAATAAGGAAGGTTCGCTTTACACCTGGGTCAGAAAGGCTGGATTCCCAAAGCCTCCGAAGCCCCAGCTACCCAACTTGCTCTACGTCATCTAACTATGAACAGTAAGGTAGGCACAGACCAAGCAGTTGGTAATACAGCTTGGCACGCAGACACCGGACGAGAGAGACTGCAGCAAGGGTTTCACGTGATCGTGTGTAATGTTCGTCCACACCTTAGTCTTCGACTTGGGACTGCTTCCATTCTGCCCTTCCTCGGAAGCTTCGTCGCCCCGGCCAGAGTTCAGCCATCTTGTCTTCTCCCGCTGCTGCTTCTGAAAACTGTGTCTGAGTGGGGAGCAAGTGCCCGAATCACCGTCACTAGCAAAGGAGTAACCTGTGACACTAGCAGGAACCTCCACATCGCTGTATTTTTTAGACTTCTCTCTCAGAGCAGGGTATCGATAAGGGTAGCCAGTTCTGTAGCCCTAGGGTCCAAGGAGAGTGAAAGACAGTCAATATTCCAGATCTCAAAACAGGGTTTCACTTTGGAAAATCATGTGGAAACATCCACAAAAGTTGAACACATGCATACCCTATGACTCAGTAATTCCACTCCTAATTTTACACCCCACAGAAGCAAATGTGTTCACCAAAAACCAGGTACTAAAATGTGGACAGCAACCCTACTCCTCGTAAACCACAATTGGAAACAACCCAAAAGTCCATCCATATAGGAGATGGATAGTCTAGTGTCTTCATAAGAAGGCTTATAGTGACACAATGTGCTCTAAACCAACCACGTGGATGACTCTCCTGAAGGCAACGCTGAGTGAAAGAGACCAACCTGCAAAGAACATACACCATGTAATACCATTCATTAAAAGTGCAGAAGATGCAAAACAACCTTTGTTTTGGTTGTCCTGGGAGACAGGACAGTTGTCACCCCTGGGATGGGACAAGTGAACTGAAGGAGGTGCTGGGGGTGTTCTGAGGTGCTGCTACCGTTGCTCTTATTGACTGCTGGTTATACAGGGGGTTCAGTTTTTAAAAATGAACAAACTGAACACTTGCGGTAGGTGCACTCTCCTGCTTACATATTTCAACAAAAAATTAAAGTTGAACACCCAAACAGGGTTTACTTGCTGCCAGCCACTGTGCAGGTTATATTCATCAACATACTTAATAGACTTTTACCTCTTAAGTTACAGTTTAAATACTGTGATAATCTTTAGGTAAGTAAGGTAAGTAAGTATACCTCATGACAACTGGTTCTCAGCAAAATTACTTTACGTCTGAATACAACAACATTCAAATTCACCTCCAGCTCTGCCTCATGACCATGTGCTCTGTGGTAAAAGACAGCCCCACTTACTTCATGCCTCTACTGGACCAACTCATCTGCAGAGTCCTCCCACAGACAGCATCTCTAAGGGCATGGACGGTGTCCTCTGCATCTCTCCTGGCCACACTTGGTAAGTGTGACAGACAGACTTCACAGTGGCCCCAGGCCCCCAGCTCCTGTAATCCCCTCCCACCTTGAGCACAGGTGAGATCTCTGACTTGCTTCTAAGTAGCGGAATTCACAAAAGGTGATGATGGGCTGTATCACAGAAGAGTTTAGCACCTATCTTATAAGAGTCTCTGTCTCTACTGCTGGCTCTGAAGAAGTAAAGCTGCCAAGAATGCTTCAGCCCTAAGAAAAGGAATTCTGTCCCCAGTCTAGAAGAGCCTGGATGTGGATCCTCTGAGTCAAGTCTCCTGATGAGAACCCAGCCCTAGCCAACACCCTGAATGCAGCCTTTATGAGACCCTAGGTTGAGTTCGCTGTGCCTGGACTCCTGCCCCACAGAAGCTAGGAAATAAATGGCTGCTGTTCGAAGCCACCAGGCCTGTAGTGATTTGTTGCCCAGCACAGAGAGGTAATACGGGGGATGCTGAAGAGCTGTCTGCTCAACAACCTAACAGATTCGCACCTGAACCAAGTCACTCACAGCACCTTCACAATACATCACAAGAGAATCAGGACTTGGAGGGACTGCACAGGGTCAGACATACAAGACACTTCAGTGGCCTGTGCCCTGCTGGCTGTGGTACTCTAGAAACAGTCCTCTCAATTCAGAATTCTCTCTCCCCTCTGGGTACTGCTCTTTTTTGGGGGCCATCTTCATTACTAATCACTCTTTCAATATTTTTTTTATTTTTTTAATTTAATTTTTTTTTTTTGAGACAGAGTCTCACTCCATTGCCCAGGCTGGAGTGCAGTGGCGCCATCTTGGCTCACTGCAACCTCCGCCTCCCAGGTTCACACTATTCTCCTGCCTCAGCCTCCTGAATAGCTGGGACCACAGGCACGTGCCACCACACCCGGCTAATTTTTTGCATTTTTAGTAGAGACGGAGTTTCACTGTATTAGCCAGGACGGTCTCAATCTCCTGACCTCATGACCCACCTGCCTCAGCCTCCCAAAGTGCTGGGATTATAGATATGAGCCACCACGCCCGGCCTCCTTTTATTTTTTTGAGATGGAGTCTTGCTCTGTCACCCAGGCTGAAGTGCTGTGGCTCGACCTTGGCTCACTGCAACCTCTGCCTCCCGGGTTCAAGTGCTTCTTCTACCTCAGCCTCCCGAGTAGCTGGGATTACAGGCACCCTCCACCACACCTGGCTAATTTTTGTAGAGAAGGGGTTTCACCATGTTGGCCAGGCTGGTCTTGAACTCCTGACTTCAGGTGATCCACCTGCCTTGGCCTCCCAAAGTGCTGGGATGACAGGCATCAGCCATCGTGACCGGCCTACATTTTTTTAAAAAGGTAATAACAATCATGAATGGAGTTGTTTTGGGTTTTATTTTCATAATTGTCCTCAGAAAGATAAGGTAAATGTGTGTACTGGCAGTTTTCCCATTTCTGAGCATGCTTTGTTGAGGAATAATAAAAGAGAATGACTCTGCCATAAAGACTATCTGCAGAAAAACACAGTTCTTATTAATTCAAGTTTCCTTTTGCTTAAAGAGCCAGAACTCAGTAATCTCCACAACTTCAGAATAAACCACCCAGGACTCATCAACATCATTTTATCCTGAAACCATATGGATTTTTCTTTATTCTTCCCCTTTAAATGCTGTTAAACCAAAACCAGAAGTAATACTCAGACCTCAGAACTACTATCTGGCTTGTAGTTAAAAACATGGATTTGGGTCAGGCGTGGTAGTTTACACCCATAATCCTAGCACTTTGGGAGGCTGAGGTGGGAGGACTGCTTCAGCCCAGGAGTTCAACACCAGCCTAGGCAACATGATGACATCCTGTCTCTCCAAAAAAAAAAAGAAAGAGAAAATATATATGGATTTGTTCCTTCTTTGAGAAACTGAAATTATATCTTGATTTTTTTTGGGGGGGGGACAATTTAGCATTTTTTTTCTAACTGTAGAAGTTCAAATGAAATATTATCTCTCTTTTTGAAATTTTTTTATTTTTTGTGGAGAGGAATCTCGCTATGTTGCCCAGGCTGGTCTTAAGCTCCTGGTCTCCCACCTCAGCCTCCTGAAGTGCTGGGATCACAGGAGTGAGCCACTGTGCTCGGCTGCAACATATATTATAGTGTGGAAATTGGCAACTATTCTCTACTCAGTTATTAGCAAACAACATATATGCCAACCCCGATGCTAAATTAAAACATGGACTATGATTAGTGATTGCTGTCTAGTTTATTTCTTATAAACTATATGGCCTTCTAATATTAAAACAATCTGTACACATTAAGGACACTGAGTAAACATTCATCATGCTTTTTGTAATGAATGTTTTACTTATTAATCATTCATCCTTATCTTCCTTCCCTACCAAATCAGAGTTTCTACCTGATTTTGACTTCCCCCTCTCCGCCTTCTAGGATGTGCTTTCAGCACAGTCTTTGGTGGCTGCTGTGCATTCTGACCCCCCTCTCTCCTCCCTCACACTGACTGTAAGTAGAAGAGCAGCAAAATGTCGCCGTATTTACCAGGAGGCAGGGGCTGTGTGACTGGGCCAACCTCAGCCCTCCTTACCTTGCACAGCCATGCTGGATGACCTGGCTCCTGACGCACACCTGGGCCATGGCTGCCCCACTCTCAAGCTTTCTCCATCTATGAGTCCCTGCAGCTTCACTACCCTGGCTGGCCACCCAACTCTAACTGCTTCTTCAGCCTTCTTCATGAGCTTTTGCTCCTCTTCCTACCTCCTTGACCAATCGGCACCCACCTCTGCCTGCAAGCTCTCATCATGCCTATGACTGCACAGATCACAGGGGCAGGGCTCATTTGGGAATCGTTTGTCCATCTCTCTTATTAGGTCATAAACTCCTGAGGGCAAGAACTGTGTCCTGTTCATGACTCAACAGTAGACAGTCAATTAATGCAATCAACCTCACTGATTATATGAACTCAAAAAGTTACGCTAGACTCTGCCTTCTCTGTTCGTCCCTGTGTCACTGATTGAGTCTACTCCACTGACTGACTATCGCGCCCAGGCAGAAAACCCTCAGTTCCTCCTTTCTAGCGGACAATATTCATCCCAAGTGCAAAGAATTTCAGTAAGAACATTTAACATAGCCTGAATCAGACCTATGAATACTTTTTATTCCAAACCTTCAGGAAAGTTAAACTTCCTGCCTCCTGAAGCCACCCTGCTTCCTGAAGCCACCCATCTCATCTGTGATCTGGTCCAAGGGCCACGCCTGTCTTAGGCTGGAACGTGCCCACTTGTCCAGTACTGGCTGGCAGCATACAAGGATACTGGCCCCTCTGAGGCCTTCTTTCCCCACACTGACATGTCCTCACATCTACACCACTTGAGGTCATGTGGCGTTAGGACGGACCATCGTGACCCCCATCTAAGAGGTCTGATGTGCAGCATGGAAGGGATCTGTTCCAGAGCCCTGTGTCTGATGATGTGGCTGCGGGACTGAGACCCCAAGGGCAGTGTTCTAATACAGCTCTAAGAACTGAGTATTTAATGATCCTGGTAAAGTCAAGATGAACCTGAAAGGTGCACCGTACGTTGCATGTTCCCATCTCCCCACTCCCATTGTCTGCAGCTGTGCTGTGGCCTCTTCATCCTGTCATCCTGTTTTTTTCCAGGCTTTCAAACGCAGGCTAAGATCCTACCTATTCTTTGAGGTCATTTCCAAGGGCTACCTTCCACATAAAATTTTCTCTCCAGTCCTTGCAAAAGAATGAAATTCTTCACGGCAACCCTGTAACACAGAACACATCCTGTGTGTCTGCCCTCCTATCACAGTGTGGGCTCACTTTCCCTGTGTGCTGCAGGCCCCATAAGCCCGCCTTCTGGACCATGCCGGGCTCTGTGTCCCTGCAATAAGCAGCTGAGGGGCTCCCACGCTGTGGACAGGGAGTGGATACCCATGGAACACAGTCATCAGGCCCCAGACAGCCAGGATTTGCTGTTAAGACAAAAGCCTAAATACCTGACTGACCGATTTCAAAAGTGCCACCTCTCTCGCTTGCTTGTGGGATGGTGGGGACTGAGCTGACACAGCTGGTCATCCAGCTGCCTACGCATTCTCTGTGCTCTTGTCCCCACTGAGTCCAAACACAAGGTTATCTTTAAAAAATAAAACAATACCAGGAATCCTTCACCTCTACATTTTATTGTAATTTACCTCAGAAGTTAAACAACCCTAGTGCTTCTTCATGACTTTGAAGGTGAAGGTATTCAGATACTGCATAAAAGACAGCAATCGCACTTGCTGTAAGAACACCAACACTGATGCTTTTAGAACAAAAGGTTTATCATCAAGTGGTGGCACCATTCTTACCAGATTATCGAGCATCCGCATGAGGGCTTCAAATTCCTGCTCACCAATCTGCCACTTGGGAGGCGATCCAGTGCCTTCCCCTACCGGAGACCCTGGGGAACGGGACTTGGCTTTGTACTTCTCAGGATTCAGCAGGACTAAGTTGTCTGGTCCTCCTGCACTGGCCAGAGTTCGAACCTTTTCCAAAACACACACAGCATGGCTTGAGTTCCTTACTGAGATCAAGAGGGTCAGATGACTTGAATAAAAATGTAGGTTTCAAAAGAAACCAAATCTCTAGAGTGTAAGAATAAAAAATGTAGAATGGATAGTGACAGACTGATCACAAAGTTACTTTCAGAAGTATTTCTTTAGCATGACAAAAATATTGGGCACCAAAGTTGGCAGAGAAATGAGAAAACACAGCACCTTTCAGGATCCTACAAAGGACTTGGGACTTCACTACGCCACAGACATAAGTCAAGAAGCAGAGGGGAGAACGTGAACTAACGGCTGACGGAGCGGAGGGGAACTCACAGCTGTAAGCTGCAGGCAAGTCTCTGAGTCTCTACTTCTGTATACCTGCTTTTTCAAAGAGTACTGTGGGGGTCACGTGACATCACATATGCGATGACACACACTAAGCACCTGATGCCAGGCCTATACACACCAGTACTCCATAAATGGTAGTGACTGACATATTTGAAAATTTAAAAATTAGAAATGAAAAGCCCAGTAATCCTTTGCCAACTTCAATCAGTGAAACAGCATTTGTCCTGATCAAGTCCCAAATCCATGAGCTTATCTTTGGCAAAGAGATTGCTCAAAGACTCCTCTCCTACTCGATAAGTATCAAAAAAAAATCTATGTGAACCCCAGACACATCTAAATAAACTGCAGAGTGACTGGAATGGCTGTCCCCTACCTGGATCTCACAGGCAACCACAAGGTTATGGATGTAATAGAAGGCCTCCTCAACGCTCTCTCCAACTGACACGAGCCCATGGTTCCGGAGAATAAGAACCTGAGGGGAAGCATGAATGCTCTGTGGAGCTGGGCAGGAAGACTGGTCCTTTGCTTTATTCTTCTTTCTGCTGTAATTTAAATACCAGATTAGATGCCTACTGACCTTGCTTTTAGGCCCCAGATTTTTCTGAATCAAAACTTTTTCCTCTTCATCAACCAGAATGCCATGGTAGTCATGATAAGCCACTTCTCCAAGGGAAAGCGCCTCCGGGGAGATTGGCAAGAGGCCACATTTCATTGCAGAGACCTAGAGACCAAATGGTCGCCATGAAGAAGGAAAACCTGGGGTTACACAATGACTGATGATATGGTAAATGCTTTCCTCACAGAAATAAAATGGGAAGGGAAATGTTTTTGTCCTCTTCTTGAAAATCAATCTATGAACTTAAGACAAACTTGGTTTCCAGTGCTAACAATTCACACTTAAAAACAAAACTACCCCTAAACTGGGAGAGCCTCAAAAGAAAATCCACATCTTTCTAGACTTTTTCCCACTGATATAAGTGCTATGTAAACCTGGATTTAATTATACAATGAGCACTGCATCTAGTGCAAGGAGCAGACCACAGACTCCTCTGAGGACTCAGTGCATTTCAAAAGAAGGCTTCCCATCAGGTATGGTGGCTCACACCTGTAATCCCAACACTCAAGAGGCTAAGGCAGGTGGATCACTTGAGCCTGGAAGTTCGACGTCAGCCTGGGCAACAAAGTGAGACCCCCGCCTCTACAAATAATATTTTTAAATTAGCCAGATGTGATGGCATGCACCTGTAGTCAAGAGGCTACTCTAGAGGCTGAGGCAGGAGGAATCCTGAACCCAGGAATTCAAAGCCAGCCTGGGCAACATATGAGACCCTCATCTCCTAAAAAAAAAAAAAAAAAAAAAAAAGGAGGAGGTTTTCCAAGTGCTCTAAAGTTTTTCTGTACTTTTTATCTTAGGTTGTAGATAACATTGAAACACCTAAAAATTAGGTGAAAGCAAATTTATACAAGTTTGTATATATATAATGTAATTATATATATACAATTTATATATAATTTCTTATATAATTTCTCTACATGTATTTAAGTAAAATTGACTCTCAAAGAGAAAAATCTAAGTGTTCATAGAGTCCTTAAGTTTCCTAAAATTCCCCAGAGTGGCCTCAGAATATGCCATTTTTGAAGGTCTTCTAAAGACAAGACCTATAGACAGCAACATTATGACCCTAAAGTAACAGGCTTCAAAGATTCAAAAACTATCTTTATCAATTCCATAGAGAAAAGTTAACCTAAAAAGACAATACCACATTTAACTCCTTCCAAAGTATCAGCTCTCATACAAGAAGAAATTTCCTTACCAAGCAAAATTATTTTGATAATTTTAAAAAGAGGCTGGGCACAGTGGCTCATGCCCATAAACCCAGTCATTTGGGAGCCAAGGTGGGCAGATCACTTGAAGCCAGGAGTTCGAGACCAGCCTGGTCAACATGGTGAAACCCCGTCTCTACCAAAAAATAAAAACATTAGCCAGGTGCAGTGGCGTGCACCTGTAGTCCCACCTACTCAGGAGGCTGAGGTGGGAGAATCGTTTGAACCCAGGAGATGCAAGTTGCAGTGAGCCAAGATCGTGCCACTGCACTCCAGCCTGGGAGACAGGGTGAGATCCTGTCTCAGAAAAACAAACAAAAACACGTTACGTGATAGCTGTTCATAACCATACTGTCAAAGGTACCTTTAATAGTTCTTTAAAATCCATAAACATTTTAGTGGCTGGAGTGACATGCATTCTTTCAGGAAAAAAAAAATCACATCATTCACACAATGATGTATCTAATAAAACCACGATGTTGACATAAGAACCATATGTTCAGAGTGAAACAAACCAGAGGTAATGTTCATCCAAATAATCCAACACACATGACATTAAAACATCAATATCAGGTCGGACGTGGTGGCTCATGCCTGTAATCCCAGCACTTTGGGAGGCCAAGGTGGGCAGATCACTTGAGGTCAGGAGTTCGAGACCAGCCAGGCCAACATGATGAAACCCCATCTTGACTAAAAATACAAAAATTAGCCGGGAATGGTGGTGTGCACCTGTAGTCCCAGCTACTTGGGAGGCTGAGTCAAGAGAACTGCTTGAACCCGAGGGGCAGAGGTTGCAGTGAGTTGAGAGTGCGCCACTGCACTTCAGCCTGCGTGACACAGCAAGACTCCATCTCCAAAAAAAAAACCAAGATCAATTAAAATACAGCATTACTGGGCCGGGTGCAGTGGCTCACACCTGTAATCCCAGCACTTTGGGAGGCCGAAGCGGGCGGATCACGAGGTCAGGCGATCAAGACCATTCTGGCTAACACGGTGAAACCCAGCCTCTACTAAAAATACAAAAAATTAGCCATGCGAGGTGGCGGGCACCTGTAGTCCCAGCTACTTGGGAGGCTGAGGCAGGAGAATGGCGTGAACCCGGGAGGCAGAGCTTGCAGTGAGCCGCGATCGCGCCATTGCACTCCAGCCTGGATGACAGAGCGAGACTCCGTCTCAAAAAAAAAAAAAAAATACAGCATTACTGAATCAATAAGGTCATCTGTTGTACAATAAACCCCAAAAGTCCTTATATAAAATTGGTGATAAAAAGCATACTTCTCAAGTACTGTGCTTTCACATGACATTGAGCAGATAGCCTGCACGTGCACTTTCATACGGAGGGGTCTGGGGCTTTGTCAGGGTGGCCCATTCACACCAGAAGGGGTAAGGCTTGGTGCACAGCTGAGGAGGAGGGTTCCTGAGCAGCTTGGAAGCTAAGCCTCGTAACAGCCTGCACTGCCTGTGTCTCCTCTCCCAGCCGCTCCTTTTCTTCTTCCCCGTCACAATCCAGCCTGGGTCCTGCTGGTTGGCTGCGGGGAGCTGGACAGGTTGGTTTCTAGGCCTCAACCTCTCCCTTTCCCCAGCTCGTCCCCACAGACTGTCCTCACGTTCAAGTCTCCCACACCCCAAACACCCTTCCCCGAGCCCACAGCACCCTCCACCCACCACCCCAGCTTGCCCTCTCCTTCTTTTCCCATTCTTCTCGAACGAGATGCCTGCTTACTGATGTCATTTTGCACGTCCCCACAGTCTTCAACACCCTGAAATCTTACCTCTCCCTCAATTCTCTATGACTTTGTTTTGTTTACTGTTATTTTATTTTTTTGAGACAAGGTCTTACTCTGTCACCCAGGCTAGAGTTCAGAGGCACAACCATAGCTCACTGAAACCTCAACATCCTTGGCTCAAAATCTTCCCACCTCAGCCTCCCAAGTAGCTGGAAGTACAGGCACGCACCACACTGGTTAATTTTTTAATTTTTTTTGTACAGACGGGGTCTCACTATGTTGCCCAGGCTGGTCTCCAACTCCTGGGCTCAGCAATCCTCCCGCCTCAGCATCCCGAAGTAGTGTGATTACAGGCATGAGCCACCATGCCCGGCCAATTGTTAAATCTAATAGGCATTTTCAGACTTATTACATGTTTTTCCAAATTAAATGGGATATATGGACCCCTTAAAAGGAAAAAAAATTATTTTAAGAAAGTCAAACTTAGTGGTACACCTTTTTTTTTATATTCAACAAAATTAGTTTTACTGACTATAAACAACAAGGGCAATTCAGAGGAAACGTGCAGTGCCTTTCACTCAGCAGCTTTAGACCTTGAGATGCTACCAGGGCAGCCACTCACCGCAGCCCCTGCTGGGGTGTGAATGTGCACGACGCACTTCACGTCCGGGCGTGCAGCATAAATTGCAGAGTGTAAGGTGAAGCCGGCCTGATTCACTCCCAGATTAGTGCTTCCACGATCTACTATATCTCCTTGTAGATTGATCTTAACCTGAAAATAAAAAAATAAAAATGTAAAATACCAAGAGGACTTCATTTTTTCTTTTCTTTTTTTTTTTTTTTTTGATAGGGTCTGGCTCTGTCGCCCAGGCTGGAGTGCAGTGGTGCGACCTCGGCCTCCACCTCCCAGGTTCAAACAATCCTCCCACCACCATGCCCAGCTAATTTTGGTATTTTTTTGTAGAGTTGGGGTACCGCCATGTTGGCCAGGCTGGTCTCGAACTTAAGTACTGGAATTACAGGCATGAGCCACTGCACCCCAGCCCAAGAGGACTTCAAATTACCCTAACTAGAAACTATTCAAACTCAAGATTACAATATTTGTAACTTCTCTCAAAGGTTTTTCTCTAACTGAACACACCACATAAAACATAGGCTCTTTCTTGTTTCTTGGGTTTTACATATTTAGCTGATCTGAAGATGTTGAATGACCTAACATGACCTGCACATACAAGCTGCCAAAGAGAAGGACATTCTTACCAAACTGGATGCAGTCACTTCACTGTAAAGAAGCCCAAAAGGGACAATGAGGAAGTGTTCCTGCTCGGAGTTCACTCTGGTCTGTGGGGAAAATGACTGAATTAGCTCAAAGATCCAAGTGAAATTATTTGCATCTCTTTCAGGCTACAAATTCACGGGTTTGTTCAGAACACTGAGTGAGCTATGCAGGGAAGCGTCCATGCACAATGCCTGTCACGAAGCCAAGGGGTACTGGAAGCTTTCCATTATTCTACTGTACTAATTTATCACATATATGAAGTGCTTCTTGCTCACGTTCATGATAACTGACTTTATAGAGGGAAAAAACAGTTCCACACTAGCCTTCTGACAGGTCAATAAATTACTGCTGGGTTACTCTGTCACACTTTCTGGTGGCTACTAGTGTCAAAGGCAAAAAGGTGTCACTCCTCAGGGATATAATAATGAAAACCAAAACTTACATTATTCTTTTTTTTTTTTTGAGACAGGGTCTCACTCTGTTGCCCAGGCTGGAGTGCAGTGGCGTGATCATGGCTCACTGCAACTTCTGCCTCCCAGGCTCAAATGATCCTCCCACCTCAGCCTCCCAAGTAGCTGGGACTACAAGCGCACAATACTGTGACCAGCTAATTATTGTATTTTGTATAGAGACAGGGTTTCGCCATGCTGGCCAGGCTGGTCTCAAAAACTCCTGGGCTCAACTGGATCTGCCTTCCTTGGCCTCTCAAAGTGCTGGGATTACAGGCATGAGCCACTGTGCCTGGCCAAAACTTACTTTTAAAAAGTCAAACAGAATGTCCTTTTTTTTTTTTCCTTGCTGCAGTAGGCACTGACAAAATGAATTTTTAAAAATACTTAACACCTAGGCTGGGCACTGTGGCTCAAGCCTGTAATCCCAGCACTTTGGGAGGCGAAGATGGGTGGATCACTTGAGGTCAGGAGTTTGGGACCAGCCTGGTCAACATGGCAAAACCCCGTCTCTACTAAAAAAATAAAATAAAATAGACAACTTGGCCACCTGTGGTGGCAGGCACCTGTAGTCCCAGACACTCAGGTGGCTGAGGCACGAGAATCACTTGGAACCCAGGAGGCAGAGGTTGCAGTCAGTCATGATCGTGCCACTGCACTCTAGCCTGGGTGACAGACAAGACCCTGTCTCAAAAAAATAAATAAAATAAATAAAAAATAAAAAAATAATTAAAACCAACTTGTACCCTTACTACTTGATCTGTTTTTTTTTTTGTTTTTTATTTTTGTTTTTGAGATGGGGTCTCACTCTGTTACCCAGGCTGTAATGCAGTGGCGCAATCATGCTCACTGCAGCCTCAACCTCCTGACTCAAGTGATCCACACATCTCAGCCTCCTGAGTAGCTGGGACTACAGGCACAAGTCATTAAGCCTGGCTATTTTTTTATTTTTTATTTTGGTAGAGATGGGGTCTCACTAAGTTGCCCAGGCTGGTCTTGAACTCCTGAACTCAAGCAATCCTCCCGCCTCAGCCTCTCAAAATGCTAGGCTTACAGGTGTGAGCCACTGTGCCCACCATAATCCATTTCTTAAGTCTCTACAACACCACATCCTCATTGCCTTCATTGGTTTGCCTCTTCCACAGTATGTTTTTCTCCCACAGTAATTAATTCAATGCAGATTTGGTTTACACTATGCATCAAGCATATGCTAGACACTAGGAATACAGCAGTAAAAAAGAAGAGACCTGCCCTCAAAAATATTCATTCTAGTTTTTATAATGATTTTAGTATAGGCTCAAAAGGCTTCCTAAAGATTAAGTTCAAATACATTTACTAATGGGTTAAGGAACCCAGAATCCTAACTAGGGTCGGACAGTTGGAGCTGAGTGTTTGTTGAAAAGGACTTAAGGTGTTTAGTCCAGCTTCCTAAGCCACATAGTGATTTCTTCTGTAGTGGCCCAAACAGAAGCATACCCAGGGTCTGCTTGTTTTAGTTTCAGTGATGAGGATGCTTACCCCAGCCTCCCTCATTTATTCATTCAGGAAAGAAATGACCACCTACTCGCTGAGAGCCCACCGTGTCATGGGCGCTGAAGCACTGTCATAAACAGATGCTGGAGAGACTTAAGGATTAAAACGTTCTTTCTAGCACTGAGAAGAAATCTGTTTTCCTGTGTTTGTCACCACTGCCTCTAGTATATAACACAGAACAAATTCTAACCCCCTTCTACAATTTAATTTTCAGACATCTAAATCTATCCTGTCTCCCCTTATATGATCTGTAGGCTAAACTCACCTGATTGTCTCTGTAGAGCATAACAGGGTTAAGAGCACAAAATCCAAAGTCAGATAACACTTAAGTTCAAATCCTAGCTCTGCCAAGAACTGGCTATGGTGTTCTGGGCACCCTGAGCTCCTGTTTTCCTCATGACTAAGTGGGGATGGAAGAGCCTGTGTCTACAATAAAGCTCGCAATAAACGGCATCTACCCATTATTACCATCATTAGTGGTAGTGGGAGCAGCAACACTAAATCATTGCTAGGGGTCATTTACATGGATAGTGAACTACAACACCCAGTCTCTATAAATCCCTATGACCCACTTCTTTGCAATGCTGAGTCAGCCTTGCTTTCTATTTCCTTAAGTCAGCTCCTTTATCTTTTTTTTTTCTTTTTTTGAGACAAAGCTCACTCTGTCACCCAGGCTGGAGTGCAGGGGCACGATCTCAGCTCACTACAACCTTTGCCTCCCGGGTTCAAGCGATTCTCCTGCCTCAGCCTCTGAGTAGCTGGGATTACAGGCACACCATGCCCAGCTAATTTCTGTATTTTTAGTAGAGACGGGGTTTCACCACGTCAGCCAGGCTGGTCTCAAACTCCTGGCCTCAAGTGATGCACCCACTTTTTCTGGCCTCCAAAAATGCTGGGATTAGAGGCATGAGCCACCGTGCCCAGCCTCCTTTATCTTAAAAAGCATGCTGACCTTTTTTTTTTTTTTTAAAATAGAGACAGGGTTTCACTATGTTGCCCAAGCTGGTCCCAAACTTTTGAGCTCAAGTGATCCTCCTGCCTTGGCCTCCAAAAGTGTTGGGATTACAGGTGGGAGTCACTGCATCCAGCCCATCCTGACTTGTTAAACTATTTAACACAAAAGTAAGCAGTTGTCTAATTGCTAAGCTCAGTCAAAACAAAACATAAAACAAGGGATCTGTGTATATACTGGTTGGAATGAAGAAAATTAAGGATGAAAATTAGAAAAGATTAAGTTTCAGATTTTTGTTTTGCTTCCTTTAAAAGCCTTTATTTTAAAAACACACATACAAGGGTATTTACAAGATATAAGACAATGTAAGTATAATAATAAATCAAACATCCATGTATCTATCAATTAGCTTAAGAAATACAATAATTCTAGTGGCCAGGCATGGTGGCTCATGCCTGTAATCCCAGCACTTTGGGAGGGCGAGAAGGGCGGATCACAAGGTCAGGAGATGGAGACCATCCTGGCTAAAATGGTGAAACCCTGTCTCTACTAAAAATACAAAAAAAATTAGCCGGGTGTGGTGGCGGGCGACTGTACTCCCAGCTACTCGGGAGGTTGAGGCAGGAGAATGGCGTGAACCTGGGAGGCAGAGCTTGCAGTGAGCAGAGATCGTGCCACTGACTCTAGCCTGGGTGACAGGGTGAGACTCTGTCTCAAACAACAACAACAAAAGAAATCTGATGTCTATAAAATGACATTTCATTGTGATATGAATTTATAATTTCCTGGTGACCAAATGATTTCAGTAACTTTTCATATTTTTATAAGGCATTCTTATTTCCCCTTCTGTGAAATTCCTTTCTTGCCTTTTGTCCATTTTATACTGGTTTGTCTTTTTCTTACTGACAGTTATCTATTCCAGATATTATTTCTTTTTTTTTTTTTTTGAGACGGAGTCTCACTCTGTCGCCCAGGCTGGAGTGCAGTGGCACAATTTCAGCTCACTGCAACCTTCACCTCCCAAGTTCAAGTGATTCCTGTCTCAGCCTCCCAGTAGCTGGGATTACAGGTGCGCGCCACCACGCCTGGCTAATTTTGCATTTTTAGCAGAGACGGAGTTTCACATGTTGGCCACACTGGTCTCAAACTCCTGGCCTCAAGGGATGTGCCCACCTTGGTCTCCCAAAGTGCAGAGATTACAGGCGTGAGCCACTGCACCCAGCTCCAGATATTAATTTCTATTGGCTACATGTGGGACAAACCTTCCAGGTTGCGGCTTTTATTATTACTGTCTTTATGGTATCTTTTACCTTTTTTCTGAGACAGGGTCTCACTCTGCCACCCAGGCTGGAGTGCAGTGGCACAATCTCAGCTCACTGCAACCTCTGCCTCTAGGGTTCAAGCAATTCTCCTGTCTCAGCCTCCCCAGCAACTGGGACTACAGGCACACCACCATGCCTGGCCAAATTTTTTGTATTTTTTGGTAGAGATGGGTTTCATCATGTTGGTCAGGCTGGTCTCGAACTCCTGACGTCAGGTGATCCACCCACCTCAGCCTCCCAAAATGCTGGGATTACAGGCATAAGCCACCACGCCTGGCCTATGGTATCTTTTAATAAGGAAAAAGTTTGTCTACTTTAAATGTAGACAAATTTATCCATCTTTTCTTTTACGATAAGTGATTTTTGTGTCATAAGACATCTCTCCTTAGGCCAGAGGTTCAAGGCCAGTGATTTTCACCTATATTAGTCCTAAAATTGTTAAAGTATTGCATTTCACATTTAATCTTTAATTCACTGGGATTGCTTTGTGATTATGTATAGTATAGAAGTCTCATATAATTATTTCCACTTGTGACTTTTCTACCCAAGCATCCCAGCAGCCATCATTGCCAAGTCCATCCCCCACCCCGCTGAGCTGCAATGCCGACTACAGCATGTCTGTTTCAATGCATGCAATTTGGCCCTACTGATCCCTCTGCATCTTCCTTTGCCCAAAGGACACTATATTAATTACCACTTTATATTAAGTTTGACATCTGGTAGGAAAAATCTCCTTGCCTAGCTGTTCTTCAGGAGTGTCTTAGCTATTCTTGGCCTTCCGCTCTTCCATCTAAATTTTAGAAGCATGCTGTCAGGTTCCACATTTAAAAAGTATTACACAACCATTTTTGTTAGTCATTTCTCTTTTGTCTCTCTCTCTCTCTCCATATATATATGTACATATTTCATATAGCTGTAAACAGTATATATTTCATATTTTCTCATTTCTGATACCTTTCATTTTTCATATTTCACTTGTTCTACATGATCTTTGTAATTGTTTTTCATAGTATACAACATTTGCTCAAATTGATATTGAATAACTGAGCCATTTCCTATCTACTGCTGAATACTTAAGGACTCTTAAAATTTTTCATTATTGGCTGGGTGCAGTGGCTCACACCTATAACCCTAGCACTTTGGGAGGCTGAGGTGGGCGGATCACTTGAGGTCAGGAGTTCAAAACCAGCCTGGCCAACATGGTGAAACCCCATCTCTAGTAAAAATACAAAAAAATTAGCTGTGTGTGGTGGCAGGTGCCTGTAATCCCTGCTACTTGGGAGGCTGAGGCAGCAGAATTGCCTGAACTCGGAAGGTAGAGGTTGAGTGAGCCGAGATCATGCCACTGCACTCCAGCCTGGGCCACAGAGTGAGACTCTGCCTAAAATAATAATAATAATAATAATAATAATAATAATTTCATTATTACAAATAATGCTGGGCCGGGCACAGTGGCTCACACCTGTAATCCCAGCACTTTGGGAGGCCGAGGCAGGCGGATCGCTTGAGGCCAGGAGTTTGAGCCCAGGCTGGCCAGCATGGTGAAACCCCATCTCTACTAAAAATACTAAAATCAGCTAGTGGCATGGTGGTGCACACCTGCGCATGGTGGCACATGCCTGTTCCTGCTACTTGGGAGGCTGAGGCAGGAGGATCACTTGAACCGAGGCGGCAGAGGTTGCAGTGAGCCGAGATTCCACCACTGCACTCCAGCCTGGGTAACAGAGTGAGACCCTGTCTCAAAAATAATAATAATAATAATAACGCTGTAATTAATAATGTTTCCTTCTTTTACTTATTTTAAGATTTATTTCCAACTGTAAGCTTAACTAACAGATCTATTAATACATACTTTAATTTTAGAGGCTTAAAACATTCAATTCTCTGAATCTAAAGCAAAAAGGAGAAAGTGCAAAATTACAAACATCAAGTAAAAATAGAGAAGGATATTTTGAAGTCAGTTTCCTCTGCAGTTGTCCCTCCCCGTCAGACCAGCCCTGCTCTCCCTGTGTCTCTTCCCACACATGTACTGCCCCTTCTCTGTGTATGAAGAATGAGACTCTCCTGTTGCAGACCAATGCAGTACCCAATTCAGTACCTCCAGAGGAGACCACTATCACGTCCCTGAAGCACAGGGCACTGGTCACAAAGGTGGGTCCAGACCATCACCTCAGAGGCTTAGCATTCTCTGGAATCCAGAATGGAGTTGAACAAGCACCTGCCAGGTTCTGCAGGTGCAAAGCCTTGACAGCATTCCACTGACATCAGAATGGGCAGGCCAAGCCATCAGCTAAGTGCCACCGAGAGAGGAAGCCCAGTCCACTGTGCTAACTGGGCCACCCCGTCTTGTCCCCCTCCCCCCAGCCCCCACAAACACTTCTCCAAATCCAATGCAATCTTAAAGATCTATTTCAGACAATCATCTCCAATCTTCTAACACCTGTTAGCAATTTTAAATCCCTTTAGCAGAAAATCCCTATGACCCCCTTTCAAAGAAAGGGCAGAATGACCTGCTGTCACTTTTTGTTGACACTGTATTTGCTTTTCTGTTAAGCGTCTATACCATACCTAGATAGTAAATAAGAAATGGATGCCATAATAGTAAAACAAAATAAACCAAAACCTTTCTTCCTTAAAGATTCTCTAGTTCTAGTTTATAAGACATAGGAAACATTTTAGGTAACTTGCATTTCTTTTTACTCGGTATTAAGCCCCAAGGAGATAATTTACAGAAAACACTTTTTTAATTTTGCCAATTCTTAAACAATTAAAGGAGGAGAAAACAAGCAATTTAACCAATTCAAACTTATTTAATCAGCATTCAAAATAGGACTAGGCAAACAGCACTTTAAAACCTGCGAAGAAGGTGAAGCTGTTATCACAGTTAGGGTTACGTTTCCAATCACAGCTGTAACATTTTCACCGCACTGATCTTCAGGCAACCACTTAGCACTAATCTCCACCACAGCATTCTGTCAAGTATAATTAGATGACAGAGGCCAGCAATTTCCCTGCAGGCACCAGGAAGGGAGCTGGCATTTGTGCTAGGCTAACTGGACCCACCAATCAAATGTCAAAAGGTCCCAGCGAGCTCTTGTTCACAATTTCACTGAGGTAATTTCAGTTCAGCCGGGGGTTTCATTCAGTTTTTCACCTAAGTTTACTGCATGCCTACTCTTTGCCACGGGTCCTGGGGCCACAGCAGGGACCACAACAGACGCTCTCCCTGTGGAATTTATATTCCTGTGGGCAGAGAGGGACAGCAACAGCTAAACATACAGAATGAATGGGGGTAACTGCTACAGGGGAATAAAGCAGCGATGACATTCTACACAGAGTGACCGTGCCGCACACAGGAGCATGACATGGTAAGGCTTACATTTTGAAAAGTTCATTTAAGCGGAAACAAGAACAGATGGATAGAAGGCAACTCAGTCTCTCTGGCAGAGACCAATATCAAGTCCCAGAGGCACAACACACTAATCACAAGGTGAGCTCCAGACCGTCACCTCAAGAGGCTTAGCATTCCTCTGAGTCCAGAATGGAGCTTAACGAAGCACCGCTGGTTATGAGTCCATGTGCAGAAAAACCCATGTGTGTGTGAGTATGGAGGAAACATTTCAGCAACGTGAACAGCGCACACACTGCTTGCCTCAAGAGAGATGGAAGTATTGGTGGAATTACTTTTTCTTTAGACATCTGCATAAGGTACACTTGATACAAAAAGCAGGCACTGTATTAACAATTTAAAATATCCTTTAAAAGAAATTACATGAAAAAAACAGAAGACTGGAACAAGTTTCAAAACCAAAGGAAGGAAGCAGTTCAAAGGAAGAAGCTATCTCTACAAAAGAGTGAAGGAACAGAAGAACCCTGGCAATGCACTGTGAATCTAACAAGGCAGGAAGGGGCCGGGCAGGGTGGCTCACGCCTGTAATCCCAGCACTTTGGGAGGCCAAGGCGGGCGGATCACAAGGTCAGGAGATCGAGACCATCCTGGCTAACACGGTGAAACCCCGTCTCTACTAAAAATACAAAAAAATTAGCCAGGCGTGGTGGCGGGCGCCTGTAGTCCCAGCTACTCGGGAGGCTGAGGCAGGAGAATGGCGTGAACCCGGGAGGCGGAGCTTGCAGTGAGCCGAGATTGCACCACTGCACTCCAGCCTGGGCAACAGAGCAAGTCTCTGTCTCAAAAAAAAAAAAGAAGGCAGGAAGGGTGGAATTCCAAGCCAGGTGAGCAAAGTCTGGCCACAGGCAGAAGGCAAGACATTATAACAGGTGGTCAAGAGTACAGAATGGCTACAAATGTCAGTAAGGGTACCCATTTTTTCTGTGACATGATGAGGTCATTTGGTGGAAGAAGGAGGTCAGGAGTCTCAAAGATAGTAGAGAAGGCTTAAATATTAGTAAGGTTGTAAGAGAGATGAGTTATGGTTGCCAGGCTAAGTCATTGGCCCATTTGAGATTTGGGTTCTGAATCTATGGAGAAAGGTAATGGGCTCTGGTGGGAGGACTTCCACAGCAGGATTTCGCTACTCAGAAGCTGGGAGGGAGAGTACAGGATTGGCAGAGTATTGCTGAAATGAGGGACTATGAAATACAAGATGGACAAAATAGGGAGTGAAGAATAGGCTAATGGATTGGGATGAAGAAGTGACTGTCCACAAGGGAAGGACTCATGTTGTCCACTGACACAACCACAGTTAGAACAGCGCTTGGTCCAGAGAAAGCAGATACCCAGAATGAAGGAAAAGAGATCCTAATAATGTTGAAAAATAGTTAAAACTAGAGTAGCTGAAGAAATAAGTTTGAGAGACGGAAGGCTTTGGTCAGACTAAGAAAGAAAACATCATCATTCTTAGGTTTTTAAGCATAAAAATAATTTTAGAAACTGCATATAATCTGGTAAACACTTAGTTGTTTTATTAGGTTAGCACGCAAGAAAGAAATTTTCAAGAACTGCTGTTCCTGTAACTTTTAACCCAAACTGGCTGATTCTCAGGTTATTACACTCTGTAGTCAGGAATCAGAAGAGGTATTCCAAGACTTACTGAAGCTCAGCCTGCTTCCCTCTTCTCCTAAATGGAAAGAGGTGGTGCCAGACACAAAATATTTCATTTATCGTTCAGTTACTAGCCCATTTAATACTCACTGTGATATGATTGTAGATAAGCTGAGACCACCCAAAGAGATCTGCTAGTCTATAAAACGCTGCCAATTTACACCGTAATAACTTCTCTCCTTTGTCATACGCAATAGAATCAGATCCTCTAAGATCGTTCACAGGAGTCACCATACCAAGACCTGAAATAAAGAAAAACAAAACTCAGCCAGGTGCAGTGGTATACGCCTGTAGTCCTAGTTACTCAGAAGGCTAAGGCAGGAGGATCACTTGAAGCCATGAGTTTGAGGCTGTAGTGCTTATGATAGCAGCTGTGAATAGCCAAGGCAACAAAGCGAGACTTACCAAAAAGCCTCAAATATTAACATTTCTTATCAAATGTAAATCAAATACTAATGGTTCTGAGATATTTATCTTCCACATTAGACAATAAAGTCTTGAAAACTTCAAAGACAATTTCATAATGACTGTTTTCCAATACTTACACAATTAAGTTAGAAATCAATAACAAAAAGATAGCCAAATTTGTGGCGTGCAGTAAAGCAAGCTTAAAAGGAAATTTACAGCATTAAACGTATACATTAGAGAAGAAAAGTGTTTTTAAGGCTTTCTGATTAAAGCAAAAGTTGAATCTCTGAGAAGTTTAAAAATAAAATACAAATAATAAAATAAGATAAACCTCTAGCCAGACTTAACAAAAGAAAGGAGATAGAAACAACCAATATGGGCTGGGCGCGGTGGCTCACGCCTGTAATCCCAGCACTTTGGGAGGCCGAGGCGGGAGGATCACAAGGTCAGGAGATCGAGACCATCCTGGCTAACAAGGTGAAACCCTGTCTATACCAAAAATACAAAAAATTAGCCAGACGTGGTGGTGGGCGCCTATACTCCCAGCTACTTGGGAGGCTGAGGCAGGAGAATGGCGTGAACCCAGGAGGCGGAGCTTACAGTGAGCCAAGATCACGCCACTGCACTGCAGCCCAGGCGACAGAGCAAGACTCCATCTCAAAAAAAAAAAGAAAAGAGAAAAATTAGCCAGGCATGGAAGGCATGGAGGATCCCTTAAGCCTAGGAGTTCAAGGTTGTAGTGAGCTGTGATCGTGCCACTGTACTCCAGCATGGGTGAAAGAGCAAGAACTTATCTCTAAATAAATAAATACACAAAACAAACAAACAAACAAAAAAACATAATTCACCATAACAAACTAAAGAAGAAAGACTAAGGGATCATTTTAACAGAAAGAAAAGAAGCATTTCACAAAGTTCAACATCCATTCAGAAGGAAAGTTCTCAACAAATCCGGATAATAACTGCAATGATGTGAAACACACTGACTATGTTTAAATCATAAATTCAAATAATACTAAAAAAAAAAAAAACTAATTGTTCATCACTGAAGGATGATTGGAAACCAACTTATTATTTCGGAAAGGGATCCTGCCTTTCCTACACAAACTGTATCACCAGGTAACCAAAAGAACTGAAGGGAAGTTTCTCCTGACAGAACATTCTTGCTAATTAATACAGACGAAATGGGCCAGGTGTGGTGGCTCATGTTCGTAATCCCAGCACTTAGGGAGGCTGAGGCGAGTGGATCACTTGTGGTCAGGAGTTTGAGACCAGCATGGCCAACATGGCGAAATCCGTCTCTACTAAAAATAACAAAAATTAGCCAGGTGTGGTGGTGTGTGCCTGTAATCTCAGCTATTCAGGAGGCTGAGGCAGGAGAACAGCTTGAACCTGGGAGGTGGTAGTTTGCAGGGAGCTGAGATCATGCCACTGCACTCCAGCCTGGGAGACAGAGCAAGACGCCGTCTCAAAAACAACAACAACAAAAAAAAACGGAATCCACATGAAAACTTTCCTAGTGGTGGCCATGTGATTTCAGGATGGAGGTTTGAGCTATGGATTAAATGTGACTCTTAATATTCTGTAGACATTAATTACAATATATATCAGATCTGTTGAATGCTATTCAACTTCTAAGAATACCACAGAGCAGACAGGTAAATAGCAAATGTCAGCAGATCTAACAGAAACCAGTACCTTATTTCGGGCAATCAGATTTGACTATCCAACCAGACCCATCAGAGACTAATCCAAGGTACAATATGCAGTGGCTCAGATTAGTTGATGCTTTGTCATGTTAACATTTGCAAACTCAATTGCCATGGCAAAGCTGCATTCTTGCACAGCTGACCATTCTTTGCTCACATTCACCCATCCAGTACTTTTCCTCTGGCTTTTCTTTTAGAATTTCTCTTTCTCACTAGTTGGGACACAGCAGTGAAGAATGCTAGGTAAGAAATGCTGGCCAGGCAAAACTGATGTGCTACTCCACAGCATTATTTCTATTAGTTTATTTTAATCTACATAGGGGCTGGGAAGACACATAAAAAGTCATCTGCCTCGGAAATAAAGTCTCACTGGCTAAGAAAAGAGGAGTCTGCAACATTCAAGATGATTTCAGAATTCCAGCCTATCTTTTACTATGACTAACGAAAACACATTAATTTTCAAAATACTCAACTCTGTTATGTTATACAGTTAAATGCCCACTTATTTCACATGAGCAATCTTCAGGAAATTTTACCTGAAAACTACAGAACATATATTAAAAATCAGGAACTACTCACTCATGTTTAAGGCAGCCATCCCTCCTTGCGGAGCTGCTGGGTAGACATTTGGTACATTCGTGGTCATAAAATCTGCAATCTGCTGTAATGCCAATAGGCCTGTGGGGTTCTTCCCCTTCTTAAATTGCTCCTGTATCATTGATTCCAATTCTTCACAGAAAGCCTAATAAAAAATATTAAAACACTGAGATACCATTTATTTTCTGTTCCTTGGGCAGGGGGTCAGAAGTAGCTATCACATAGACCAATTTTTGTTTTCATCCAGTGCTGGAAAGGCAAACGGATATTCTCACACATTACTGCTGAGAATATAAACTGGTACATTCTTTTCTAGAAAGTAATTTAATACAATAAAAGCTTAAAACTCTGAACAGGAATTCTACTCTTAGGAATCTATTTTAAGGAAACATTCAAGGAAGTGCTCAAAGACTGATTCATTTGTATGTTCATTCCAGTATTATTGATAAAAGGGAAAAACATCCTACGTTTCAATCAACAGAGGACTGATCAAATACACTGGGAATTCTACGCATGCATTCAACATGAAAAGCTAAAAAAACTTAAATGGCATAAAATTGCTCTTGATATATGTTTGAGTGACAATGTTATCAAGCAGTATAACCAGTCCTTATTACAGCAAATACATACCTAAACATAGAAAAAGATTAAAAGTAAATACATTGGCTGGGCACAGTGGCTCATGCCTGGAATCCCAGCACTTTAGGAGGCGAAGGCAGGTGGATCACCTGAGGTCAGGAGTTCGAGACCAGCCTGGCCAACATGGTGAAACCCCATCTCTACTAAAAATGTAAAAAATTAGCCAGGCGTGGTGGTGGGCGCCTGTAATCCCAGCTACTTGGGAGGCTGAGAAAGGAGAATTGCTTGAACCCAGGAGGCAGAGGTTGCAGTGAGCCGAGATTGGGCCATTGCACTCCAGCCTGGGCAACAGAGCAAGACTTTGTCTCAAAAAAAAAAAAAAAAAAAAAAAGTAAATACATCAAAATGTTCATTGTAATCCTTTTAGTGATAGGATTATTAGTAATTTTTCATATTCTACTTTATCCTTTGCAGTACTTTCTTCAAAATACTTTTCAAATTACTTTTAAATGTGGAAAAAACCCTAACCATCCATCCTTTATCAAATAATACTAAATCAGGCAAAAAAAAGTGCAATTGGATTGATGGTGATTTTAATAGAAAATCACTATTATAACAATACAGATAATTTATATTCCCAACCTGCACTAAAATAATTTTTTCACATACCCTGCAAAGAAATAAATATCGGCCAGGCATGGTGGCTCACGCCTGTAATCCCAGCACTTTGGGAGGCCGAGGCGGGCGGATCACGAGGTCAGGAGATCGAGACCATCCTGGCTAACATGGTGAAACCCCGTCTCTACTAAAAATACAAAAAATAAGCCAGGCGTGGTGGTGGGCGCCTGTAGTCCCAGCTACTCGGGAGGCTGAGGCAGGACAATGGTGTGAACCCGGGAGGCGGAGCTTGCAGTGAGCTGAGATCCCGCCACTGCACTCCAGCTTGGGAGATAGAGCGAGACTCCGTCTCAAAAAAAAAAAAAAAAAAAAAAAAAAAAAAGAAAGAAAGAAATATCTTGTCAAACAATTATAAATGATATCCGGTATGAAAATTTAAGTTCACTGGATGTTAATCCACATCAAATTTACTTCTAGTTTGTCACTGCTTGAGCTGAAAACATATTGCAGGAGATTGCCAAGGGACAGTCTAAGAGTACCTATCACTTGGGGGAAGCACACAACAGACAGATGTATTGCTGTTAATTAAGGGTAGAATAGAATGTCTGTCAAGAGCCCTCTGAGGACCCCCTATTTACCAAACCATGGCAAATAATGTTGCAGATCATATTTTGTAGTCATCCGTGAGGAAGGGAAAAGCTGAGAGGTACTCTGACTGCAAGCAAGAAATAAACAAAGGAAAAAAACAAAACATGGTGATTATTTAGCCATCTTTGTCATCAAAGCACAATGCAATGAGAGAGAAAGGGAGATATGTGCAAATAAAGATAGGGCAGGCGCAGTGGCTTCCACCTGTAACTTCCAGCACTTTGGGAGGCCAAGGGAGGCGGATCACTTGAGGTCAGGAGTTCGAGACCAGCCTGGCCAACATGGTAAAACCTCATCTCTACTAAAAATACAAAAGTTAGCTGGGCATGGAAGCTTGTGCCTGTAATCCTAGCTACTTGGGAGGCTGAGGCAGGAGAATCACTTGAAGCCAGTAGGAGGAGGTTGCAGCGAGCTGGGTATGGTGGTGCACGCTTGTAATCCCAGCTACTCAGGAGGCTGAGGCAGGAGAATCATTTGAACTCGGGAGGTGGAGGCTACAGTGAGCCGAGATCACGCCACTGCACTCCAGCCTGGGCGACAGAGTGAGACTCCATCTCAAAAAAAAAAGAGAGAGAGTAAGAGATACAGATGGCATCTCCTGAACATCACAGACAGTGCTGGTCACAGGGAAAGCAAAAGCTAAATTAAACAAGCTCCTTGCCTTCAGGAGCCCTCAGTCTGAAAATTCAAAGGATCTATTTCAATGGTTTTCAAATCCACATACAGATCTAGGGAAAGCTCAATTCGACACACACTACTAAGTACCAGGCGCTGTTTTAGACACTAAGGATATACATACTGATAAATAATATGGTCCTTGCCATCCAGAAACTTAAAGCTTGGTAAGGAAGACACAAAAAGAAGAAAACCACAGTACAGGAGCCCTATGCATAAAGAGCATTTCAGACGACCTGTAAGTGCAGAAAGGACACGTGGCACAGAGCTGAGCTTAGTCCTGAGTGAGGGCCTGGAGCCACCAATCTGGATCTTAACGTTTGGCTCCAGCCAGCTGTCACTAGCCTAAGGACCTTGTGTGTGCTACTTTGATCATAACTCTTGCTGGTTCAACATCCATACCCTCAGTTTGGGACCCTCATACCTCTCAGCTTTCGGACCTCCTCTCCTCCAAAGACCCTGTCATCCAACCCATCTCAGGCTCCCACGTCCATGGTCAGCACTACACCTGCTCATTCCTAGTAACCATGTCTCTCTTCAATCCCAAAGCCAAGTATGTGCCCTGCAACCACCCCCTCCTAGCATCCAGCTCACACTTTCTTCCATCCATTCATCACCCTAACACCTTCTCACCTTGGCTCACCTCCCCTGTTCTGAACTCCCTCACTGGCTTAGATCCATTGTAATGATTACATTGTAATCCCTTTCTTGCTAACATCTCCAACTCTACCAAACCATCTGGCAAAACCTCAAGCCCCAGGCTGGAGTGCAGTGGTGCAATCATAGCTCACTGCAGCCTCAAACTCCTAAACTCAAGTGATCCTCCTATCTCAGCCTCCCAAAGCACTGGGACTACAGGTATGAGCCACCGCGCCCAGCCTTGATGCTTACTGTGTTCTAAACAACCTGTGGGCAGGAACTTTACTCTCTTATCTCTGCATCCCCAGTGCCTAGAACAATGCCTGGCACACACTAGGTGCTATCAGTTTCAACTCAAAAATGACTCAACTATCCCGAGTCATTTTTACTTAGCTTCTTGTTGTTTTTACGTAAGTAAACTGCTCAAGCCAAAAGTCTCGGTGCTATCCTGATTCTTTTTTTCCCTTTCACTTCTTCCACCCCATCCATCAGCAAGTCCTATTCACACTACCTTCAAAATGAAAGCCATACAAATCTACTTCTTCCTACCTCTACTACGCCACCTTGGCCCAAGCAGCCATGATCTCTCATTTGGACAACAGCTTTTTCTCTTGCCCCAGCCAATTTTCTCTCTAAACCAAACCCAGAATAATTTTCTTTAAAATACCGTTTGTCCTTTCCCTGTCTGCAGCCCTCCAATGATTCTGCCACACACAGAATGCAATGGAAACTCTCAATCTCAGCATACACAGCCTTCCAGGATCTGCTCCCTCCTCTCTCTCCAACCTCACTCTGCCACTCCCAGGCCGAACCACACTGGCTGCCTTCTGCCTCTGTGGGCTCATCAAGCCCATCCCTATCCTAGGAATTTCATGTTAGCTGGTTCCTCAGCTGGGAACACGTCTCCTTTTTTTTTGGAGACAGGGTCTCACTCTGTCACCCAGGCTGGAGTGCACTGGCACGATCACAACTCACTGCAGCCTCAGCTTGAGTGATCCTCCCACCTCAGCCTCCTGAGTAGCTGGGATTGCCGGGGCATGCCACCACACCTAGCTAATTTTTATATTTTTGGTAGAGATGCGGATTCCCCAGGCTGGTCTCGAACTCCTGGGCTCAAGTGATCCACTGCCTTGGCCTCCCAAAGTGCTGGGATTACAGGCATGGGCCACCATGCCCAGCCAAGCACCCACACCCGGCCCCCTCTTGATTCTTGAAAGACTGGCTCCTTCCTGTCATTGAGTTCAGATTAAACCTTCCCTCCTGAGAACAGCCTTTCTGACCACAGTCACACTTAATCTAATCATCCTACTGCTTTCTGCATTGCCCTCCTGCTTGTTCTTTATTGTTTATTTCCTTCGACTAGAATGTAAAGTCCAAGACTTGATCTGGGTAGTTACAGAAGCAACATTTATGTCAAAATTCACCAAGCTATATACTTAAGATTTGTGTACTTTATGTAAGTTATAACTCAGTAACAACAACTAAACAAAATCTACTAAAGGCCTTGTATGTCTAGTTTACTGCTAAATGCCCAGTTCCTTAAACAGCACATAAGAGACAATCAACATCTTTTGTTTTTTTTAAGAAAATCAATAAACTTCTGCCAAATGACACTCCCCTGGTATGAAGGGGCACAGTAAGAACAAATCAGAAGAAGAAGGGACAAAAAAGGATGATGCACACACAAAGGCAGCAGCAGCAACATGAGAAAACTACGCAGATACAACGACCTGATTAAAGGTGCAATCTGGAAAACACTCAGTTGGCCATGACTGTGGCTCAAAATGCTGACTCTAACTAAAGGTATCAATCAATTAGCAGGTACTGTTAAGGCTGACCATACACCCAGGAGACTGAGCTAGGGTTTTTTTTTTTTTTTTTTGAGACAGAGTCTCGCTCTGTTGCCCAGGCTGGAGTGCAGTAGCACAATCTCCGCTCACTGCAACCTCCGCCTCCCGGTTTCAAGTGATTCTCCTGCCTCAGCCGCCCGAGTAGCTGGGATTACAGGCATGCGCCACTATGCCCGGCTAATTTTTTTTTTTTTTGGGACGGAGTCTCTCTATGTCACCCAGGCTGAAGTGCAGTGGCATGATCTCGGCTTACTGCAAGCTCCGCCTCCCGGGTTCACGCCATTCTCCTGCCTCAGCCTCCCGAGTTGCTGGGACTACAGGCGCCCGCCACTACGCCTGGCTAATTTTTTTTTGTATTTTTAGTAGAGATGGGTTTTCACCGTGTTAGCCAGGATGGTCTCGATCTCCTGACCTCGTGATCCACCCATGTTGGCCTCCCAAAGTGCTGGGATTACAGGCGTGAGCCACCGCGCCTGGCCAATTTTTGTATTTTTAATGGAGACAGGGTTTCACCGTGATGGCCAGCCTGGTCTCGAACTTCTGACCTCAAGTGATCCACCCACCTCGGCCTCCCAAAGTGCTGGGATTACAAGCTTGAGCCGACGCACCCAGCCTAAGCTAGGTATTTTTTTAATTGTAATTTAAAAATTGCCCCAATATATAAGGACCCTCTAGAAAAGTCACAAGAGTAAAAAGGAGAAATTAACACTTCCTATCCTTTACGACACTGAAGATTTTTCATTTATGATGTCTGATAACATGAACTGAACTGAATTCTTTCAACAACCATATACGTATACTCAAGGCACTGATTTCCTGTGATAAGATCAATGAACTATGCCACTCATACAACAGGGCATAAGACCTGAAGTATTAGAAAAGGAAAGATGACATCTGGTCAGAGAAAAGACTTCTCTTCTCACAGGGCTTTGCAGAATCATGGACACCCTCTTCTTTTGCTCCATCATGTTGAAGTCCTGGCGAAGGTCTGGTGCCATGTTCCTCTCCCTCAAGTACTCTGGGTTGTTCTCATCTACTCGGTCGAAGTACCTCTCCTTGTGAGGGGCTGTGGTCGGGGGTGGTGAGGTCACCACCGCAGCACGAGAATCACCATTCATTGTACAATCTTTCTAGGTTCCTACAGAATCAAAATAAAAGAAATTATTGTTTTCAAATCAATGTCTAACAGTGTTTCATGATGAGCACATGAGCTTGGTAAACACAATCTTCAACAGGAGGATGTAATGACCAACTGACAGTGGAAACCATGACCTGTGAGGCTTCTTTGTGGCCTCAGAGGCACATGGCTGATCAACCACCTCCCACCCTCCCACTAACCAATGCTGTGTTTTGTCCTAGCCATTGTTCCAAAGAGGAGAACAAGACAACAATCTAACAAAGCAATTAAGTCCTCTGACAAATCCAAAAAGAACTAAATATTAAACTTTTGACCACGTGATTCTTTACAGACATGATTTGTTCCACACAGACAAGATCTGCTAAGAACAGCACAGTTTATTCCAAAAGAAATTTGATTTCTGATTTTTTTTCCCATAAGGTACCAGCAGTGGTTTTGCAAAGGATCCCACAAACAGATCAACAGAAGAGAAGCCACTCACACATAACTCACAAAATGGTAAATGTTCCTCCCTAACAGCTCCTTTCTGGTTAAAAGAACAATGGCAGGTACCAGCAATTTGAGGTCAAGATGCTCAGTTTGTTAATAACCTAACATGCCAAGATGGCTCAAATTTAAAATTCTGTGAATATGGCTACTGACATTACATTCTTTTCTCGGGGGGAGGGGAACAGGGTCTTGTTCTGCCACCGAGGCTGGAGGGCAGTGGCCCAGTCACAGCTCACTGCAACCTCAACCTCCCAGGCTCAAGTGATCCTTCCACCTAAGCCTCCCAAGCAGCTGGGACTATCAGCGTGCACCGCCATGCCCGGCGAATTTTTTAAAAATTTTGTAGAGATGGGGGTATCCCTGAGTTGCAGAGGCTGGTCTCAAACTCCTGGCCTCAAGCAATCCTCTCACCTTGGCCTTCCAAAGTGCTGGGATCACAGGCATGAGCCACCACGCCCTGTTAGCTTTCAAATGTGCATATGAACCACCTGGGAATTGAATTAATACACAAATTAAGATTCATTAGGTCTGGAGTGGGGCCTGAAATTCTGCATGTCTCATCAATTCCCAAGTGATACCAATGCTGCTGAACTTGAACCGCACTTTGGATAACAAGCCTATAAAGTAGAGTTTATTATGCAAAAAAGATATTTTTATTGTGGAACCAATAACCAAAGAATCAGTTGAAGAAATTAGTGTTTTTTTTTAAGAAAAAGATCAATTTGATATTTCTGTTCTAAATGTAAAGATAAGATAAAAATATGCTTAAAGTGGCAGTATTTCTTTCTTTTTTTTTTTTTTTGAGACAGTCTCACTCTGTCGCTCATTCTGGAGTGCAGTGGCATGATCTCGGCTCACTGAAACCTCCGCCTCCCAGGTTCAAGTGATTCTCCTGCCTCAGCCTCCCGAGTAGCTTTGATTACAGGCACGTGCCACCACACCCGGGTAATTTTTGTATTTTTAGTAGAGACGGCGTTTCACCATGTTGGCCAGGCTGGTCTCGAACTCCTGACCTCAGGTGATCCGCCCGCCTAGGCCTCTCAAAGTGCTGGGATTATAGGCGTTAGCCACCGCCCCCAGCCACTACTTCGAGAACTTAAAGGCAAAACATGAAAACAATTGGGGGACTAAACATCAACATAGAATAAACGAACTAATGACCTCAGTGGAATCTTTTTTCTCTTTGTTTTTGAGACAGAGCCTTATTCTGCCACCCAGGCTGGAATGCAGTGGTGCAATCATAGCTCACTACAGCCTGGAACTTGTGGGCTCTCAAGCCATCCCACTGCCTCAGCCTCCTGCATAGCTGAGACTACAGGCCCACATCACCACACCTGGCTATTTTTTTTTTAGTTCTTTGGTAGAGATGAGGTCTCACTATGTTGCCCGGGCTGGTCTCAAACTCCTAGGTTCAAGTGATCCTCCTGCCTCAGACTTCCACAGTGCTGGGATTACAGGCAAGAGCCCAGCCTAAGTGGAATCTCTGAAACTTATTCTTCTCTATTTATATCCTTTAAATTGTTTAATTTATTCTGGTTACCCAATCTATTTATTGTAAACCTTCCAAAAGAATGACCAAAGAACAAAACAATAAGAGTTATCTGGCAATATTTCCTCATTAGATGTAATTAAAGCTGAACATTCTGAGCCAATAATAAAAATGTTCTGCTTCGTGTTTCAAAAACAATAAAAGACCAAAGAAAATCATTATGAGTCCCAATTATAAGCCATTTTCATCGGTAAAAAAGGATATGAGGGTATATTTTAGAGGTAACTATAGCTATTTCCTGGTTCCCAGAAGACAGTGAAAGACAGGAATCTTTGTAAAACCATCATATTTAAGATAAGGCAGGTATTACTTTCCCCTAGTTACAAATTGCTGTGTGAATGGGATAAGATAAACACTGCAGGCCAGGTATATACATGCTCCATTCCTTCAATAAGGAAGTCTATAAATGTAAATCAAAATGAAAGTATACACATTCTGAGCCCAGTAATCAAGATTAAGCATAATTCTACTTTGCAGTACAAACCTGTCCTTCATTTTTATCAATTATGACTGCAGGTTTCATCAACTTAGTTTTCAAGTAAAATCTCTACAGAGAAGTTATTATTTGCTGGGTACAGTGGCACATGTCTGTAATCCTGGCACTTTGGGAGGCCGAGGCAAGTGGATGCCTGAGCTCAGGAGATTGAAACCAGCCTGGGCAACATGGTGACACCCTGTTTCTAATAAAAATGCAAAAATTAGCGGGGCGTGGGGGCACGCACCTGTAATCTCAGCTACTCAGGAGGCTGAGGCACAAGAATTACTTCAACCTGGGAGGCAAAGTTTGCAGTGAGCTGAGTCATGCCGCTGCACTCCAGCCTGAACAACAGAGTAAGACTCCGTCTTAAAAAATAATAATAATATTATTTAATCAAAAAGTTAAAAAAAGAGAGAGAAAGGGAAAAACATGCAAAAAACTAACTTCTGGAACATTTTTCATAGTATCTTAGAATAAATTTAAACTAATTTAAAATAAAATAATTTTAAAAGTAGGAACAGGTCAGGCGTGGTGGCTCATGCCTGTAATCCCAGCACTTTGAGAAGCTGATGTGGGAAGATCACTTGAGCCCAGGAGTTCCAAGCTGTCTAGCTTACATAGTAAAGACTGCATCTCAACAAAAAAAATCAAAAAAATTAGCCAGGAGTGATGGCACACGCCTGTAGTCTCAGCTACTCAGGAGTCCGAGGAGAGAGGATCACTCGACCTGGGAGGTCAAGGCTGCAGAGAGCCATGATGGCACCACTACACTCCAGCATGGGTGACAGAGCAAGACCCTGACTCAAATAAATAAATGTAACATAAACATTAAAATCTGCTCAATACAATATCATGTAACTACAGAGACTCTTTAGCATAATACAGATAAAAGAGTATAAAACATATTAAGTGGCAAACTATATTTCTTATTCTATTATGTAATGCCATAATTATACACTGGCAAAATGATATAATGGCAAATAAGCTGGAATAAATTTGAGTAAGTTGATTAAAGTATGGATGAATGTTTCTCTATCTCAATATTCTATAATGTTGCTTTGATTTTACTTATGTAATACATTTTAAGATTTCACCATCAACAATATATTGATAGCTAAATTAATGAAATCTTTGGGAACAATATTTTCAAATAAACACAGACAACAGAAAACAAAAATCTGGATGAACCGTGACAAATAAGTATGGCCTGCCCAAGTGACATCTGCTTCCTCCACATCTCCCATCCCCCAGATGTCACTCAAATCCAAGTTGTCATCACTCACTTCCTGGACACTCAACGGCCTCCTAATTGGTTTCTCTACTTCCAGTCTCTTAACAACCCCCACAACAATCCATTCTCTAAAACTTGGCCATAGAGAGTTTTAATGTAAGTCAGATCATGTCACTCACTCCTCTGCTTAAAATCTGAGAACTAATATGTGGACCTTAGTAGGATCCTGATTGAAACAAACTGTAAAATAAAAATCTAAAAGTGACATTTGAGACAACTAGAAATTTGAACACTAGCTAGATTTTGATGGTATTAAGAAATTAGTTTTACATTTTAGGTGTAGTATTACTAGGATTATATTAGATACAGAAATGTTTCTGGATAAAATGACATCTGAAATGTGCCTAAAACTTATATGGGGGCAAGGGGAAATGAAGTTACATAAGACTAGCCATGAGCTAACCACTGACACTGGATGAAGGTTAGAGCAGGACTCATCACACCGTGCTGTCTATTTTGTATGTGTTTGAAACGCTCCGTGATTCTTCTTGCTCTCAGAAGAAAGCACCTCCAGACCTTACATGAGCTGGTCTCTGCCGGCCTTCAGATGAAGATATTTCAGCATGCTTTTTCAGACTGATACTACTAAGATCAGGATGAACAGCTATCTTAACATCCCTTTTTAAAAAATTTATGTTTTTATTTAATGTTTCCAAATATAAAAAGTCAAGACACTTACACCAACTATCTCAAATGACATAAAAGCAATTCAGTGTGTTTAACAATCATATTTCCCCTTCAGTTCTGCTGCTTTATACAATGGTATGATCGACAGGTAAATTGGATGGCATGTGCCTGGTTAGAAAATGTCATCTGTTGGCCAGGCACGGTGGCTCACGCCTGTAATCACAGCACTTTGGGAGGCCGAGGAGGGTGGATCACGAGGTGAGGAGATCGAGACCATCCTGGCTAACACGGTGAAACCCCATCTCTACTAAAAATACAAAAAAAAATTAGCCGGGTGTGGTGGCGCGCACCTGTAGTCCCAGCTACTCGGGAGGCTGAGACAGGAGAATGGCATGAACCCGGCAGGCACAGATTGCAGTGAGCCAAGATCATGCCACTGCACTCCAACCTGGGTGACAGAGCGAGACTCCAGCTCAAAAAAAAAAAAAAAGAAAGAAAATGTCATCTGTTTACAAAAAAAACAGCATGCAGCATAGTTTCTATTTTGTCTACAGTCAATTCACAAACTACTTACTTTGTTTTTTGTTTAGGAGGCACATGGAACTGAAAATTTTAGCTGCCCAATTTTATTCAACTACCCCACAAAAAAACACAAATGACAATCCTAACACTCTTCAATCTTTGGAGGGTTGAAATAGTAGACATTATTTGTTATCTTCAGTAGATTCAACTATTTAGCCTGAAAATGTTAACTTTTTCTCTTAACAGAGATAAATCTCCTTAGGGCCTTTCCTCTAATTTTGCTAGACTAGGTTCCAGAAGCCTAGTGAAGAACCCCTCCTGTGACATTTAAAGTGTGAAAACTGTAAAGTACTCTGTTGCATTATACAAATTCTTGCTAGCTGGACAGACTAAGGACAGTTGGTTTGCTAAATGGCATTGAAGAAAATCCTGACTGAACAGCACTCTCTGTTGCATTATACAAATTCTTGCTAGCTGGACAGACTAAGGACAGTTGGTTTGCTAAATGGCATTGAAGAAAATCCTGACTGAACAGCACTATTTAGTCCAAATAACGTCTCTTTTCTAATGTCCCAGAAAACACCACTCTACCTAGTACATTATTTACTGACTCGGAAATAACAAAGGTTATGCTGGAATATTCTTTCTTAGCAGAAGTACTGCAGCCCTGGGATGATCCATCTTTATTAATGTGTAACTAAACCTCAGGTCAGATACCAGACAAATTTTTGCTTCTCTCAAATATATAATGAGGGAATTCTGAAACTTTTGGACAGATTCAATTATTTATTGGCATCTCCCTTCTGGCACAGACATCTTTGCTAAGGGTAACTATTCCCAGCATTCACATGATTTACTTTTGAATCCCTAAAGCTGGAACATGAAAACTTACGGCTGAAACTAGGAAGAAGAGAGCCATTAAAGAAAGCCTCCGTGTAAAATGCCTGCTAGAGGACCCAAAGGATCTTGTCAGATTTCTAATGCTCTTTGATTGTCAGCTAATAATGAATTACTGCTCCGTGGGAAAAAGGAGATAATGAAAGTGGTATCCCCTGGTAATGTCCTTGGCCACCTGGCACCCGACTCCAGAGAGCCTTTGGAATTGTCAATAGGAGACCAAGAAGAGAGGTGATCTCTGCAGTATCTTCCCTTATTTCTACTAACTCCTGGCGCATAATAAATTTGCACTGGAGACACCTTCCACCTTACATGCAAGGCACCAGAGACTGAAAAATACGAAGAGCAGGAGATAACAAACAAAATTCTCTCAGTGCATGACAGAACTCCACTTACAGTATATCAGCAGGGGGAAAGTGTCCATGAGTGGGAGGTAGAAAGAACTGAGAGAGGATATTATGAGTTGGACTGTGTCCACTCCCCAAAATTCACATGTTGAAGCCCTAACCCCCAGTTCCTCAGAATATGCCCTTATTTGGAAATAGGGTCGCTACAGATGTAATTAGTTAAGATGGGGTCCACAAGGCAGACCTAATCCAAAATGACTTATGTCCTTATAAAACGGAAAATGCGGACAAAGAGACACGCACAGGGAGAACTAAGTGTAGATGAAGGCAGAGGTGGACGCAGTGCTTCCTCAAGCCAAGAAACGCCAAGGACTGCCGACTACCGAGCTAGGATGGGGCCCATTCTCCCTCACAGCCTCGGGAGGAACCAGCCCTGCCCACACCCTGATCTTAGACTTCTAGCCTCCAGAACTGTGAGATGACACATTACTGTTGTTTAAGCCCCTGGTCTGTGGCACTTTGTTACAGCAGCTCTAGGAAACTCATAGAGAGGGGCTGTCAGGAAAGCTTCACTGAGATGATTTCAGAGGTAAAACGTGACTGCCAGGTGGCTTGGGGAAGGCAGCAGTCACCTGGTGAATAAACATCTACTGAGCTTTAGGGAGTAGCACAGAAAACACAGCAGAGTGAGCGCAGTCAACCGTCGTCTGATTTCACATGCAGTACCTGGCACCCAGCAGGTGTTCCACATATTTTTAATGACCTAATTTAACTATTCTCTCTATTCTAAACCTTTCAGCCCCCACTCATTCTCAATATCCAACTCGAATGCTTCCCGCTCTATGAAGGTTCCCCACGCCCCAAGCCTGGCACCTGGACTCCTGTGTGTCAACATACACCATTCCCACCTCTCCCATGGCCACTTTCAAACAGGACCAAATCATATGCGGATAAATTATCTGGGTACATACTTGCTCCATCACTGGTCTGTGGGCCTGTGAAATACAGGGACAATACATTTCTAACTCATGTTTGTACAAGGGCCCTGGGGGAGTGTGTCATACATAGCAGGGGCTCAAATGAGACTGTTTATTCCCGAAGGAGGGTATTTGCCACAAGGGACATCTAACTTCCCTGGGACAAAGGGCTCCAAGAGGTCTGCATCCAAAATGAAACTGCATCGTCAGGAAATACGCAGTGAAACAGAAGGTGGAGAGTTCGCTGGAAAGAGTAACAAGATTGTAAACAGACTTGGGGGCTCCGACACTGAAGACTAAATCCAGGCAGAGGGCTGGGAACAGTGCAGCCGTCAGCACACACCCTGGCCAGCACCAAGAGACATGGACGCCCTGGCCAGAAATTCATTACAAACACTTGGAAACCTGCAATACTGGAAGGCTGCAGCACCAGCCAATGCAAAGGAAATCCCTGTAATCTACTGGCAGGAGGGAGCCCAACATCTGGCGCTATCTCCCAAACACAACCGTAGTTAAGCTCTAACCCCCCACTGCTTACAGTACTAGCCTAATGACACAGTTCTCCACCACCCTAAAAGAGAACACCCACCTTATGTTGAAGGTTCTTCTTCACAGCTTTAGGCTGACGGAGTGTGCCCTGTTTGGGACCTCAGAGCTCAGTTAAAAGCCTTTAATTACTCTGATCGGATCATTTCTATTCCTGTGTCTCCGGATGTCCTCTTGCAGAAGCAGCTGCTCAAAAGGCCCCTTTCAAATAATCACAGCTACAGTTATCACTGCTCACTATGTGTGTTTTAACTCATTTTTTCTGCAGATAAGGCACAACACAGTTAAGCAGCCAGTAATGGGGTTGCTGGAGTCTGAACTCGGGCTGCCTGACTCCAGAGCTCCTCCTCCTCCCTCTAATCCACATTCTCTCTGACAATCAGGATGTCTCAAAACAGCTCCAATTAGAAACAAAAGCAAAAAGTAAAACTGAACCACAGCAATTTGTCCCAGCCTACTCAAGTGGGTCCTCTTGCTTCCTCCCTTTTATGATGAATGGTTAGTTAACGGCTTCCCAGCCTAAATCATCCACATTTTATTAAGTCTTTTATACAATTACATAGCTGGTGTTGTTTTTCTTTTAACTACAGCATTAATTAATCCTATGGTATGTTATGAGAGATATTCCAGTTACTTGCTTAAGGTTTAGTAGGCAGTAAGTGGAGAAGCAAGAATCTGAAATTAAGACTATGGTTTGGAGACCGCACTCTTAATTGCTTCTCATTAAACTGTGTTCTTGTTGCTGACAACAGGACTCTCCAGTCCAAGGGTCAGTACTGAGCCAAAAATCAGAGGTTGGTTCCACTCATACTCCTATAAAACTTCAACACGTATGGAGTTACCTCACCTGTAAAGTAAAAACAGCTCCCCATCCCAAACTCCAGACCTAATTTTTCCCAAACCCAGTTGAGGAAAATGCAGCTAGAAAATGCAAGGGATCCAGAAAAGTGACCACGAATTGTCTAAAGACCCTATAAAGACCACTGCAGAGAACAATGTTCTCACACACACTCGTTAATTCCAACCACCCTGCAAGATTCCTCCATGTGCAGATCAAGACTGACTCAGTGTTTTTGTGGGTTTTCCTTCTTTCTTTCTTTTTCAGACTGGGTCTTGCTCTGTCATCCAGGCTGAAGTGCAGTGGCGTGATGTTGGCTCACTGCAACCTCTGCCCCCGGGCTCAAGTGATCCTCCCATCTCAGCCTCCCAAGTAGCTTGGGACTACAGGAGCGTGCCACCATGCCCAGATAATTATTATATTTTTTGTAGAGATGGGGTTTCACCAAGTTTCCCAGGCTGGTCTTGAACTCCTGGGCTCAAGCAATCCACCCACCTTGGCTTCCCAAAGTATTGGGATTACAGGTGTGCTGGCTCAGAGTTTTAAGCTTCAGAGGTCTCACAATAAATAAATGGCCGGCTCAAAACCTAAATCCAAGACTACTCACTCTCAATGCCAAGCTCATCTACTGTATTGCAGCACAGAAAATCAAAATGTAAACACGGGAAGAGCTAGCAGGCATACTGGGGCTCTTCTGTGTAGTTCAGCACCATCTCCCCACCATTTAGCACAGAACAGGCCTCAATAAATATTTGGTAAATGAATGAATGATAAAAGAACACAAAATCATTCTGTATTACTAATTTTAACAAAATTTGTTTTCATCCCAAAAAAAAAAAACGATTTAAAATAACCTCCAGGCCAGGCACAGAGGCTGACGCCTGTAATCCCAGCACTCTGGGAGGCCAAGGCGGACAGATCACCTGAGGTCAGGACTTTGAGACCAGCCTGGCCAACATGGTGAAACCCCGTCTGTACTAAAAATACACACACACAAAAAATTAGCTGGGTGTGATGGTGCGTGCCTGTAGTCCCAGCTATTCCAGAGGCTGAGGCAGGAGAATTGCTTGAACCCGGAAGGCGAAGGGTGCAGTAAGCCGAGATTGTGCTACTGCACTCCAGCCTGGGGAACAGAGGGAGACTGCCTCAAAAAATAAAATAAAATAACATCCAGAATCTTCAGATGGCCCATGAACAAATATCAATCAGCATACTCTTAAACAAGTTCTTCCAAGAAGAAATTCCACAAAGCAGACTGCAGTTAAGATTTCAGGAGTGAATCTAGAAATAATTTTATAAGTATGCTATCTCGCAATTGAGCAAATAACACAACCCAGAGAGACTCTGCTGTAGTTACTATACTAATTCACATATTCTGAGCCACATGTCCTGAACAATTACATGTGGGAAAAAGCAGAATTTGACTTATCTTCTGGCAATGTCAGCTACTTTCTCTATTTTTGCTCCCTCATTATACTGTTACTGTCCTTCAATTAATATAATATTTTAATTTTTTAACTATAGTTTTGTTGAAGTGATGAAATCTTTCAAAATCTTTTTATTGAAACAAAATTTTTTTTCTGAATTTCACTCTGTGAGGGTGGTTTGCTAAGTAAGGTTTGAGTTGGATTTTATTTTTCTGGAGCAGGGGGAAGGTAGGGAAGTTTGGCAGGATTGTAGATAAGGGAGATTAAAATACTGACCACAAAAAACAAACAGGCAGTTTTGACAGAATTTAATAATCAACAACTAAAAGTTCCTAGTTGTGAAGCAGTTGTTTTATCTGAAAGACAAATGATAAAAGAAAGCTTTGAAAATTATAGCAAGGGCTCATAAACTGAGAACACCACAATGGGTAAGTGAACTGAGAAAAACGTATTTATTCTGTACACGCAAAGGCTGAGACATGAGATACTTCATTAACTCTGAAACTTCTGAGGATGGTGCCAGGTTTTCCTTTTTAGAGCTAGGCAGGAAGCATTTAAAAATCACAAAAATAAGCCTAAGAAGACTTGCCAAAGGTATGTTCATTGAAAATTAATTGTGTCAGCTGATGGAGACTTGAAAGTCTTTATGCTATCAAGTAATTATGAGTACACAAAATTTTAGATGGTCTAGTCTTCACAAAAACAAGGAAATACTGTCAGGCAGGAAAAAAAAAACAAGAGAAAATAGTGTATGTATGGCATCTTTTGTGGGGAGAAGGAAGAGAATAAGAAAAACATTCACATTTCCTTCTATTTGCATAAAGAAATGCAGGAAGAATATACAACTTACAATGGTGATTTACTTGTAAGGAGGAACAGGGAGCTGGGTGGATGGGGACAGAGATGACCAGGAGATCCTTTATTTGTTCATAGATATACACACACACATTTTTAAAGATTAATTTATAAAAGGGAAATTTACAAAATAATAAAATTTGAAAAATAAAACAAGTGAGGCACAATGGGGTCCAGGAGTTCAAATCCAGCCAGGCAACAAAGCAAGACCCCATCTCTTAAAAAACCAAAAACTCAAACCATTAAGAACGTGAATAAAATAATAAGCATCACTGAGAGCAATAAGCCCCCCTTCCCTGCTGACATCAGCGCCCCCCACCTCCTGGAGAGTAGACTCCAGAGGGAGCCAGGGACCCTGACAAGAAAAAGGAAGGAAGTGTAAACACCTAAGAGTGATTATAAGCATAGGGCCACCTGGCAGAAGGGCACACAGAGCAGGACTCCAAAAATCTCCTGAACTTGGCATCTCAGATACATTCTAATAAATAAAATAATAAGCATCACTGTGAGTATAAAATGAACAGAGGACACTGTTGGAACATTGTATTTTCAGCAGCATAATGATACAAAACATTTGTTTAAAGTTTTATATTTTACAATATAAATCCTGTTTTTTGTTTTGTTTTGTTTTGTTTTTTGAGGCGGAGTCTCGCTCTGTCACCCAGGGTGGAGCAATGGCACGCACGATCTTGGCTCACTGCAACCTCCGCCTCCCGGGTTCAAGCAATTCTCCTGCCTCAGCCTCCCGAACAGCTGGGACTACGGGCACACGCCACCACGCCCAGCTAATTTTTTGTATTTTAGTAGAGATGGGGTTTCACCGTATCGCCCAGGCTGTTCTCGAACTCCTGAACTCAGGAAATCTGCCCACCTCGGCCTCCCAAAGTGCTAGGATTAAAGGCGTGAGCCACCACGCCCGGCCATAAATTCTGTTATTTAAGTGTTTTAGCAGGATAGCCTTATCCTGATCTCACAGGTCATAAAATGTAGGTCCTCGGAGATTGTGTCTTACCCTAAGGTAGAGACAGTAAGTTAACCAAACTCTCTAGTTGACAGTGTATAGGGGTTAAATGTGCCCCACATGGTCTCCACTCCAAAATGATTCTGTTCATATCAGAATAGAATCTTTTCTTTCTTATCTTTTCTCTGGGACTCAGTTTTTCCATCTATAAACAGGGTATAGTAGCCAGGCACAGTGGCTCATGACTGTACTCACAGCTACTTGGGAGGCTGAGGCAGGAGGATCTCTTCAGCCCAGGAGTTTGAGACCAGCCTGGGCAACACAGTGAGACCCTATCTCTTAGAAAACAAAACAACAAAACAAAACAAAAAAAAACAAGGTGTAGTAATGGCAACCATGAGTGATACAGTAAAATCAAAAATGCTGTCTGGAAAGCATTTAGAGTGTTTGGCAGACAGCAGACACTCACTGTAGGGTGGCTAAGATTACTGGACAAACCTAAGAACCAAGTATCCTGGCTTCCAAGCCTATGAACTTTCCACAGCACCAAATTGCTTCTTGCAATGATTTTTACTGTCAGTGACAACTGAAAATTTCTGATCCCTGTCATAACACTTGGTCTCCAAAATACATTAAATACTGTTTCTCATATATATAATTTGCTTCTAATTATTACTACCACTTTCCTATATTAACATTCAAATAATTTCTGAAGTCTAAAAATTCCAAGTAAAGCCTTGTACAGTGGCTCACAACTGTAATCCCAGCACCTTGGGAGGCAGAGGTGGGCAGATTGCTTCAGCCCAGAGTTTGAGACTAGCCTGGGCAATATGGCAGAACCCTAGCTCTACCAAAAAAAAAAAAAAAAAAAATTAAAAATTAGCTGGGCGTGGTGGCATGCACCTGTAGTCCCAGCTACTTAGGAGTCTGAGGTGAGAGGATCACTTGAGCCTAGTAGAGGCTGTAGTGGGCCATGACCATCCCACTGCACTCTAGCCTGGGTGACAGAGTGAAGCTCTGTCTCAAAAAAATTCAATAGGCATGACAGTACTGAGGTAGAGGGGAGAAGCCACACTCCAGAAGTCTCTATAGTTGGGTCATGGAGAGAAGTGGCAGATCCCATGCAACTTTTCAAATGCAACTGGAGCAGAGTCAAAGGATGACAATCATTTTCATGGAGTCAGCACTCAGTCACCAAATATCTACCAAGCACTAACTGTGAGGCTGCTATAGACCAGGCATTGCTCAGCAATCCACATTCTCAGGGGACATCAATGAACAAAACAAAGATTTCTTACATTCCTGCAGGGAAGCCAGGCAATAAACATGATAAATAAGTAAATCACACAGTCTGTTAGAAGGCGACAAGTGCTATGGGTAGGGAACTGGGAGTCCAGGGGGTGGGGAGGTGAGTCACATCATTAAGTAGGAAGAGCAAAGGAAAGCTCCCAGAGAAGGGGACAGCTAAGGAAGGACTCACAGACAAACAGGTGGTGAGAGCACTAGGCCAGGTGGCCATATATCCAGAAAGGCACTCCAGGCAGAGAGAAAGCTAGAGCCAAAACTCCAGGTAAGAACTGGCTTTTGTTTGGGAATGGGAGAGGGGAATAAGGCTGTCTGTTTATCATCTCCTTTCTTTAAGCATTGAGACAGTTCAGTTACATTTTGGTTAATAAGCAAAGATAAAAAGAGGCTAAGAAAAGAGCATCCTGTTTAATTTTAAATAGAAAACTAATGTCAGGGGTAGGATTTGAATCTACAGCTCCTAAAACCCTGGTTTGAACCTCTGAGACCCATTCAGTGAAGCTAGTTTCAATTCCTTCTGAGCGCATTCACTTTACCAGCTCTCAGCAGCATCTGGCACAGCTGCTCCCACTTTCAGGAGTCACTGTCCTCTTCCAGTTTTCAGACATCAGTTTCTGGTTTTCCTCCAACCTCTCCAGCTACTGCTGTGAGTCTCCCTTGCTGTTCTACCTCTTCTATCCAACTTCTACCTGCTGGGCTGCCCCAGTACCCTGAGCTGCTTGTCTTCCCTAGCTATACCATTGCCTTAAGCCAGGGGTGTCCAATCTTTTGGCTTCCCTGGGCCACACTGGAAGAAGAATTGTCTCGGGCCACACATAAAATACACTAACACTAATGATAGTTGATGAACTTAAATCTCATAATGTTTTAAGAAAGTTTACGAATTTGTGTTAGGCTGCATTCAAAGCTGTCCTGGGCCACATGTGGGCAACAGGTTGGACAAGTTTGCCTTAAAGGATCACACTGATCCAGGCCCATCCTTGGCTCTAAATACCACCTCCACCAGTGGTTCTCAGCCCTCGTCATACATTAGAGCCACCTAGATAGATTTAAAACAAACCATGGCTAGACCCAAACCCAGACCCACAGAATCTGAATCTCTAGGAATGGAGCTTGGGCATGAGCATTTTTAAAGGTGAGTCAAATGTGCACTCACAGTTGAGAACCACTGATTTATATACACTAATGGGCCCCAAATTTTTATCTCTAGCCCTAAACTCTTCCCTGAGGCCAAACTTGTATGTCCAAATGCCAACAAAACATCTGTTTGAATATTTAAAGTCTACTCAAACCTAACTTATTCAAAATAAGACTCTTAATCTCTAGTCTTGTCTCTCTGTATCTAAACTCATAAACTCTTAATAATTCATTCTCCATAAAGGTATTAATATATTTAAATGTCGCACCCTACTTAATTTGGGAGTGGTAGCTCATGCCTGTAATCCCAGCACTTTGGGAGGCCAAGGACCACTTGGGGCCAAGAGTTCAATGGCTTCCCACAGTCCCTAGAATAAAATCTGCACTCTTGACCCCAATATGCAGGGGCCTTCCCATTTTGGCCCCCAGCCCCCACGCTCCCTTGCTCACCATTTCCCAGACACACTAGTCTCCCTTCTGTCCTCAAACACTCCCAGCCCCTTCCTGCCTCAGAGTCTTTGTACTTGCTGTCCTCTCTGCCTAGAACAAAGAATTTATTCCAGCTACTTTGAATGCCTTAGTCCTTATCAGTTAGGCTGCAGGTCAAATTTCAACTGGAAATTTTGAAGTTTGCTTCCCTGCCCACCCTATTTAGAATAGTCCCCACTCCCAGCTCTCTCAAATCACCCTGGACTTTTTGTGTTTTCTTACCCTTCAAAGTACTTACCATCACTATCAGGGCACAGACTCTGGAGCTAGACTGCTTGAGTTCAAACTCCAGCTCAGCCACTTACTGACTCTGTAATTTTGGCAAGATTTCTTAACTTCCCTGGTGGAAGTTTCCACATTTGAAATATGAGTTTAACAACAGGTTAATGCATGTAAAATGCTTAGAATAAGTGCCTGACAAATAGGAAGTACTTAAGTGTTAACTCTTAGTATTACTGTCAGAAATAAACTATCTCCCCTAGTATAATAAAACTCCCAAGAGGACAAGAAACTGGTCTGTCTCATTCACTACTGTATTCACAGAGCTGTCACGTAATAGTCTCTCAATTAATACATATGGAAGAACAAATACATTTCCAGATCTAACATTTTGGACTAACAACGCTAATCTAAGTTTTGTTTCTAGAGGCATATGACTAAGAAAAACCTTTGCTTTGCTTCATTCAATCACAACTGACGTCCGACTGAAGAGACCCTTGGAGTACAGCAACAAACTAAAACACTCCAAATTTCACTCACAAGTTCGCCACTCACAAGGAAATTCCAGACTGCAAATGGACAATCTGCATATCAAATTGGGTTTTGTATCTCTGAATTAAGAAGGTCTTATGTTTCCAAAATCACGTCAATTCCCAAAGTTGATAAAGCAAACGTAGCTAGTATGTCTGCCTCTAGATGACTCGATTTGGAGACTAAAGCTCACACAAACAACTCCCAGAGGTAGGACAATAAGAAAAGAAGAAAAGGAGATTTCTAGACCTCAGGGAAGTTATAACTAAGTGAGCATGGTACCTGCTCACTTTATGAAACCCCATAAAGACTGCAGGAAGACTCAGCTAAGTCAGGAAGCACAGGTTGACCAGACACATCAGTATAGAAAACTCTACGTAAGATTTTATAAGGAAGGAAAAAACCAACACTCTATAATCTAATTAAACACGTAAGGAGGGATTAACAGTACTAACCTGAGAATGTTTCTCCTGAAAAAAAAAAAAAATGGAGCAATATCAGGGGAACCATTTAATAATTATAAAACAGTAAGATGGAAAAGTATGTCATTATAAAGTGATCTTATGAATAACGCAGCTGCTGAATGAAATGGCAGCAAACAATGTGTCTAAAGTGGTAACTGCTTGAAGGTTAAGCCTGACACTGGAAAGGAAACCTTACAGTAAAGAAAACCTCCAAAATGGGTGAGGATTAAATAAAAAGTTTCATTTCCTTTTGGCTTACATACTCCGAAAAGGAAGCAGAGGCTATCACTAAAATTTCTCTGTTTTGGTAGATGGGAAATGTCTGCTTTGGTTTTGCTTTTTTGAGACAGGGTCTCACGGTTGCCAAGGCTGGAGTGTAGAAATGTCTACTTTATTTGGCATCTCTCTCAGTATGTGAGCATGAATTTTTTTATATGCTTATTTACATTTAAAATTTCCCATGGCCTATGATTTCCTTTGTACACATATCTGTTGAGATCTTGATGTATTTATTTCTACACATCTGAAAAAAATAGTACAGGTATTGACCCTTTTATCATATTTGTCATTCTCAGACTACTATCTTCTATAATTTTATTTTTCAATAAGAAAATATTTTAACATTTTGCATATTTAGGTTGACAAACCTTTTCCTTTGTGATTTCTTCTGGTTTTAAAAAGAAAGTTATCATTCCTTCCCAGGCACACATCTAATAAAATGTTCCAAGAAAATGTTAAGGCGTTATCTCTGATAAACATTTTATTTTGCTTTTTCTCCACAGTGCCTCTATAATTTTAAACATTTCTTTTTAATCCACCTGGGATTTATTTTGATGAATGGTATGTTTTCCAGCTATCACATCATCAACAATCCCTTCTCCCCACAGACATAGAGGCGCAGGGCCCAATGATGCAGGTTTTGACTTTGTACCAGCAACGCCCTACGATCACTTCATAGGCTTATTGTCTTCTGTACTTCAGTTTCCACATTTGTAATAAAATACACTCGGTGATATGTTCCCAGGTTGTTGGGGCAATTAGAAATAATAAATGTAAAATGTCTAGCACAATGTCTGGCACATAGACGTCCCATAATAGTAAATATGTTTATTATTCTTTGTTTGTTGAGCCATGGTCTCACTACGTGGCCAAGGCTGGTCTCAAACTCCTGGTTTCAAGTGATCCTCTGACCTCAGCTTCCCAAACTGCTAGAAATACAGGCATGAGCCACTGCCTGGCCTTGGGTGTGGTTTTGGAAATGACTGAGTGAAGCAACTAAAGATAAGCCAACCATCTGTTTAACTGAACAAATGTGAGTGAACTTTAATGCACCCTATCCTGTTTATATTTCCAAAATCTGTCTGGTATCACTAGTGCAGAAAAGAATCTGGTTTGGGTGTTTATCAAAATTCCACCAGCCTTGCAATGCTGATTAATAAATGTGCTCAATTCCTATCTATGGTTTATAGTCTAAGGCCAGAGAACCCAGGTTCTGATCCCAGTTCACTAAACCGCGTAACCTTAGGCACATTTCTTCATCTCTGTCTATTTCAGTTTCTTCATCTGTAAAATGAGAATCATTATCTACTTCCTTGGTTTAAGATTAAACGAGTTAACTTATGTCAAGTGTTTAGCACAAGGTACATAGTAAACAGTAAGTGGTAGCTATCACTATTATTATTAGCAGTAGCAGCAATAGCATCATCTTTAAAGACTGACTGAATCTCTTTAAAAAGGACACCAGAAGAACATTCTGTAATGGACACTAATTAACTGTCTTTCTTGGTATTTGCAGGGGGACACATATCTCCACCACATAGTAGAGTTCCCTCCTAGAGGCTGTTATCACGGCTTCGTATGGTCATTTTTTTAATCCAACTGCCAGACTGCAAGCTTACTGAAGGCAAGAGCTATTACAATGCTTTACTTCCAATATTCCTAACACAATGCTCTGAATGCAGCAGATCTTAAATAAATGCTTATTAAATTACTAAAATAAAAAAAAAGCAATGAGACAGAACCTTAGAAGCATGTATTTTCTGCCCCAGAAGGAACTTTAGAAGTCATTTTACAGATGCTAAAATAGAGTTCCAGAACAAAGTAATGATTTTACCAAAGTCTCGTATACTGGCCATACTGGAGTCAGTTCCCCTGTATCATGGAAAACACACCAACACACCTCACTCACTCCCTGGGCTGTCAAACCGTGCACTTTGGAACCAACCTCACACTGAATACACCTTTTGTACATTTTAAACTAGTGCCCAATCACTATTTCCATTTGGAGACCTCAACTAAGGCAAATACTTGAAAATCCCTACCACTCAGATTTTCTTTTTGAGACAGGGTCTCATTCTGTCACCCAGGCTGGAGTGCAGTGGCACAATCTCAGCTCACTGCAACCTCCACCTCCTGAGCTCAAGTGATCCTCCCACCTCAGCCTCCTGAGTAGCTCAGACCACAAGTGCACCCCATCATGTCCGGCTAATTTTTGTATTTTATGTAGAGACAGGGTTTCGATTTACCCACACTGGTCTCAAACTCCTGGGCTCAAGCGATCCTCTAACTTCAGCCTCTTGAGTAGCTGGGACTCTGAGACTGCAGGAGCACCACCACACCTGCTAACTTTTAGAATAAAAGAAATTTAAATTGAATTTTTAGGTCAAAAAATGAGTAACAGCTTAGATACAAAGAGGAATTTGCGAATTAAAACACAGCTTTGAAAAAATTGCCCTGGCCGGGTGTGGTGGCTCACGTCTGTAATCTTAGCACTTTGGGAGGCTGAGACAGGCAGATCATGAGGTCAGGAGTTCAAGACCAGCCTGGCTAACATGGTGAAACCCTGTCTCTACTAAAAATACAAAAAATTAGCCAGGCGTGGTGGCATGAGCCTGTAGTCCCAGCTACTCAGGAGGCTGAGGCAGAAGAATTGCTTGAACCCAGGAGGTGGAGGTTGCAGTGAGCTGAGATGCCGCCACTGCACTCCAGCCTGGGCGACAAAGCAAGACTCCATCTCAAAAAAAATAAAAAATAAAAAATAACAGAATAAGAACGTTGGCTGGGTGTGGTGGCTCACACCTGTAATTCCAGCACTTCGGGAGGCCAAGGTGGGCAGATCACCTGAGGTCAGGAGTTTGAGACCAGCCTGGCCAACGTGGTGAAACCCCATCTCTATTAAAAATACAAAAATTAGCCAGATATGGTGGTGCACGCCTGTAGTCCCAGCTACTTGGAGGCTGAGACGAGAGAATCACTTGAACCCAGGAGGTGGAGGTTGCAGTGAGCAGAGTTCATGCCACAGCACTCCAGCCTGAGCAACGGAGCAAGACCCCGTCTCAGGAAAAAAAAAAAAAAAAAAAAAACTCTAGTAACCATTTACTTGAGTAACATGCAGAAATAATAAATAGGGAACAGTAAATATTCCAAAAGAAAATGGCTGACAACTTCCCAGAGCTGAAAGACATGAATCTACAAAAACCAAGCAAAATAAATAAAGATAAATCCATACCTTACACACATTGTAATGAATATGCAGAATAGCCAAGGCCAAAATAAAGAAAAGAAAATTCTAACAGAAGCCAGAAGAAAAAAAGACAGATCACCTACAAGGGAATAACAAACCGACTACTGCCAAACTTGCCAACAGAAACAACAAAAGTAGAGAGCAGTAGGATAACTCCAAAATGCTGAAAAGAAATAACTGTCAATCTGGATTTCTATATCAAGCAAAATTATCTTTCAAGAACTTAGGTGAAGGTTGGGAGTGGTGGCTCATGCCTGTAATCCTAGCACTTTGGAAGGCTGAGGTGGGAGGATACTTGAGCCCAGGAATTCAAGACCAGCCTGGGCAACATAATAGTAAGACTCGTCTCTATTTTTTTTTTTTTTTTTAAAAAAGAACTTGTGTGAAATAATTTCCGAGTAGCTGGGACTACAGGCATGCACCACCATGCCCAATGGTGGTGCACGCCTGTAATCCTAGCACTCTGGGAGACTGAGGCAGGCAGATCTCGAGTCCCAGAGTTTGAGACTAGCCTACACAACATGGCAAAACCCTGTTTCAACAAAAAAATACAAAAAATAGCTGGTCATGGCGGCATGTGCCTGTAGTCCCAGCTACTTGGGGGCTGAAGTGGGAGGATCACTAAAGCTCAGGAGGTCAAGGCTGCAGTGAGCTGTGATCGCGCCACTGCACTCCAGCCTGGGCAACAGAGTGAGAACCTGTCTCAAAAAAAAGAAAAGAAAAAAACTTGTGCACTCCAGTCTGAGTGTCAGAGCAAGACTGTGTCTCTTTAAAAAGAAAAAAAAAAAGTCTGGACTAAAACACTGAACAACAGCAGCATGTAACTTGAGAGTTGAATAATTGGAATTAAAGAACTTTCATGCCTTTGCTGTATCTAGGAGGGCGACAGAATATTAGTTTTAGACTTCGTTAAATATGCATAGCAAAATTTCAAGGGTAATCACTAAAAGAATATTAAGAGTATGTCATTTCCAAACCAAAAGATGGAAGAATATAAAGAAAAACAAACAACTCCCAGTTGTTTAAAAAGGCAAGCATGGGGAGAAAAGACAAACAGAATACAAAACCTAAGATGATAAAGAAAGTACAAATTTATCTGAATCATAACATAAATGTACTAAATTATGCCAGTTAAAAGACAGAAATTACAGGTAACTTATAAGAGACACTCTTTTAGTAAGCTGAGTAACGGTCCCCAAGTTAACAGGTCTGAATAATGCCTGGAACCTGTAAATATTACTTTATATGGCAAAGACTACAGATATAATTAAGTATTTTGGGATTGTGAAATTATCCTGGATTACCTGGGTGGGCCCTGAATGTAATCACCAGTATCCTTATAAAATCGAGGTGGGGGAGATTTAACCACACAGAAGACAAGAAACCAATCTGACCTGGGTCACAAAGATTGGAGTGATGCAGCCACAGCCAAGGAATGTGGCAGCCATGAGAAGCTGGAAGAGGCGAGGAACAGATTCTCCCATACGACCTCCAGAGGAAGAATGCACAGCCCTAGTGACACCTTGATTTTGGTCCAGTGATATTGTTTTCAAACTTCTGGCCTCCAGAACTATGAGAGAATAATTTCTGCTGTTTTAAAGCACCACGTATGTGGTAACTTGTTACAGGAGCCACAAAAAACTAATATACCCATGAAACAGAACACAGACAGTCTGAAAATAAATGGACAAAAATACAAATACCAGGCAAACACCAAACAAAACAAAGCTGGAGTAATTATATTAATATCAGACAATGAAGACCAAGAAAATAAAAGCATTTATTCGGAATGGAAAAGGCCATAAACCTAAGTACAGCTCAACAGGAAGATGAAAAGTATAAGGTTATTCACACCTAATAAAATACTGTCAACATATATGAACCAAAAATTGCTAGAACTCACAGAGAAACTGACAAATCTACCATAATGAGATTACCATAATAATCTACCACATTGCTCAAGTCAGTAACAGTAAATAGGAAATATGAGCAATGCAAGCAAAAAGTTAGATCATTAGAGATATACAGAACCTTGCACCTCCCTTTCTCACACAAATTAAATACATATTCTTTCTTTCTTGCTTGCTTGCTTGCTTTCTTAAGATGGAGTCTCATTCTGTCGCCCAGACTGGAATGCAGTGGCATGATCTTGGCTCACTGCAGCCTACGCCTCCTAGGTTCAAGCAATGCTCCTGCCTCAGCCTCCTGAGTAGCTGGTATTACAGGCGTGTGCCACCACACTGGGCTAATTTTGTTGTATTTTTAGTACAGATGGGGTTTCACCATGTCGGCCAAGCTGGTCTCAAACTCCTGATCTCAGGTGATCCGCCCACCTCAGCCTCCTAAAGTGCTGGGATTACAGGCATGAGCCACTGCACCCAGCCCATATTCTTTAGAATACAAGGAATGTTTATAAACATTCATGTCATATCTGGCAATAAAGAAAATCACAACAAATTCCAGGGAATCAGCAGCACACAAGCCATTTCTCCGGGTGCAATGCAATTAAAACATAATAACGGCCAGACGCGGTCGCTCACGCCTTTAATCCCAGCACTTTTGGAGGCCGAGGCAGGTGGATCACCTGAGGTCAGGAGTTCAAGACCACCCTGGCCAATGTGGTGAAACCCTGTCTCTATTAAAAATACAAAAACCAGCCAGGCGTGGTGGCGGGCACCTGTAATCCCAGCTACTTGGGAGACTGAGGGAGGAGAATCGCTTGAACCTGGGAGGCGAAGGTTGCGGTGAGCCGTGATTGCACCATTGCACTCCAGCCTGGGTGACGAGAGCAAAACTCAGTCTGAAAGAAAAAAAAACAACATAATAACAGAAGAGTTTCTTCAAACCATATATTTAGAAATTTAAAGGTACATTTTAAAATAATTTATGGGCCAAAAAAGAAATCATAATGAAAATTTAAATATACATTACTAACAAAAATATTACAGTTGGAAACTATTGGCTTCACTAAAGAGATGCTTCTAGAGAGCTATATAGCCTTAAACACTTATACTAGAAAAAGACGCCGGTGGCTCACACCTGTAATCCCAGCACTTTGGGAGGCTGAGGTGGGCAGATCACCTGAGGTCAGATGTTTGAGACCAGCCTGGCCAACATGGTGAAACCCTTATCTCTACTAAAATTATAAAAATTAGCTGGGTGTGGTGGGCGCCTATAATCCCAGGTACTGGGGAGGCTGAGGTGGGAGAATTGCTTGAACCTGGGAGACAGAGGTTGCAGGGAGCCAAGATCGTGCCACTGCACTCCAGCCTGGGCAACACAGTGAGAACCTGTCTCAAAAAAAAAAAAAAAAAAAGTAAGTGACCAACTTCTAAAAAGTTACAGAAAGAACAGAGTAAAACCCAATCTAGCAACCTGTACATTCATTATGCTTTAAACACTATATGTAATTTGTATCCTTAAAACAACTCTGATGGTTAGATTACAGCTATTTCCACAGCTACAAATGTCCTGCTTATCTGAGTTTAAAAGCACCTTCAGGCCTGCCTGGGCAACATAGCAAGGCCTTGGCTCTACTAAAAAAAAAATTTTTTTAGTTAGCTGGGTGTGGTGGGGTGGGTCTGCAGGCCCAGCTGCTCAGGAAGCTGGGTGGGAGGACTGCTCGGGCCCACGAGGTCAAGGCTGCAGTGAGAGCCAAGATCGCACCGCTGCACTTCAGCCTGGGTGACAGAGCAAGACTCTGTCTCCAAAAAAAAAAAAAAAAAAAGATATTTCCTGCTTTACAAACAGTACAGAAAACACCTAGTACAGAAAATAGAAGACACTGAATGCTGCAGACACCCTAGGTCAGTGACATTGCTGGTGATTCTGTTGTCAAAGTATGTGTGCTTCAGTCCCTGGAGACGTTGCTCAGAAAAAAACTGAAATGGAGTATCTGCGAAACCCCATCTCTACAAAAACACACAAAAATCAGCCGGGTGTGGTGCTGTGCACCTGTAATCCCAGCTACTCAGTACGCTGGGGCACAAGAATCGCTTGAACCCGGGAGGCGGAGGTTGCAGTGAGCCAAGATCGCACCACTGTACTCCAGCCTGGGCGAAAGAGCGAGACTCTCTTTCAAAAAAAAAAAAAAAGAAAGAAAAGAAAAGAAAAAAAAGAAAAGAAAAGAAAAGAAAAGAAAAGAAGGAAGGAAGGAAGGAAGGAAAGAAAGAAAGAGAAAGAAAGAAAGAAAGGAAAGAAAGGAAAGAAAGGAAAGGAAAGAAAGGAAAGAAAGAAAGAAAGAAAGAAAGAAAGAAAGAAAGAAAGAAAGAAAGAAAGAAAGAAAAGAGGCCGGGTGCTGTGGCTCATGCCTGTAATCCCAGCACTTTGGGAGGCTGAGGCGGGCAGATCACCTGAGGTCAGGAGTTCGAGACCAGCCTCAACATGGGGAAACCCCGTCTCTACTAAAAATACAAAAATTAGCCGGGCGTAGTGATGCATGCCTGTAATCTCAGCTACTCGGGAGGCTGAAGTAGAATTGCTTGAACCTGGGAGGCGGAGGTTGCGGTGAGCCGAGATCGAGCCATTGCGCTCCAGCCTGGGCAACAAGAGCGAAACTCCATCTCAAAAAAAAAAAAGAATAAAAACTGAGTATCCGGATGGTGGGGGTCATCTATTTCCCCCCTAAAGACTGGTCAATTAACATCACATCCCTTCCTACTGAAGGAGACACTCAGACCAAAAGGGAGTTCATTCTATGAGACTAAAGACCATTCCTAACCTTCCTTCCTGCCTGAAGCCCTATGTGACAATAACTTGAATAACTTGATTAATGGTATCATCTGGCAACAAGGTTGGCCTTTTAAGAAAATCTTAGAAAGCATGGTTTAACCACAAAGTTCCTACTAAACTGCAAACACATGCAGCTGTATCAGACAAAAAAATACCTCTACATAGGCTTTATTTTGAGAGAGAGGGAGAGACAGACAAAAAAGAGCTACAAGGCTCTCTATTGCATCTTCTGTGTCTTTCCCTCTTAAGGCCTGCTCCTCCATCCTCTATGTTCTGGAAAAGAAGGAAAGAAAGCACACTGACAGAATCCTCACATACTGTAAGCATTGTAAGTTTGCTTACCACAGCCTCACACCTCCAGTTAGATATGACTGTTATTATTATTACTCCTATTTCTGCAGATGAGAAAAATTAGTTCAGAGAATTTCACCATTTTGATCCAGGGCCACACATCTTGAGTGGCAACATTTTTAAAAATTAGCCAGCTGTGGTGGTATGCACCAGTAGTCCTAGCTATTCCGGAGGCTGAGGTGGGGAGGATTACTTGAGCCCAGGAGTTCCAGGTTACAGTCAGCTATGATTATACCACTGTTCCCCAACCTGAACAATAGAGCAAGACTGTCTCTAAATGAAGTATACAGAGTTTTAGTGTATTCAGAGTTGTGTAACTAATCATCACAATCTAACGTTATAACATTTTCAACACCCAAAAAGAAACCCCATACACATTAGCAGTCATTCCTCATTCCCACTCCATTCTCCCCAGCTGGAGCCCCAGTCAACCCCAAATCTACCTTCTGCCTGTATAGATTTGCCTACTGGGGGTCAGGTACAGTGGCTCACACCTGTAATCCCAGCACTTTGGGAGGCCGAGGCGGGTGGGTCACTTGAGGTCAGGAGTTCAAGACCAGCCTGGGCAACGTGGTGAAACCCCATCTCTACTACAAATATAAAAATTAGCCGGGCGTGGCCAGGCGCGGTGGCTCACGCCTGTAATCCCAGCACTTTGGGAGGCCGAGGCGGGCGGATCATGAGGTCAGGAGATTGAGACCATCCTGGCTAACACGGTGAAACCCCATCTCTACTAAAAATACAAAAAATTAGCCGGGCATGGTGGCAGGCGCCTGTAGTCCCAGCTACTCAGGAGGCTGAGGCAGGAGAATGGCGTGAACCCGGGAGGCAGAGCTTGCAGTGAGCCAAGATCGTGCCACTGCACTCCAGCCTGGGCGACAGAGCAAGACACCGTCTCAGAAAAAAAAATCAGCCGGGCATGGTGGCACACACCTGTTCCCAGCTACTCAGGAGGCTGAGGCAGGAGAATCGCTTGAACTTGGGAGGTGGAGGTTGCAGTGAGCCAAGATCGCACCACTGCACTCCAGCCTGGGCAAGAGAGTGAGATTCAGTCTCACAAAAAACAAAAAACAAAAAGATTTGCCTATTGAAGACATTTCACATAAGTAAAATCATGAAGCACATGGTCTCTTGTGTCTGGCTTCTTCCACTTAGCATGTTTTCAGAGTTCATCCATGTTGTACCAGGTATGAGTGCTTCAATCCTTTCTATTGCCAACTACTATTCCATCGTATGAACAGACCACATTTTGTTGATCCACTCATTAGCTGATGGACATCTGGGGTGTTTCACTTTTTGTCTGTTAAACATAATGCTGCTCTGAACATTCACACACAAGCTTTTGTACGGACATATGTTTTCACTTGGCCTTTGCATTCTCAAAGTGTTTTCACAACATTCTCTCTTTCATGTATTACATGGCTACTTAATTTTCCGATGGAGAAAAGTGAGGCTTGGGGCAGCTAAGTGACTTTCTCACCCACTCAACTACCCTCAGCAAACCACAGTAAACCCATAGTGAAGAGCCAGTACTCCTTTCATAATACCACACTGCCTATGGTTACGGCTCCCTCTCCTGTGAAATAAATTTCAAGCGACAGTGTGCAGATGAGGGAAAACATTTTTTAGGTAAGGAACTCCCTAAATCATTCTCAATACGTTAATCCACAAAGCAAATTTAAATTAAGCCCTTCAGAGTAAGAGAAGGAGAGAAGTGTTTGGGATGGGATATTCTAAAGGTCCCTCCCAAATGATGACTTTCTCCTCCCCATGCAAACAGCCACAGCTGCCATTCCAGGCTGCAGAGGCACACATGTAGTTACATCTACTGCGCCCCATTCCTGAGGCATGCCCTTTCCAGCAAATTTGAGATATACCTGTGGACTCTGTCCCCTAACGTCAGCCCCAGATGCCAGACTCCCTGGGCCCAAGGCCTAGATGCAGAGCTCGTCTGTTCTAATACAGATAACAGTATTTTGGAGGCATATATTGCTCAGATCAATTGTATGAACCCTCTTTCCCAACCTCATGAAGCACTGTCTAGGTTTATAATATTTCTGGTAATAAAGTTCAGAAAAAAACAATAATTATATTAATAATATAAGTCATTTGCTGACAGCTTAGTAGGTACCTTTTGGCATTTACTTCATTTAATCCTCACAATAACCATGTAAGATAGGGACTATTGTTACTTTAGTGTCCATACTTAATTATGTGGAGAAAATACACAGTTGGTAGGAGTATAAACCAACGTAACTTCTTAGGAGGATAATCTGGAAACATCTACGGAAAGTAAAAGTGTAATTACTCTTTGACATGGCAATCTCACTTCTGAGAATGTATCTATAGATATACTTCATAGGTGCCCAAAGATGGAAATGTAAGAATATTAATTGGGGCCAGGAGGGTAATTTGGAAATGTCTATGCAAATGAAAAGTGCAATTATTCTTTGACATAGCAATTTCATTTCTGAGAATGTATTTATAGATGTACCTCATAAGTGCCCAATATGGAGATGTAATATTAATTGGAGCACTGCTTATAACAGTAAAAACCTGGAAACAGGTCAGGTGCAGTGACTCATGCCTGTTATCCTAGCATATTCAGAGGCTGAGACAGGAGGATCACTTGAGACCAGGAATTCAAGACCAGCCTGAGCAACACAGCTCAGGCTTTTGAAACCTTATCTCAAAAAAAAAAAAAAATTAGCCAAGCCTGTTGGCATGAACCTGCAGTCTTAGCTACTTCAGAGTCAGAGGTGGGAGAATGGCTTAAGCCCAGGAGTTCAAGGCTGCGGCAAACTATGATCACATCACTATATTCCCGCCTAGGTGACAGAGCAAGAGTCTGTCTCAAAAAAAATAAATTAATTAAATAAATATATGCTCAACATGTTTAAGCTGACAGTTATCAAAAACAGTGTTACACATTAGTTATAACAACTGTTTAAAAAGGTACTTCTAGAAAAATTAAGCTCAAAAGGCAAACTGTATTAAATGTGCTTCCCCTCATTCCTTTAAACTCAAGGTTCCTCAATGTAGAAAGGCCAGAATAAGCATTAACAATTAAACAACTCTATTAAAGTTTAATATTATGCTATGTTAAGATTCCTATTTTTTTTTTTTTTTGAGACGGAGTCTCACTCTGTCCCAGGCTGGAATGCAATGGCACGATCTCAACTCACTGTAACCTCCGCCTCCTGGGTTCAAGTGATTCTCCCGCCTCAGCCTCTTGAGTACCTGGGATTACAGGCATCCACCACCAAGCCTGACTAATTTTTGTATTTTTAGTAGAGACAGGGTTTCATCATGCTGGCCAGGCTGGCCTCGAACTCCTGATCTCAGGTGATCCACCTGCCTCGGCCTCCCAAAGTGCTGGGATTACAGACGTGAGCCACCATGCCCAGCCTTGCCTCCCACTCTATTCAAAGTCATCCCTTTGCTCACTGAGATAGATGCATATCTGGTTGCCTCCTTAGGAAAGGCTTATCAGAAACTCAAAAGAAGGCAACCATTTGTCTCTCACCTACTTGTGACCTGGAAGCTCCCTCCCTGCTTCAAGCTGTCCCCGCCGTTCTGGACTGAACCAATGTACTTCTAGCATATATTGATTGATGTCTCATGTCTCCTTAAAATGTATAAAACCAAGCTGTGCCCAACCACCTTGGGCACATGTCAATCAGGACTTCTGGAGGCTGTGTCACAGGCACACATTCTCAACACTAGCAAAATAAACTTTCTAAGTTAACCGAGACCTGTCTCAAATTTTCGAGGTTCACGTGTTCATCTTGTTCTGAGACTGAAATGTGTACGGTGTGGGTTGAAACAGTGAGCAAGTAGAACCAAAATGTTTGGCTTAGAAGAAAAGTAGATACAGGTATATAAAAATGAGAAGGTTGAGTAGAATCCTAGTCTTACTTCCTTTTTTTTTTTGAGACGGAGTTTCGCTTTTGTTGCCCAGAATGGAGTGCAATGGCACTGCGACCTCCGCCTCCTGGGTTCAAGCGATTCTCCTGCCTCAGCCTCCCTAGTAGTGGGGATTACAGGCATGCACCACCATGCCCAGCTAATTTTTGTATTTTTAGTAGAGATGAGGTTTCACTGTTGTCCAGGCTGGTCTCAAACTCCTGACCTCAGGCGATCCACCTGCCTCAGCCTCCCAAAGTGCCGGGATTGTGAGCGACCGCACCTAGCTTGTTTTTTGTTTTTGTTTTTGTTTTTTTGAGACGGAGTCTCGCTCCGTGTCGCCCAGGCTACAGTGCAACGGAGCGATCTCCACTCACTGCAAGCTCCGCCTCCCGGGTTCACGCCATTCTCCTGCCTCAGCCTCCCGAGTAGCTGGGACTACAGGCATCCGCCACCACGCCCAGCTAATTTTTTGCGTTTTTAGTAGAGACGGGATTTCACCATGTTAGCCAGGATGGTCTCGATCTCCTGACCTCATGATCCGCCCGCCTCGGCCTCCCAAAGTGCTGGGATTACAGGTGTGAGCCACCACGCTCGGCTTTTTTTTTTTTTTTTTTTTAAAGAGACAGAGTAGTGCAGTGAAGTGATCATGGCTCACTGTAGCCTCGACCTCCCAGGCTCACAGGTTCGTACCATCTTAGCCTCAGGAGCAGCTACGATTACAGGCCCATCCTAGCATGCCCAGCTTCATTGGCTACTTTTGAAGGATATTAGCGAAACAATTCATTATGTGAAACCTAGTAAATAATGGAGAAGAATTAAGCATTTATCCTCCCTTTTCTGTAAGAGATACCTCAAGATAACCAAATAGTGGAGGCATGAAAAATTATCTTTATAAAAATATTCTATTTAATAAAAGAAGTTATAGAATTCAAATATCAATATATTCAATGCTTGCTGAAATGACTGTAGGCACTGACAATCAAGGGCTGCGAACAAAGACTACTAATCATTTCTGCCTACTTACCTAAGAAGTTTGCTTGACAAAAGTAAAGCTGAATCTGATCATACCTTTAGATCTAACCACCAGTTTTCAGTAAATTCTGTGAAACTATGCCACAGAGTAAAATTGAGACTGTGCATAACTCCACATGACAAACTACCAGGTTTCATCCATAAATAAATTACAAGAGAAAACTAAATATGGAGGGGAAACTATCAATTAAAATGAGTCACACTGTATAGATAGCATGTGGATCGATTGAAATTGTTAAGAAAAAAAATGAGAATTCTGACAATTTTAACACTGGCTGGATATTTGAAAGTATTAAGGAATTATTCATTTTCTGTGATAGTGGTACTCATGTTTACCTTTTGTTTAAGTCTTTAAGATATACATATTGAACTATTTAACGGTTAAAGGATATCTAGGACTGCGGGGATATGATGAAGCAAGATTGACTGTTGAAACTGGTTGAGAAAAGGGGTTTATACTATTCTCTCTACATATGTGTATATGTTAAGAGGTAAACATGGAAGGAAAGAAAGGAAGGGCAGTCAATCTAACTCTAAGTTTCAAGCAATAAGTAAATATTTTGTTATCTTTCAAAGCATTTCAGTATTTACTTTTCTTATTCAATTCAAAGACTATAAGAACTAAAAACTAAAAATCATGTAAATAAACAGTTTTTATGGCAAAATCAGTAACACAAAACTGAACACCAAACAAAACCTTCTCAGTATATCAGATAACATCAAAAGAATTAAGGGGAAAAATGACCAGCTTGTACGAAGTATATTTTAGAAGGAAAACTATCTCACAATTCGGGGACTGGCTAGAGTTTAGACTCACATCACTCAGCGACTCTCCGAAACTTTAAAACCTAAAGACACCACAAGTAGAAAACTAACAAATCATACCAGCTGTCCATACCATTGTAAACCACATCGAAACTCTGAAAAGCAGTTTTGACTGCCCAAATCATCCACTTCCTGAAAAGACAACTTTACTATTCTAGTTTTCTCCACTGTCAAAATCAAAGGAGTATATTAAAATTTTAACGTAGGCCAGGCGCGGTGGCTCACGCCTGTAATCCCAGCACTTTTGGAGGCCTAGGCGGACGGATCACGAGGTCAAGAGACTGAGACCATCCTGGCCAACATGGTGAAACCCCGTCTCTACTAAAAATACAAAAATTAGCTGGGCGTGGTGGCGCGCGCCTGTAGTCCCAGCTACTCGGGAGGCTGAGGTAGGAGAATTGCTTGAACCTGGGAGGCGGAGATTGCAGTGACTGGAGATCGCGCCACTGTACTCCAGCCTGGCGACAGAGCGAGACTCCGTCTCAAAAAAAAAAGGTATCATCGCGGGCCTTTGTCCATTCAAGGCTCCAAAGTTTACAAACTCACTTTCATACAATTCACACCCTCTGCCTGAAATGCCCTCCTCTCTCTGGTGCCTGTTGAACTCCTACTCATCCACTCCAAGCTTGTTTTCACTAGGCGCCTCTACTCATAGACACAGTCGACCTATCAGCATTCTATTTCCTATCCCCATTAAGATCTCAGTCAATTTTTCACACAAAAAATCTTTCTTTAACTTACCAGTAATGCATACAGCTATCAGCTATGTCTTTGGTCTTTGGAGATATGACAATTGCTTTTTGTCTTTCTAAACATAAATTATGCTCAAACCAACAACAGTTTCAGGCGAACCAAAATACGTTTTTCAAGGTGGGTATGCATAAAGTGAATGCAAATTACCTCCCAACTATCTTGAGCCATTACAAGAGCAAAGATAAAAGTCATCCTAACAGGGAAAGGCCCTCTGACATCTCCCAAAAAACGAAAATAAAAGATTAAGAAAAAAGAAAAGAGAGGGAGGGCAAAGGTGACCAACAGCCCCATCGCTGATAAAGTTCCACGATTATCTCTCGAGCGTCCGTCGGCAGATATGGCTTTTCTCTTTTGGCAGAAGCCGTCGTTTTTAAATACGAGAGCCGACAGATGCGTCCGTACACAAACCTTGCAGCCACCAGCGCTGCGGACCGCGGAACCGGTCTCACAAGCAGGATGCTGACCAGCGTCCAGCCAGGGTCGTCCTCCTCCGCCCCCACCCCTGCAGCCCACAAGCCGGCCAGGAACGAGCGGCCCGGGAAAAGCCTAGTCCCCGGGGTCCTATCCCGATGAAAGATCTGCGGCGCCCTCGCTCCCCGGCTCGGCCCAGGCCGAAGGCCCCGCGGGGACCCCTCCAAGACGCCCTCGGCGCCGCAGCGGCCTCCCCGCCCCCGAGGCTGCCCGGGCCGCCGCAGGCCCCGCGGCCCCCGCCCGCCGCAACCGCGGCCCAGTTCCCCGCGCCCCCGCCGCCGCCTCAGCCCGAACCGGGCCCCCGCCGCCCCCGCTAGCTAGCCTCACCTCAGAAGCGAATCGTGGGCAGCGCGCGGGATTCCGGGGTCCCAGTGCGGCCACCGCCCGTCGGCTCCGGCTCCGGCTCCGCCCCCGTCCCCTGGCCCGCAGCAGCGGCCCGCCAGGCCTCTCCGCCCCTCAGCCCCTCCGCTCGCCCCCACCGCCCGACCTGGGTGCGGCCTGCGGCGCTGCAGCCCAACAACGCGCCGTCCCATAGGCCAAGCCGCGCAGCACTGCCGAGCAACGTACCCTGCGATTGGCGGGACCCATGAGGGGCGGGTCCCCTGCGGGCAGGGCGATTGGACTCGCCAGGCCCGCCTCGGGGCGACCCCGCCGGGGCCTGCGGAGGCCCAGGGTCCCGCGCGGAGTACACCCCGGCCGGCAGCTTCGGGCGCCAGGTCATGGCTTCACGGTGGCCAGGTAGACTGCGGCGAGCCCCTGCCGGGTCCGCTGGACACGGTTTCATTGTGATTGACCTCCGCCGGAGGGGCTGTCGGAGCCCAGGGACCCTGCCCTCCCGCCGCCGCCCAGCGCACTCCCCCAGCAGACGGGCCCTGCCCCGCGTAGCCCCGCCTTGTGCAGTCCCCAGGCCGAGTTTTGGGGCCCGGGTGGGGTCAAGGCAGCAGGGCCTGTGGGCCCCGATAAGGCTCCACAGAGGACAACTGCCTGGCCCCCGGGCCCGGCCTGCGGGTGCTGAGGAGACCAGCGAGCACCAGCCACCTCCGCACGACCAGGGAGTGAGCCTGCGGGGCTTTGGCAGGACCAGCCTCAGACCAGCACCTTCCCGCACACTGTCCCTCCTGCTGGCGCATCTGACACCCAAAAAAACAAGCAGCGAGACAAATGGGCACGGCTGCTTGTCCTCTTGACACCCATAGAAAGCTTAGGTCCAGAGCTGGGCAGTGGCAGAAGAGTGTGGAATCCAGACCTCCCTGCTCAGCAGGAGCCTCTGTGACATTGCCCCAACAAGGGTCAGGGATACTGTCTGGATGGAAGCCAGCGACCCCTGTTCTAACCATTTCTGTTGGACGTTGGCTTTTCCAAGACGATTTTTCTGACAAGATCACAATTCTGTCTCATTCACTTCTGCTTCCCATAGTTAATCACTAGGGAAACGCAAATCAAAACCACTGTGGGATACCACTTAACATTCATTAGGATGGCAGTTGAAGAAGCAGGGAGTTGGGCGCAGTGGCTTCAGCCTAAAATCCCAGCACTTAGGGAGGCAGAAACAGGAGGATAGCCTGAGCCCAGGAGTTGGCAGACTTGACTGGACAACATAAGGAGACCCTGTTCTCTACAAAAACGAGAAGAAAACAAAAAGTTTCAAGGGGGGAGAAGGAGGAAGAAGAGGAAAAAAAGAAAATAAGTGTTGGCAAAGATGCGGAGAAATTGGAACCCTTTGTGCATCGCTGACGGGAATGTAAAATGGTGTGGCTGCTGTGGAAAACCGTAGAGTGGTTCCTCAAAAAATTAAACATAATTACCACATAATCCAGCAATTCCACTTCTGGATATATACCCCAAAGAAATGAAAACAGCTATTTGTACCATGTTCATAGCAGCATTATGCAGAGAAGGAAATTCTATTTATTGGGGTTTTGTGCCTTTTTTTTTTTTTTTTTTTTTTTTTTGGAGTCAGGGTCTCTGTCGCCCAGGCTGCAGTGCAGTGTTGCAACCATGGCTCACTGCAGCCTTGACCTCCTAGGCTCAAGGGATCCTCCTGCCTCAGCCTCCCAAGTAGCTGGGACTACCAGCACGTGCCAACATGCCTGGCTAATTTTTGTTATTTTTTGTAGAGACGGGATCTCACTATGTTGCCAGGGCTGGTCTCAAACTCCTAGGCTCAAGCAATCTTCCCAAATCCAAACTCAGCCTCCCAAAGTGCTGGGATTACAGGCATAAACCCATAAACCACGATGCCTGGCCAAAAGAAAGGAAATTCTGACGCATGCTACAACATGGATGAACACTGAAGACATGCTATGTGAAATAACCCAATCACAAAAAGATAAATGTATGATTCCACTTGTATGAGGTGTCTAGAGTAGTCAAATTCAGAGAGACAGGAGGTAGAATGGTGGTTGCAAAGGGCTGGAGGAATGGGGATTTAGTGTTTAATGGGTACAGAGTTTAAGCTTGGGGTGATGAAAAAGTTCTGGAGATGGATGGTGGTGATGACTGAACAATAATATGAATATTCGCAAAGCCACAGAACTGTACACTTTAAAATAATTAAAATGATAAACTTTATAATATGAAAATTTTATCATAATAAAACAATTTTAAAGCTATTAAAATATTCCTTCCTTTTCCAACTACAAAAAAGTAAAAAGGTCCAGGCGTGGTGGCTCTTGCCTGTAATCCTAGCAATTTGGGAGGCCAAGGCGGGAGGATTGCCTGAGCTCAGGAGTTAAGAGATCAACATGGACAACATGGCAGAACACTGTCTCTACTAAAAATACAAGAAATTAGCTGGGTCTGGTGGCAGGCACCTGTAATTCCAGCTACTCAGGAGGCTGAGGCACAAGAATTGCTTGAACCCAGGAGATGGAGGTTGCAATGAGCCAAGATGGCGCCACTGCACTCCAGCCTGGGTGACAGAGACTCTGCCTCCAAAAAAAAAAAAACAAAAAAACAAATACGGTCTTAGGTGAGAGTTTTAAAATACATTGAGTTAGAATTAGATATATACAACAATAATATCAAGTAATGAGGGAGACCAATGAAAGTCACCTGAGGTCCTTATGTTGTCCAGGAGGAGGATAAAAGTATTTATTAGTTAACTCTAGACTTCAGTAAGAATAGAGAGTGTTTAACTTTCTAACTAGGAGAAGGGGGGAAATGAAATGATTTGTTTTAAGTTGCTCAATCTCAAAGAAGGGGAAAAGGAGAGAAAAGGGAGGAAGAAAACACAAACACAAGTGAGACAATATGTAGCATAAAATAAGATGGTAGATTTAATTACATTAAATACACAATGGACAAAATGCTCCAGTTAAAAGACAAGGTGTGTTTTATATGCTATTAACAAAAAAAAAAATGAAATTAAAAATACACAATTTACAATAGACTAAAAGAAACATAAAATATTTACAAATCAAACTTAAGATAAGCAAGACCACAATGGACAAAAATATAAAATCCTATTGGTAAACCTTAAAGAAGACCCAAATGGAAAGAGAGGTAAACCATGTTCATGAATCAGAAAACTCAATATTGTAAAGACGTCAATTTTCCCAAAACTGATTGATAGCTATAATAAATTCCCAAACTATCAAGTGCATCATTGTTGTTGGAATTGACAAGCTGATTTTAAAACTTATATGGGAGAAAAACCTTACATGAAAATACAAAGAGCCAGAATAGTCAAGACACTCTCAAAGAAGAAAAATAAGGTGGAAAAGACTTACTTTATCAGATCTCAATACATAATTGATAATAATGAAGACAGCTTGATATTGGCACAAGAACAGACAGACTAATGGAACAGAGGAAAGAATCCAACAACAGATCTACATATGTCATATGTGGACATATGACAGAGGTGGCATTGCAGATGGGCGCAGAAAGTTAGATTACAAACAATGATAGGACAGGTGTGTAACCCTATGGAGAGAAAAAAATGAAAGTGAATCCTTACCTCACACCATATGCAAAAAACCAAATCTAGGTGAATTAAAGGCCTAAATATGAAATTTACATTTATAAGGATTTCAGAATATAATCTAAGAGACTATCTTCATGACCTTGGAGTGGAAATAATTTCAGTGGTTTTCTTTTTTTTTTTTTTTTTTTTGGTTTTTTTTGAGATAGGGTCTCACTCTGTCTCACAGGCTGAAGTGCAGTGGCACAATCACAGCTCACTGCAGCCTTGACCTTCTGGGCTCAAGCAATCCTCTCACCCCAGCCACCTGAGTAGCTGGGACTACAGGCACGCACCACCATGTCCAGCTAATTTTTGTATTTTTTGTAGAGATGGTGTTTCGCCATGTTGTCCAGGTTGGTCTCAAACTCCTGAGCTCAAGTAATCCTCCTGCCTCTGCCCCCAAAGTGCTGGCATTACAGGTGTGAGCCACTGTACCCAGCCTGGAAAGAATTTCTTAAGCCACAAAAAGCACTAACCAAAATGAAAACACTGATCAATTCAACTGCATTAAAAATAAGAACTGGCATGCACAGTGGCTCATGCCTGTACTCCCAGCACTTTGGGAGGTCAAGATGGGAGGCTCATTGAGTCTAGGAGTTTGAGACCAGCTGGGGCATAGTAAGATCCTATCTCTAAAAAAAAAAAAAAAATTATCTGGACATGGAAGTGCGTGACTGTAGTTCCGGCTACTCAGGAGGCTGAGGTGGGAGGACTGTTTAAGCCTAGGAATTGAGGCTGCAATAAGCCAAGATTGTGCCATAACACTCCAGCCTGGGTGACAGAGCAAGACCTTGTCTCAAAAAACCCCCCCCAAAAAAAAAGGACACCATAAACAGTCAAGCCAGAGTTAGAGAAGATATTTGCAATACACATTATGGATAATATCAAGACTATACAAAGAATTATTAGATTAATAAGAAAAAATCTGGTAGCTCACGCCTATAATCCCAACTTTGGGAGGCTGAGGCCAGCAGATCGCTTGAGCTCAAGAGTTTGAGAGCAGCCTGCATAACATGATGAAACCCGTCTCTACTTAAAAATACAAAAAATTAGCTGGGCTTGGTGGTGTGGGCCTGTGGTCCCAGCTACTTGGGAGGCTGAGGTGAGAGAATCACCTGAGCCTGACTCAAGGCTGCAGTGAGCTGAGATTGCACCACTGCACTCCAGCCAGGGCAACAGAGTGAGACCCTGTCTCAGAAAAAAAAAAAAAGAAAAGAAAAAGAAAAAGACAACAAGTTAAAAAATGGGCAAAAGATGATAGACACTTCACAGGAGACAAAATCAAAATGGTTAATAAAAACATAAAAATATGCTCAATCTCCTTGGTAATTAGCTAAATGCAAATTAAGGCCATAACTATACACCCCACCAGACTGGCAAAAGTGAAATGTCTGCCAAGGATGGGAAGGCAAGGGAATTCTGTTTTACTGCTGGTGGGCACGTAAACTAGAACAATATTTAGAAAGATCTTCATACCCTAGAACCCAGGAGTCAGACTCCTGAGTACAAACCCTAGAAAAATTTGTGCACCATTTGCAAAAAACACACGTGCATCAGAGACATGGACAAAACTGTTGCTAGCAGCATTGTGTGTAGTTACCCCAAACTAGAAACAAACCAACTGTCCATCTACAGCAGGCATGTCCAATCTTTTGGCTTCCATGGACCATACCGGAAGAACTGTCTCGGGTCACGCATAAAATACACTACCACTAACTATAGCTGATGAGCTAAAAAAAAAAATCGCAAACAAAAATCTTTATAATGTTTTAAGAAAGTTTACAAATTTGTGTTGGGCCACATTCAAAGGCATCCTGGGCTGCATGCATTGGACAAGCTTGACTGACAGTGAAATGAATCTGTGAACTACGATACAGCCAAACAATGGAAGTTTTTAGCAATGAACATGCACAAACTATACTACGCACAGCAACATGAATAAATCTCACAGACATAATAACGAGCCAAAGAAGCCAGCTGCCAGAATTTGCATCTGTATGATTCAAGGGGATAAAGCACAGAAACAGGAAAATACTGCAATGCCTGCATAATTGGGTGCTGAAGACTTTTTAGAAAAACAAGAACACAAGACTCACATAAGCCAGGGCAGAGAGGCCGGAAGTGACACTGTGAGGGGAGGGCACTTGGGTGCTGGCAAAACTATTTCCTGATGGTGGTTGCAGATCGTTCACTTCCTAACAGTGTGTTAGGTTGTGCATTTATGTTTTATTCACTTTTCTGTATGTTGTTTTATTCTGCAGGAAATGAATGAAAAAGGGATTCTGCCTCAGCTCTGAGCCCCTCAGAGTGGGGCCAGGGAAGAAGCAGACGGCAACGCCAGGGCAGCTGTCTGGCAGCCTGGAAGGCCTGCGAAGCTTCCTAGGGGTCCGAAGGAGGGTAGACAGGTAGGGGTCTGCTCTGTACCCATCAAATCTCCCTCCAGTGAGAATGGCTGGAAGATGGCTTAAAAGGGTTCACCACTCACACACACTTCTGAGGTGGTGGGGGTTGTCTGTCAAGCATCTTCACAGGGTCACTGCCCCTCTTCCCCAAGGACAGGCAACCTCCTGGCACTGCCCCCTCAGCAGGCAGTCTAGGTGGAGGGAACAGGGCGTGCAGGCAGAGATAAGGCAGGGGGTGTGTGCGAGGTGCCCAGCGAGGGGCTTGATGCTGCTGGGTCACAGAAACAGAGGTTGTGGCCCTTCCCCCATTCCCCTCGTCTAGAGACAAGCACGGCCCTCCCATGTTCCTGGTGTGACCCTGGTGTCCTAGGCCATCCCTCCAGCGCCTGGATCACCCTCAAAAGCCTCTTCCCTGCTGAGCTTCAATCTGCCTTTCTATGAAATGGCCCCAATAAGCCCTGCCTGCCTCAGGGAACTAAGCCGCAGGTCCCAGGTCCCCCTCTCCCCCAATGCCCACCCTCGCCCATCCTGAGGTGCAGGAAGCACCTCCCTGGGGCTGCGCTGAGCCCCAACCAGCAGGGGAGCTCCGCACAACGTGGCCCAGAAGGATCAGTGGGAACCGAGGTTTCTTCTGGTTCTAAAAACATCTTTTCAAGGCTGGGCGCCGTGGCTCGCGCCTGTAATCCCAGCACTTGGGAGGCCAAGGTGGGCGGATCAGTTGAGGTCAGGAGTTCAAGACCAGCCTGGCCAACATGGTGAAACCCCGGTTCCACTAAAAATACAAAAATTTGGCAGGCAGCTGTAATCCCAGCTACATGGGAGGGTGAGGCAGGAGAATCGATTGAACCCTGGAGATTTGCATTGAGCCGAGATCACGCCAATCCACTCTAGCCTGGGCGACAGAGTGAGACTGTGTCCCAAAAAAAAAAGAAAAAATCTTTTCACAATACAAATCTTTATTAACTGAAGGCACGGGGCTCACCACAATCCTTCGGATGGAACCACAGGAAGAGAAGAAGCATGTTTCACCCTGGGCTGGGGGTGCTTCCCAAAGCCACTGGGGCCCTTTTCCCAAGCCCCAGAACTGAGCCCACCTGAACTCATCTTGAAGGTAGGTATGTCAGTGAGTCCTCCCAAAGCCTCAGTTTCCCTATCTATAAAATGAGGAAGCAGGACTGCCCCTAGGGCAAGGCCTAGGCCTCCTGCCAGCCCACCCTCACAGACCCAGAGGGCAACGCAGGGTGAGGCGGGGCAGTTTCACTCCCCAGTGCTGTGGCCCCCTTGGTTGAGTGAAAGCACCTCCAGAGCCCTAACCCTAGCCCTGGGAGCCAGGCAAGAGACCCCCACAACGACCATCAGAGGTCGTGAGGGGTGGCAGGGAGCCTGGCAGGGAGCCAGGCAGGGGCCAGGGTCTAGGCTCAGAGCAGTGAAGGATAGATAGGGTCACATGCCAGTTAGTGGCAGAGGTGGGACTTGAACCCAGGCCTCTGTGAGACTTGGTTCTCTCACCTGTAAAATGGGTCTACTAGCAGCTGCTTCTCCAAGCAAATGATGTCAAGCACCCAGCTCGGCACCTCACAGATGTGGTCAGTAAATGGTAATCCCAACCCTACCCTTATATGTGGACTAGAACACTTATGGCAAGTCTCGGGAGGTCATGGGAACTCCTCATGGCTCCTTCTTCATGCTGGAGGACCACGGCCTGCCCCATCCCACCCCAACACACTCTTGAAACTGAGGCCCTCGGCCTAGAGCAGCTCACACAGACGTGGACAGCTGTGCTAGCAGGTGCAGAGTCTGGGAGGCGAGGCTGGACCAGGGCCCCAGCTGGGCTTCGGGTAACCACAGGCCTCAACTGTCCAGTTGGCCAGAGGGACCTATCACCTGGCTCTGGGCCCCAGGATGCTTTAGCCACTTGAGCCGGCTCCAGGTGACCGTGTAAGTGACATAAAGCAAAGGTGTCCTGGACTGCACCACTCACTAGCTCAGCACCCCAGGCACCAGGCTGGAAACCACATCTCGCACCCAATTCTCCATTTAAAAATTTTACAGGAAGGGGCCAGGCACAGTGGCTCATGCCTGTAATCCCAGCACTTTGGGAGGCCAAGGTGGGCAGATCACCTGAGGTCAGGAGTTCGAGACCAGCCTGGCCAACATGATAAAATCCCGTCTCTACTAAAAATACAAAAAATTAGCCAGGCGTGGTGGCGGGCGCCTGGAATCCCAGCTACTCGGGAGGCTGAGGCAGGAAAATCGCTTGAACTAGAGAGGCGGAGGTGGCAGTGAGCGGAGATCACGGCATTGCACTCCAGCCTGGGCGACAGGGTGAGACTACATCTCAAAAACAAAAAACTAAAATAATAAAATTTTACAGGAAGAGAAACTATGGCCACAGTGGGGAGTGGCATGACTCCCTAAGCAAGTTCAGGTCAGACAGGGCAAAGAATTCTGACTGCAGGGAGGAGGAATGGCTGGTTTTCCAGAGATAGATCAGAACAACAGAAGCTCCCTGTGCTCCAGCCTCGGCTGTGGTGCACTGACCTCTCACCCCAGGCAGGCTGAAGAGGAAACCCCTGCAGAGGTGGCCTTGGACACCTGGTTCCTGGAAGCAGCTGGCTGCCGTCATCTGCAGGGCCTGCAGTTCCACCGCACCCTATGGCCCCCTGGGGTCACAGCCTCCCACATCCGCTAACCAGCCTCATCACTTGTTTCCGCCAGCAAACCACAGGTCCCCAGAACACACCCAGGGGAAGGGGGCTGCAGGACCTTCTCCCCCAGTCAGTCACTGTCAGTGGGCCCAAGTGCTGACCTCAGTTTAGGTTTCCCTGACATAAGGTGCTAAGAAAAATCACAAGGATTCTAGGGTCCCTGCCAGCCCCTACCTCCCTGAGTCTGTTTCATTAAAAATCCAGCCTGGAAGGTGTGCCAGGGAGAGTGACCTGCTGGAACTCCATGGCAGAAAGTAAGGGGATGGATTGGGGCTGGGCCTGAGCCAGGTATTGCCTGGAAGACTTGGGCATCTGGGTACCACCGTCCCTACGCACCCTTGGCCTGCTTAGGGTCCACTGTTCCCATCCCATCGTAGCTGTTACTTCCTCCAAAAAATCTTCCGGGAGCCCCCAGTCCCTGCACACCCAGCTGCCCTGGACACTGTGCCGTAAGCACCTCATACCCAGCTGTCCCCAGACTGGGCTGTGAACTCAGCCAGGCCAGAGGCCCCTGTCTGGAATGGGACCAGGCATGCAGGAGGTACCCAATAACTGCTCGCTAATGCAGGGAATGAAGCAGCTGTAGCTGCAGGGCCTTCTAGCTCTGTAGCCCGCTCAGTGTATGCAAGTTCTGGAACGGGGACAGCCACTCAGGAGGTACCCAGTAACCAGGCACTAATGCAGGGAATGAAGCAGCTGTAGCTGCAGGGCCTTCTAGCTCTGCAGCAGCACTGCCCTGGCCTGACCTGAGGCAGCAGAACTGGTGAGTGGGGTGTGGGCTCCCAGCCCAGACTGCCCAAGTTTGGGTCCTGATCTGTTACTCGCTGTGCACCCTGGGGAAGTCACTCAGTGACCTGCACCCTGGAAGACAAGACAACCAACTGTTGGGGTTCCCGGGTACTGCTGCGGTCACCACTTAGACATCAGCATGGGCACCCAGTAAGCTGGTAATCCCCTCCTTCCCAATCAAGCCCCAGCCACCAAGGCAAAGCTCACTGCTGCTTTATTGGAGGCAACAGCCCCTACTGGAGCCTGTGTCTTAGCGTTCCTGGGGGTCCCAGGGCCAGCCCCGGCCCCCACCCAGCTGCCCTGGCCCTGCCTGGCTCCCAGCCCACTTAGGGGTGAGTGTGATGGGGGGACCAGTGTTCCTGTCCTTGGAGCCCAGGCACAGCTTGGTCCTGGGTTTCTGGGATTGGGACAGGGCAAGTTAGTGTGGGGCAACAGAGTCCCTTCGTCCTCTGGAGCCTGGCGCCTGGTTCAGCCCTAGAACCCAACCTGCTGGATGAGACTGGCTGGGTCCTACGAGATGTCCATCACAGAGGCCCTAGGCAAGCACAGCCTTGCTCCTGCTCACCCTCCCATGTGGGCCCATGTCCGTCTGTGTGGCCTGGGGTCAGGGCCCCTGTGACTGCCTTGGCCTGGCAGCCACATGGACTGCCATCACCTAGGCCCAGTGTAGCCGTAGGGGTGCCGCAGCAGCAGGCTCTGGTGGCTGGGCAGCACGTGGGTGTGGTAGTGCTCCACCATGCTGCCCACACTCACAAACAGGACCTCGCCCTCCAGGTAGAACTTAGAGTCCTGTGGGGGAAGAGAAGGGGGAGCGTCAGCAGGGCCAGGCCACTCTGCGGCTCTAGGCCTCAGTCTCCCCGTCTGTAAAACAAGGCAGCAGCATCAACAGCGGCATCACCAGGCTGGCCCCTGGCTGTCGGTGGTGCCCCCAAGGTGGCCTCCGCATCAGGCCTGTGCTCTCCATGTTCCCACCTCACTTCCCCTCCGTCCTCCATGTCCAGGAGCCTGCACCCAGAGCACTTCAGACAAGGTCAGGAAATGAACCTAGGCCAGGCACGGTGGCCCACGCCTGTAATCCCAGCACTGTGGGAGGCCGAGGTGGGAGGATTGCTTGAGCCCCAGAATTTGAAACCAGCCTGAGAAAGACAGTGAGACCCCTGTCCCCGCAAAAAGAAAAAGACAAGACAAGCAACCCAGGGTCTATGGCTGACCGCCCATCCCCACTAGGGTCAGTGGAGGACAAAGGTAGGCCACGAGAGGAGGGAGGCTGAGCAGGAGGGGTGGGGGGTGAGCGATGGTGGAGGGGAAGGGGAGGGCGGTATCCTGGAGGTGCCAGTCTCAGTCTACCCGCTGCCTATGCCTCATCAGGGAGATTCTGCCCTGCCCCTTGCCAGGCCATGCGGCCAGGGTCCCCGTCCCACTCAGAGCCCTCTCACCTTCTCAAAAATGCGATAGTTCCTCACTTTGTTAGAGGTTTCGTCCCACACAACCAGGACCTACAGGACGGAAGCGGGAGGCTGACGGCTCCCTGAGAAACAGCGGGACCAGCCTCGGGAGACCATGGGCTGGGGATAGGGGGGCAGAACCATCAAGGCTGGGTCCTGTGGCCCTCGGGGGGCGGGGAGGGACTCCAGACCACCTGCACAAGGACAGCGGGGGCGACACTGGCAGCCCTCAGAGAGCCTCTGATGAGCAACAGCTCATAACCACCAATAACCACTCCGACACACCCGGGAGAGCATGGCTCAGTGAGGTCACAACTTCACGCTCGGAGGGACACGGGCAGACCTGGCGTTCCCCTGCCCCATGTGGCCTCCGCCACCCCAGAGCATGAGCCCTACCCCACCCGAGTCCTGGCCCCCACTGGGAGGTGGCCATCATGGCCCCCAATTTGCAGATGGAGATCTATTAGGGAATAGATTGGGGGGTGCTGCTGGGAAGAGAATTCAGCTGAGACACCAAGTAAGAGTCCACAAGGGGAGTGGTTTAGGAACTGTGGAGTCCTGGGCCCACCCACAGCCTGGGTGTGTGGAGAGCCAGAGGGGCCCTGGGGCATCTTCCCCTGGCGCCTACCTTCCCCGACTTGGTAGAGGAGTTCCGGATGCAGTAGAGTCCATCCTGGGGCTCTCCCCGGGGGCTTGTAGCCTTGAACAACCTAAAATAAGACAGTCATATTAGCGGGTGAGTCCTCCTCGGGCAGCTTTCACACGGACCTTCCCGCCCCGCTCCCAAGCCTGGCTTTCTGTCCTCTCGCTGTTGTAGGTCTCAGGAGCTGAGCACGTCGGGCTGCCGTGAGGCTGACAGAAGCAGCCCAGCAGAGCCCTGGCCAGCCAGGGTGCCAGCTGGGCATGGGACAGAGCAGGGAGGTCCACTCCTCTGGTTTCTGCTGCACGCAGGGCCATGAACTTGTGCCAGCAACTCCCCAACACGGAAGCTAGTGAGAGGGACACAGAAGCAGGAAGCCGGGCATGGCGGAGGACCCAGCACACACAGGGCTTTGTGCTGACCTTTCCACTTCGCAGGACTCCGTGGTGTTGACGAAGACCGAGTTGGGCAGTGGCACCTGCAAGAGGCTGACGGTGTCAGTGCCAACGTCGGAGTGATCCACCCGCACCACCACTCCCCGGACGGTGGCCACCCGGTGCCGGGATCCGGGGCTTTACATGGTGCTGTGTCCCCCTAGGCTCCCGGGTTCTCGGGGGGTCCTTGCTCAGGACGGTCTGTGAGGGGCCGCCCTGGCCTATGGCTTTCCCACCACCTGTCCACCTACTGGCCACTGGGACCCAGGCTTGCCGCTCAGCCTTGCCTTCTCATAGTCCTCGTCCGAGTCGTCCCCGCCAGTGTCAGCCTGTGAGGGTTGCCGGGGCTTTTCAAAGGAGAAGCTCCTGAAACTCTGCCCATCGGGGGGTGATCGCCTGGAGGGGCAGGGAGAGGAAGGCAGGACCATTTCACTGTCAGACACGGGGCGGCCACCCTCTGCTCCCCTCCCCACTCCACCCTCTGTGTGAGGACGGCAAGCTGCCTGCTATGGCCCCTGTGACCCTAAAAAGCTCAGGACAACAGAGATCCGGGTAGGGCTCGTGCCGACTGCCCTGGGACAGCAGGAATCGCCCGACACCGGAGTCAGGGGTCAGGGCTGCCATGGATGCTGGCAAGGGAGTCCAGGGTTCCCAAGCTCAGTGTCATCACACCGTCAACAAGTGCTCTGGATGCTCGTGGGGAGGGGAGGTCCGGTCATGGCCAAATCACAGCCCACTCAGAGCCACAGGGGAGTGGACGTGAACTGGATGAACAATGCAGTGTGACCCCAAAGGACGCCCATGGCGTCCCTGCACGCCTCCCTGTGTGGCTAGCCGGTCCTGCTCAGCAAAGCCTCAAAGGCTCTAGGGAGGATTAACGGGCCACGCCAGCATGGGAGGCCAGCCTGTGGGTGAGGCTGAGCCCTGGAACCGCTATCCCCACAGTCATGGAAAAACGTGACTTCCGAACATCTGCATCTCTGCAGCCCTTGGTGAACTAGAACCACGAGTGTGACAAGGGCTGCTCAGAGGCACTTCCACACAGGCAGCAGGCATCTCAGAGGTGTTCGCAGAGCCCTGGGAGAAGGGCACCGTGGGCAAGGGCATTCGGGGGTGCGCGTGCCGGCCAGCACACCCATGCGAAACCTGCCCCTCCAGTTCCTGGACCCTTTGCCTGCCAGGCAAGGCAGGAAGCCCACCTGGGGTCCCAGATGCCTTTGACCACAGCCATTGGCGTAACTCTGTGGGAGTGGGGGACAAACTGGTCTCCTGGCACTTCCCAGAAATAAAGCAGAAAGCATTTCAGCAGGACGCGGTGGCTCACGCCCGTAATCTCTACACTTTGAGAGGCCGAGGCAGGCGGATCACTTGAGACCAGGAGTTCAAGACCAACCTGGCCAACATAGTGAAACCCCTGTCTCTACTAAAAATACAAAAATTAGCCGGGCGTGTTGGCAGGTGCCTGTAGTCCCAGCTACTTGGGAGGCTGAGGCAGGAGAATCACCTGAACCCCGGAGGTGGAGGTTGCAGTGAGCTGAGATCGCACCACTGCACTCCAGCTTGGTTGCCAGCGTGAGACCCTGTCTCAAAAAGAAAAAAAAACAAAGCATTTCCAGCAAGCTTCAGGGCTGAGTCATGGACATGCTCCACGTTCCACCAAGGCGGACTGGAGGCAACCGGGAACCTTCCTACCCTTGCACCTGGTACCCCGTCGTGGGCTAAGAGTGCCAGGGGAGCGAGGTGGGCAGAGTGCCCGTCAGAGGCCAGGCCAGGGTCCCTGTAGCTGGAGGCAGGGCTTGCAGCCGCCACACAAACTCACTGGAGGTGCGGGAGCTGCGGCTTCTCTGGCCTGGGCAGGACTGCGGGCCGCGCCATGGCCTCAGGCACTGGCAGCTTCAGCGCAGGAGGCCGGGGAGCCACGGGGGGCACAAAGAGTCCGGGCATGGCTGCCTCCCTTGGGGGGTCCTCTTCAGCTATCTTCAGGAACTTGGGCTTGTTGGCTGGCACAGGTGGGGGCTCAGATGTGGGTGGTCCTCGGGGGGACAGGTGGAAGGACTTGAGTTTGTCACAGTTTCTGGAGGTGGCAGTGGCCATGATGGCAGCACTGGAAGTGGAGCAGGCCCCGTGGCCAGGGGTCCAGGGCTCCGGGCTGGGGCTGGCACTCTCCCGGAAGCAAGGGGGTTTCCGGAGGCCGGGTGCGGTGGGCATGGTGCTCAGAGGGGGATCGCTCATCCTTCGGGGGGTAGCAGGTACCCTGGGGCAAGGCTCAGCCCGCCTCGGGCACAGTGGGTCCCTCTTGGAGTCCTCAGCAGCCAGGCCAACATCTGGGAGGCCGTGCTTAGGGGGCGGGGGTGGCAGTAGGGGACCGGGGCCCTTGGAGGTAAAGGAGTGGGCCCGGGGCATGTCAGAGAAGGCTGGCTTCCTGGGCGTGGGCACTGGGGGTGGTGGGTAAGCCGGTGGGTGCATCAGGGCATCTGCAGAGCAAAGAGACCCGGGTTGGACCCTGACAGAGACTGGGCCAACACTATCCTCTGCTGGCAGTGGTCAGCCAGGCCAACCAGGAGTGCAACCCATGGTAGGCCCACCCCACAGCCTGCCCACCCAGCAGCCCAGCACCCAGCACTCCCATCCTGCCTTCCCCAGGGTCCCAGACCACCCACCACCCCCAGCCTTCCCCATTCATCCTCCCTATGGCAGCCTGTGGACGCTTCCTGAAGCCTAGAGGACACCTGAGGAGCCCATCAGGTTCCCAGAGGTGGAAGGAAGAGAAAGGAAGAGAAGTCAAGAAGGATCTCAGGGCTCGGCTGGAGCGAGAGGGAGGACGGAATTCCCAAGGACAGGGGAGGGGAGCAGCTGGGAGGAAGGTGAAGGCCCGTGTTTGCTCAGAACATATCCAGAAAGCTGGGAGATGCCAGGGGATGCGGGGTCAGGGAATGTGTGCAGAGTTCAAAAATCCAGGCTGGACATGACTCGGAGCGGGCAGCCTGCAGATGACCCAGGCTGTCACCCAGGGAATTCGGGAGAGGAGTGAGGTCTGAGTCCCGGGTATCCCTCATGGGGCCAGCACAGGAGCTGAGGAGAAAGAGGACCCCGGGAGCACGGGGCGCCTGGAGGACGGGCTGGCAAGGAACAGGGCAGGCGCCAGGCTGGTGTGGCTCAGGACTGAGCGCTGGAACTGGGAATGGGGAGGCCACAGGCGTCCTGGACGAGAAATGTCTCGGGGAGAGGATGAAGGGGGTACAGAGGGAGGGTGAGTGGAGCAGTAGCATGCAGGAGCACTGGTGGCTCCCCAGGCCCATCTCTAGCCTCACTGGGCTGCAGCTCAGGGCTGGGCAGACGGAGTCTGAGTTCACCAAGGCTTGGCCAGCCAGGCTAAGACGGAAGGCAGTAGTGTGTGGGCGAAGGGACAGGCATGGTGAACACTGTGAGACAAGAGCTCTGCATGGAAGGAAACTGAGGCAAGCGGCCCGCAGACCCTCGTGGGCTGAAGGACTGTTGGCACTGGGACCCCAGAGGGAAGGAGGGAGGGAGCGGCAGGAGAAGAGGGGCTGGACCCGGGAGCCTGAAGGTGGGAGTGGATGGGAGGCAGAGAGGATACGGGGTCAGGGGCTGGGGTCGGCAGAGGCCAAGTCAGTGAGAACAGGAGGCTGGAAAACAAGGAGGCAGGGCGGACGCAGGGAAAATGGAAGGATCAAGGATCAGCCCCAGACATGAGGAAATTGACAAGATGAGGGGGCTGGAGAGACAATAGGGAGGGAGGAAGGGAGGGAGGCGACAGAGGAGGACAGAGACACGTCCTCCCCACCCAGCTCGTGCTTCCGTCATCCACGTGTGACCACCTGTATCAGCCTGTCTCTTTGACTAGGCCATGTGCTGCAGGAGGTAGGTGGACACTGGGATGGGATGGGGTGGGGTGGGACAACGACCTGGCCTGCAGCAGTGTCCACACAAGCTGGCAGCCATGGGGACATGGACCTGCCCTGAGCCTGCGCGCTCCTCAGCGTCCTTCCTTCCCCATGCTTAACCCCCAGGGCCACCCCGGCTCCACCTGCCACTTATCGCCATGTGCCTGTCCCTCCTCCTGGGAGGTGGGAGGAGGAAATGAGCAGAGGTGGCAGCAGCTACACCTCTTCTGCTCCAATCCTCATAATACTTGGGACACAGCAGGGAAGCGGAAGCCACCCAGAGCGGTACCTGGGCCAGCATCCCCAGCCTCGGAGGGGCTCTGCTCCCGGTCCCAGCCCCTGCTTCCTACACACCCAGAGCTCCCCGGGCCCACCCGCCCCACCTACCCTCAAGCCTTCCGGGCTCCGGGGAGTCAGGCTCCAGGTAGGAGTCATCCTCATCGTCGTGCTCATAGTCTGCATGGGGAGAGGGGGGTGGTGAGAGCCAAACCGGCCCAGGCCCAGTCTCCGAGCAATGCTCCATGCATGGGGCTGAGTCCAGGAGGCAAGGGGCAAGCACCTGCTGGGAGGACTGTGAGTCCAGACCCTGCCGCTGAAGGCCAGAGCCCAGGGATGCTACTGCGCACTGCCAAAGGGCCAGAGCAAGGAGCACAGCCGAACACACCTCCCTCTCCTCCACAGCGGCCAAGAGGAGGCCAGGTGGGGAGAGGCAAACGGGCAGTGGATGCGGAGAAAGACCTCACCTTCATTGTCCGTGGGGTACGGGGAAAGGCTGATATCCACAGGCCGCTCAACTGCGCCGTAGAAGCTGTCTGTGTCCGAGCTGGAGTCGCTGCAATGCAGGGTGCGTTGGGGCGGACGGTGAGCACCAGGCCTGGGAGGTCCCTTGATGCTCACACAAAGGTACACACAGGCACACGCGGATACATGGACAGATACACAGATGCACACACGGATACACTGACAAACACATGCACACATGGTTAAGCTGACAGACACACACATGCACACACGGATACGCTGACAGACACACACATGCACACATGGATACGCTGACAGACACACACATGCACACATACTCTGACAAACACACAAATGCACACGTGCACACACAAGCACACGCAGGAACACAGGCACACAGGCATGGATATATATACACAAAGACACAGGGACACGCGCAGACATGTAGACACACAGACACAAGGACTCTGTCACACAGACATGGAAGTATACAGATAAACACAGATACAGGACAAGCACACATGTTCACACACAGACGAGCGACACACGGACACGCACACACAAACACAAGCAACACGCGGACATGCACACACACAGAGCAACATGCGGACATGCACACACACACAGAGCAACATGAGGACATGCACACACACAGAGCAACACGTGGACATGCACACACACACAGAGCAACACGCAGACATGCACACACAAACACAGAGCAACACACAGACATGCACACACACACAGAGCAACATGCAGACATGCACACACACACACACAGAGCAACACGCGGACATGCACACACACACAGAGCAACACGCAGACATGCACACACAAACAGCAACACGCGGACATGCACACACACAGAGCAACACGCGGACATGCACACACAAACACAGAGCAACACGTGGACATGCACACACACAGAGCAACACGCGGACATGCACACACAAACACAGAGCAACACGCAGACATGCACACACAAACACAGAGCAACACGTGGACATTGCACACACACACACAGAGCAACACGCGGACATGCACACACACAGAGCAACACGCGGACATGCACACACACGGAGCAACACGCGGACATGCACACACAGTTACAAGGACAGACAGAAGAACTGGAGGCTGTGGTGCCTCCACTAGGTGCCCCTTCTGGCCCACAAGGATGGCCGCCCTGACTGTGCCCACGTCTCCACCTGCTCCTGCCTCAAGAGGGCTTGGGCGACTCTGGGCTGGGCCCGAGGCTGAACAGCTTGGACCAGGGGACGGGAGCCCGGAGTCAGGCAGGGACCTGCAGGGCAGCCTTGGCTGTGCCCAGCCCTCCCTGGGCCTCCTGTCCCCACCTGTGAAAGGACAGGAAGGTTTGTTCCCTCCACATCGTCTCGGGCCAGGAAGTCCCAATCCAGAGAGTATCTGCTGCACGTCGGGCCAGCTCACGGGGGAGGCTGCCAAGGCTCAGACTGCCCAGTGGCGCCCCGCCAGGAGAATCATTCTGGTCTCACTCTGAGTGAGCCAGGGTGGGCGTAGGGGGCTGGGAACCCAAAGTGCCCAGCTGCTGCCATGCCAGGCCTCCCTGGTGGCAGGCGTATAAACACACATGATCCCCTAACAGGAACTACCCATGGCGGCAACACAGAAACAGATGTGACAGATGGGGCTGGAGGTAGACAGGAGCAGAGAGATGCATGCACACCTGTGCATGCTCTGTGTGTGTGTGCATGTCTGTGTGTTGCTCTGTGTTTGTGTGTGCATGTCTGCGTGTTGCTGTGTGTGTGTGCATGTCCACGTGTTGCTGTGTGTGTGTGCATGTCCACGTGTTGCTCTGTGTGTGTGCGCATGTCCACGTGTTGCTCTGTGTGTGTGCATGTCCGCGTGTTGCTTGTGTTTGTGTGTGCGTGTCCGCGTGTCGCTCGTCTGTGTGTGAACATCTGTGCTTGTCCTGTATCTGTGTTTATCTGTAGACAGGAGCAGAGAGACGCAGCCCAGCTGGCACCTCCAGGAAACCTTTAAGGACGGAATTCTATGCCAAGCCCGGGGCTGGGAGGCGGACACCCGGGTCAGGCCCAGGCGCCCCAGGGACCCTCACTGCCCGGTATGCCCTGGGCCCGGGCTCACCTGGTGTCCAAGGGCAGGTCTTTCTTTTCGTGGAAGTGGCCAATCTCCCTGCGCAGCAAGGCCATCCAGCTCTGCAGGTCAGCGGGGCTGTGGTGGGCACGGTGCCACCAGGGTGGGCCCCACCGCACCCCTCCACCTTCACTGCCCTGCCTGCTCTGCTGTGACTCCCAAGGTCAGAGGAGGCGACCCGGCTGGATACAACATGGCTGTGTGGCTCCCCTCAGCCCACAGGGGCACCTCCCAGGACAGCATGTTCCTTGTGTGGGCGCTGGCACCAGGCTCTGGGCATGGGGATGGAGCTGGGGCAGCACCCACCCAGCTGCCTGTGTCCCAGCCACACCTTCTCTTTGCCCGGGGCTGAGAGGCCAGCGCCCCAGGACCAGCGAGCCCCCAAGGCAGGTCCAGCCTGGTGCCTGCAGGCCCACACCCCCAGTCACCTTGCACTCGTCCTCGGACCCCCAGTCACCTTGCGCTCCTCCTCGGAGGAGGCCGAGAAGAACCACGTGCGGTGCTTCTTGCTGATATGGATGATCTTGAAGGGGAAAACGTTGTTGGACGTGGTCTCCTCAGCCGCCCGCATCACCCTGGGGGCACAGCGCCAGGGGTCACGGCCTGGTTCACAGCTATAGGGATGGCCTTCCCACAGCACCCCCCTGTGAACACGTCTCGGCACCAGCACCACGCCCCAACGGAAGAGGGCAGATCGGGTGGGCCCTGGCTGCTGATGCTCCCAGTAGTGAGCTTCATGCCCAGGCAGGCGTAAGGGGGCATGGAGGGGCATGGAAGAGGGGTGCTGGGTGGGCTTCGTGGGAGCAGCAGTGCACAGGAGACAAGGACAAACCTGCCTCGATGCCCGCCAATGCCACTTTACATGGACGCCACCCTCCCACCTCTGGCCCCATTTGCCCAGGCCTGCTTGGCCTCCCTGGGGTACCCCACAGGGCTCCGTGCCCCTGAGGCCCAGCAGCAGCCCTGAGTGCATTTCAGGGAATGACTCGTGCCTGCTCTGCGGCCCACTCACACAGCCAGGATGTGGGGTTTGCGCTGAGTTTATCACGTGGGGAGCCCTGCCAGCCAGGCACCGGGGCAGGTGCACTTATACGGCCCATAAGAGCCTGGCCAAAACTCCTCAGGCCCAGCATTCCCTGATGGGCTAGACAATTCCCTGGGGCATGATTGCATCTGCCACTGGGCCCAGGGTTCATGGCATGGCTGGCACATGCTGGAGGCCGGAAGGCGCTGTGTCTGTCTGCAGAAAGGGAACGACCTTCCCCAGGGGACCCCGGAGCTCTGTGCCAGCATGGGGGCCTGGCACCAGGCTGGGTGCTCTGGCAAGGCTGCCCTACCAGGCCTGTGGCCAGGGTGCAGGCCGGGGCCTAGAGTCACTCCAAAGGTCCCAGTTCCACTACTGATACCATGTGACCCTTGGTTCCTCATAGGCAGGAGGGGCTGGGCCCTTAAGGGGTGGTAAGAGGCATAGATAAATGCTGTGGGGTGCAGGGCTCCGATGGGATAGCAACCAGAACCAGAGCTGGGTGCCAGCATTAACCCTTTGTGTGGGCCCCAGGCCATGGGCTGTGCCAGTGCACTCCCCCACCCACATGCCACCTGGCCACCGCCCACCTGCCTGTTAGTGCAGAAGGCCCTCCAGGGCAGCTCATGGCCCATCACTGGATAGAGCCCAGCCCAGGACATGCGTGAAGCTGGAAACTGATCCCGGCCTGGGAGGACCCTGGAGCAGGGAATCCTAGGGCCCAGCCTCTGTTTGGGACAGGGCCTGGGCTGGCTGGGGTCTGGGCTGCCTGGAAAGAGGTCATGGTGGGTGAAGGGGCAAGGTGGGGAGGGAGGAGAGATGCAGAAGTCACTGGGTGGTGGCCGAGTGGAGACTCTGGAGAGCAGGCTGTCCAGGCCTCTGGGACTTGTGCACAAAGCCACAGGAAGACCCTGGCACCCCCAAGGTCCTGCGCCTGAGGGCAGGACACGCGGAGAGGGCGAGGCACTGTGGAGGCTGGGCGGGGAGGACAGGGGATGGGCACGAAGGCTGCTTCGGGAAAGCACTTTCCTTGGGCGGGAATAAGGGGCAGGCCCAGCTGGGGCTCTGCTGGGAGGGACCCGCTGGCTGTGGGGGCCCGAGGTCAGCAGGCAGGTCGGGCACTTACCGGTTATAGCCACTCAGGGAGAAGGCGCCCTGCGGGGAGGCAGAGGTGCTACTCTTGAAGTAGTAGACGCAGCGTTTGTGGATGATGACAAAGCGCAGGGGCCCTGTGGGAGGTGGCAAGGGCAGGAAGGTGAGCCTGGAGGGGCAGCTGCCAAGACCCACTGTGAGGACCCTCCACAGGACAACTTGGGGCCAGGCCTCCTGCCTCTAAGCCTTACCAAATGGAAGAGCAGGGAGCAAGGCTGGCATGCTGCCCCCTCCCCAGGAGCCCACTCTGGGGCCAAATACGGAAAAAATTGTAGGCACACTGGCTAGCCCCAGAGTGCCACCCGAGGGCAGGCCTGGCTGCCCACAAAGAAGAGGTAGATTTGGGGGGCTGTGTGGAGCCAGCATGAGGCAAGGCAGAGCCAGGACCAGAGGCCCAGGGAGGCCACAGCTGACTTGCTGGGTGCTGCAGGGCTGTTGGAGGCTCCCACTACCCCAGAGCTAAAAGAGGGGGACTAAGGCCGGGTGCAGTGGCTCACGCCTGCGATCCCAGCTACTCAGGAGGCTGAAGCAGGAGAATTGCTTGAACCCGGGAGTCAGAGGTTGCAGTGAGCCAAGATCGTGCTACTGCACTCCAGCCTGGGTGACAAGAGTGAGACTGTCTCTAAAAATAAAAGATGGGGTGAGCCTGAGCAACATGTGAAACCCCATCTCTACAAAAAATACAAAACTTAGCCGGACACGGTGGCATACATCTGTAGTTCCAGCTACTTGGGAGGCTGAGGTGGGAGGATCATTTGAGCCCAGGAGGTCGAGGCTGCAGTGAGCTGTGTTCGCACCCACTGCACTGCAGTCTGGGTGACAGAGTGAGACATAAAAATAATAAATAGGCCAGGCGCGGTGGCTCATGCCTGTAATCCCAGAACTTTAGGAGGCCAAGACAGGATCACTTGAAGTCAGGAGTTCGAGACCAGGCTGACCAACATGGTGAAACGCTGTCTCTACTAAAAATACAAAAATTAGCTGGGCGTGGTGGCACACTCCTGTAATCCCAGCTACTCAGGAGGCTGAGGCAGGAGAATTGCTGGAACCCAGGAGGTGGACGTTACAGTGAGCTGAGATCAAGTCACTGCACTCCAGCCTGGGCAACAGAGCAAGACTCCATCTCAAAAAAATAAATAAATAAAAAACAAAAATAAATAAAAAATAGGCTGGATGCGGTGGCTCACACCTGTAATCCCAGCACTTTGGGAGACCAAGGCGGATGGATCGCTTGAGCTCAGGAGCTCCAGGCCAGCCTGGGCAACATAATGAAATTCCATCTCTACAAGAAATTTAAAAAAAAATTAACAGGGCATAGTGGCATGCCTGTAGTCCCAGCTGAGGGGATCACCTGAGCCTGGGAGGTTGAGGCTGCAGTGAGCCATGATCACGCCACTACACTCCAGCTTGGGCAACAGAGCAAGACCCTGTCTCGAAAAAATAAAATAAAAGAGGGAGACTCAGGAGCCCGGAGAGTTTGCCAGTGAGAGCCACTGGTGTGGGGCCACCCCTAGGTGGAAAGTTACACTGAAACCACCCTAGCTCCACTGCCCCAGCCCTGTCCCAGGCTGGGGGACAAGCCAGTTACAGCTCCTCCAAGGAGGCTGTCTGTGCAAAGAGGAGAACAGCTCAACCAGTGCCCGTACAGGAACCAATCAGTCCAGCCTGGACATCTCAACCAGGCGGCCCAGGACCAGGGAGTCCCTGGCAGAGGGCACTGCTACTGCAAAGGCATGGAGCACCTGCTGCTCAGGCCCTGATGCTCTTGGCCTTCAGTATCTCAGCATTTGGGTATCTCTCAAGCCTGAGGGCTGCTTCTTCCTCCCAGCCAGCTGTCCTGGGGGCCAGAGCCTGGGTCTTGTGCAGCTCCAGAGGTCCAGCACCCAGCCAGGACTTGACACATAGGTTCACTGTGGGCGAAGTGACCAACTAACTCACTGAACATTCACGGATTCAGTGAGGGCAGCACCAGAGGCCAGACCTACCTGGCCACCTGTGGTCCCCAGGTCCTGGCTGCAGGCTGCAGCTCCCCTTGCCAGCTGGCCAGCACTGTGCACCACCCCGGACCCTGCTACAGTCCTGGGGGCTAGGGAAGTCAACCTCTGCTTCTCCAGGGGTGCCAGCCACCAGAGAGGGAATGGGAAAATCCAGAGGGCACACCATGTGAGGAAGCAGAGGCTTGGAGAGGATGCTTACTTACATGGCTAGCCCTGCCCCCATGCCCTCCTACTGTGCACCCTACCACCCCAGGGACTCACATTTCAGCAGCTGCAGCTGGGTACCGCCCTTCTTGTGCAGGTAGCCAGCCTTGGCCACGCCCCCAGGCATGGTTAGCAGGTTCTGGGCACCAATGGCCTTCATAGGGACAGGCCAATGCATCTCTTCAGCCGCCATGAAGCTGCAATAAAGGACAAAGGCACGTGGCTCAGCTACGGTCAGGCAGGAGATGGCTGAGCCAGGGCGCTCAGGGGGACACTGCCAAGATCCAGGACACAGCTTGGAGGGTAGGGCCATGACAGGCAAGGAAACCCCTTTTCTGAGGGCCTTGGGCTTCCAGGTGGGACCCCAGGGAGAGACAGAGCCACGGGCTCCACTCAGTCAGCCCCTGGTCCACTCAGCCACAAACCCAACCCCAGGATCCTGAGCGCTACGTGCAGCCCTTTCTCTCCACTGGTTCATTCTGCACACAGCCACTGAGCGCAAGGCCCCACGGGGGCTGGGTAGAGATGAACGAACTCAGAAAACTGCCAGCCCAGGTAAGTGAGACCTCAGGCCATAACTACTTCAAGTCCCAGTGCCAGGTGAACCTATAAGGGGCCTAGACAGGAAGAAGGCAAGTGAGCAGCCAAGAGCACCCAGCTCAAACGACCTGGGCTCCCATCCTGGTGTGACTTTCTGGGAGATCCCAAGCCTCAGATGCTGGAGGACAGAGTGGACACCCAGCCCAGCACACAGCACACTGTTGTCAGCAGTGGTCGTGACCACCATTTGGTGGGTTGGCTGCTATCCACCCCACCAGCCCAGGATATCACTCCCCTTCCCTCTGAGCCCAAGCGAGGACCACACAGTCAGTGGAGGACCAGTGACTGCCTTGGGGCTAACCCAGGCCCACAGGACCCAACATCATGCCCTGCCCCCTACTCCAGCCCCCCTTACTCATGCTCCAGCTGCTCTCCTTGAGATACACCATGCTGTTTAATGCTTCCTCCTCTGCCTGAAATGACCTCCACCCCTTCCCATGCAGAGAACTTCTACTCATCCATCAAGACCCAGGTTAAGAGTCCCCTCTTCTGCTAGGCACCCTCATTGCCCACTTAAATCCAGCATCTTCCTCATCTCTTGTCCCAGTGAACAGTACCCCCCGACCCTGCACTGTTTGGTCTGTGCCTGCCCTCACTCCATCCTGGGTAGGGTCACTCCTGTGGCCCCAGTGGAGTTGGATGGGAGCAGGCCTGTGGCCAGTGTCCTGTTAAGCCCTTAGTGGAGCAGCTAAGGTCAGACCCAGATGCCCAGTGGGGCTGGGACTGGTTCCACTACAGCTCCAACCCCAAAAAACATACATAAAGAAAACTAAGCCAGGGCAACATAGCAAGACCCTATCTCTAAAAAAAAATTTTTTTTTAATTAGTCAGGCATGGTGGGGTGCATCTGTAGTCCCAGCTGCTCTAGGAGGCTGAGGCAGGAGGATCACTTGAGCCCAGGAGTTTGAGGCTGCAGTGGTCTATGATCGTACCACTGCACTCCAGCCTGGGCAACAAAGTGAGACACTGTCTCTATAAATAAATAAAATAGCCGGACGCAGTGGCTCACGCCTGTAATCCCAGCACTTTGGGAGGCCAAGGCAGGCGGATCACTTGAGCTCAGGCGTTCAAGGCCTGCCTGGGCAACATATAGAGACAACCATCTCTAAAAAATAATTAGCTGAGCTTGGTGGTGCACACCTATAGTACCCGGAGGAGGCTTATCCAGGAGGATCGATTGAGCCAGGAGTTCCAGGAGGCAGTAAGCTATGATTGGCCACTGCTCTCCAGTCTGGGCAACTGAGCTGGAGCTAAAATTAAAAAATTAAAAACAAAATAAATAAAAAGAAAAATACTCTCTGCTTTTAGCAAACCAGCACCCTCCAACAAAAGTGCAAGAGGAAGTCTTCAAGGCATCAGGCTGTCTTCTGCCGGCCTCGGCCTGGGTCACCCGGCTGGACCCCACCAGCTCCTTCTGCACCCAAAGACAGCCCCTCTGGGCAGGGAGGGGTCAGGGGCGGGTCCCAGCCGCAGGACCCCCAACCACAGGCCAAGGTTTGGAACAAAGGCGCCGCCACACCCCGCCGCCCGCCCAACCGCGCCCGGCCCGAAGGAGCCCCGCAGTGGGGATGGAGGAGGGAGCCCCGTGCCCAGTCCGCCCGCGGGGAGCTGCCCGCAGATCGACAAGCCCCGTGCCGGCCTGAGTCCCCCATCCGCCCGCCGGGACGGTCCACGCCCGCCTTTGTTCCCCCAAGAAGCGCGTGGGCGACCAGCAGCGCCCGGGGCTCGCGGCCCTGGTCCAGGGGCTCGGGGTGCGGGGTCCAGAGCCGGAAGCTCGCGGCCCGGGTCCCGGGGCTCGGGGGCCGGGGCTCGGTACTCACGGCGTCCACGCGGCGGGCATGGCCGGCTTCCCCGGGGCGATCCACGCCCGCCTCCCCTGCGAGCACCGGCACGGCCCCGGGCCGCGTCCCCCGGCCGCCGCCGCCTCGTCCCGGGCGCCCGCCTCCCGCCGGCCCCAGCTCCGCGGCCGCGGCCCGGAGCCCGCCATGCCCGCCGGCCCTGGCCTGGCAGCCGCCGGCTCCTCCCCTCTCGGCGGGGGACTGGGCGGGCAGGTGAGGATCCCGGCGCGCCCCTCCCGGCCCCGCCCCCTGCCGCGTCACCGTGCGCGGGAGGCACGTGAGCCCCCTGCGGGCCTCAGTTTCCCCACGCTGCAAGGAGGTTGGTGGGCGCTTGGGACAGGAGGCCCACATCTGTTGGTGCAGCCTGGAATCAAGAAGCCTTCGATGCAAACGAGGCCTCCCGCTCCACTCCCCCAACACCTGCCAGTCCACACAGCTTGGTTGGAAATCCACGGCCGGCGCGGGAGCCTCGGCTCTGAGGCCCCGCCCAGGTCCCATCCCGCCGGGCCCTTGCAACCAGCTCCCTCGGGAAAGTGGCCTCTGCAAAACGGCACCTGCATGGAGGGCGGCAACGGGGCAAGGGATCGGGCACGTGCCCCGCCCTCACCTTCTCCACTTTCCTGCGGGACTCCATGGGCCTCCAGCCCCGGATTCTCCAAGGAGCCAGGGGTCTGGTCCTTGGCACCTCCCACCTGCTTGCCCAAACGCAGGCACCTCACCCAGGAGAGTCCCCTGGGGTGGCCAAAGGCCGGCAGAGGCCCTTGCTGGCCTCCCAGGCATCCTGCCTCCTCCATCTTCCACCTGCAAACAAGCTGCCACCAAGATGGGCCAGATGCAGGTGTGGCTCTAACAGCCTGGGCCTGACCCTACCTAGCTGTCCATCCTGGGCACCCACCCTGGTTTCAAGGCCCCACCTCAGGCCCGCTATCTGGACTTCTTCCCACTGCACCCAGCCTTCGAGGCTCTGTCCCATCTCTGTGCCTCTGTTCTCAGTGCCCTTGTCTGGCCTGCCTCAAGGATCCCACCTCCTTCCAGCCGCCCTGCCAGGCCCCTCTCCATTGCCTCTTGGCAACCCCCTCCACTTCCTCTCCTCAGGCTTCCTCTGCCTCCAGCCCCCTCCACCCAGCACAGAATCAACACGCACACCATTCCCATCACTGCTCAGTGCTAAACCTCTAGGGCCTCCTCATGCCAACCTGGCCCTTCCTGATTCAGCCACTCCTGCCCTCTACCTTCTGTGCTCTTACGCCAGCCAGACCCTATGGCTCCAGTTACCTGAATCGAGCAAGCACCCACTTGCAGGCCTCAGCCCCTGCTGTTGCCACAGCCTAAAGTTGAAACTGAACTAACCCAGCCATCAAGAGTTGGCTCAAAAGAACATGGATCCTTCACAAACTTCCAGAAAATAGAAGAGGAGGGAACTCATTCTATGAGAGCAGCATTATCCCAATACCAAAACCAGACAAAGACATCACAATAAAACTACAAACCAATATCCCTTATGGGTATAGACATAAACATCCTCAACAAAATACTGGCCAACTGAATCCTGCAACATATAAAAGGGATTCTACACCAAGACCATGTGGGATTTATCCCAGGAATACAAGGATGGTTTAATATTCAAAACAATTAATGTAATACACCATATCAATAGAATAAAGGACAACCACATGATTTTGATAGACGAAGAACAAGTGTTTGACAAAATTCAACACTCCTCCATGATAAGAAGAGTCAACAAACCAGGAATAGAAGGGAAGTTCCTCAATCTGATAAAGGGTTCTATGAAAAACCCACAGCTAACATACCTAGTGGTAAAAGACTGAAAGTTTTTCCCCCAAGAACAGGAACAAGGAAAGGATGTCTGCTCTACTTCTATTCAGCATAGTACTGGAGATTCTCACCAGAGTAATTAGGCAATAAAAAGAAATAAAAGGTATCCAGAATGGAAAGAAAGAACAATTATTCACTGATTAGATTATTTTACATACAGAAAATCCCAAGGAATCCACTTAAAAATTATTAGAATAGCCATGCGCAGTGGCTCACGCCTGTAATCCCAGCACTTTGGGAGGCTGAGGCGGGCAGATCACCTGAGGTCAGGAGTTCGAGACCAGCGTGGCCAACATGGTGAAACCCCCATTTCTACTAAAAATACCAGGTGGCAGGCACCTGTAATCCCAGCTATTTGGGAGGCTGAGGCAGGAGAATCGCTTGAACCCGGGAGGTGGAGGTAGCAGTGAGCCGAGATTGCGCCATTGCACTCCAGCCTGGGGAACAAGAATGAGACTTCATCTCAAAAAAAAAAAATTATTAGAATAAATGAGCAGCAAGGTGGCAGGATATAAGATCAACATACAAAAATCAATTCTATTTCTATATACTAGCAACAATCCAAAAATGAAAGGAAGAGTTAGTTCAAGCGTTCCCTTTTCCAGGCAGTCTCCCATAACCTCTCTGGAGTCCTGTGTCCCTCCCTTGGGGCTAGCATAGCCTTCTCTGCCCCTAACACTGACCACACTAGTTGGTCATTGTCTCCCATCCTCACCAGCTCAGACCCAGCCCAGGGGGGACACCCAGGTAGCCCCAAAAGAAGGATGGAATGTTCACCCTGTGGGTGACAGGGACTGCAAGTTGCCTGGAAGGCACAGGAAGCTGAAACAGAGCCCCTACCCTGGGGCATCACACCCCACTGTGCCCCCGCCACCCAAAAGCTATAAGACCTGGCCTGTGTGTCAAAGTGGGAGGAGCCACTGTGAGGACAGATGGAACCCACCACCTCCTCCTGGCTCCACACCTGGACAAGGCTCAGCAGGAAGAGTTACAGGGACAGGTTACAGTCCTACATGGGTCCAGCTCAGTGGCCAGATAGGGGCAGGCCTGTGAGGGGCTCGTTCCTGCCTGGCTGCTGTCCCGCTGTGGGCAGGATGAAGGCTCTTAGGTGATCATCAGCTGACCCTGGGCAGGGGGACAGGTCATGACAAGGGCAGGTCATGTGGCACCCTCACCTCCCCTGGGAATTCCTCGCTTCAGGGACAGACGCTGACACCCACAGCCCCTCTCCAGAGGAGGGGCCATTCAAGGGGAAACCCACCCCTGCCACCTTACTATCCTCTGCCCCACCTGGCCCTGCCCTGTGCCAGGGGGTGATACCTGGCCAGGAGCCCAGTGCCAGGCCAGGCTGAGAGCAGAAAGGGGAAAGGTCGGCTGAGGCTGAGGGTGATGATGGGCCATGGAGGCCGTGGTGACCATGCTGCTCTTGGGGAAGTTCAGCCCAGCTCACAGAATCTGGCCCCACTTGTGCTCGGGAAAACCAGGGGGCATCCCCAAGGAGCACCCACACTCCTAGCTGGCCAGGCCTCCCTGGCTGTGCTTCTCAGTGCCCAGCCCCTCTTCCAGGGACCTGATGGTTAAATTCCATTCATTCATTCCAGGGGACTCCACAGGCCTACCTGCCAGCTCTCTGGGTGCTTCAGTCCCTTCCTCTGTAGAGGCAGACACCCTGGGGGGACCTGTCACCATGCTGCTGCGGTGTCGGCTGAGTTAACATGGGCAGGAGCTGTGAGGGAGAGTGCTGAAGATCTGGGTTCACATCCTTCCTGGGGCCCCTCCTTCCCCTGAGCCCCCACCTCCTCCAGTGTAAAGTGGGTATGGAGGAGTCCACTCTCAGAGTCCCCTGACACCTCTGCAGCTGCTCTCTGGGGCAGGGCTCTGGAGACACATGGGCCAGCGTTGGGCGGCCAAAGCTGGTGGTGGCTGCTGGGCTCCATGAGCCCTTCCAGAAAGTATGTGATCTTTGCATGTGTGCACACGTGGAGATTTGCATTTGAGCCTGTACACTTGTGCGTGTGTGCGTGTGTGTGTGTGTGTGCACATGCACATTAGGGAAGACGGGGCACCTGGGATACACTCTCCAGGTCTCTGTTTCTGTGCTCATCTCCCTACCTTCTCTCAAAGTTGCAATTGGTTCAGGTGACCCCAAGGCCTGAGGCTGCTGCGGTGGGGGGCAGAGCAGTCAGGTGAAAAGTGCTCAGTCCCACAGAGACACCCCATCGGGTTCCATTTAATGCAGGCTCTGTGGCTCCCACCACCCTGGGGCCCCATGAGCCCTGTGGCGTGTGTGGTCATGGCCTGTGCAGGCCCTCATGTGCGCTGTGTCTCTGCACACCCAGTTAATGTCACAGGTGGTGCACTCACACAGGACGTGCACATGAGCTGCACAGCTCGCATGCACACAGGCGTGAGCCCCTGCATAGGAGCAGGGTGGGGGCTCTGGGAGGCTGGGCTCCTGCAGGATCATCCTGGCTGTGGTAAGGGAGCCAGCACCTCATGTGACCACAGGGTCAAGGACTTACTGTTAGTGGTGATCAGGTTGGCCCCATTTGTGGGAGCCACAGGGCAAGTTGGGGCTGGGGATCCAGCCCAAAGGGAGAAGATACCAGGTCACCCTGTGCACTTTATTCACACGCTCATATATGCGCATCCTGTCACACTCATGCATGTACAGTTAACACTCACACCATCCACACTAACACATATATACACACTCATTCTCCCGCATGCCCACTCGCTCTCATGTTCTCATACACACTCATGCACTCATGTCTACTCATACGTGCACACTCACACCCATATGTATACTGATATACACATTCATCACACTCACTCATGCATATGCAAGCACTCATTCACACACACACAGCCTCCAACGACCAACAAGACCTGTCAAGTGCGGTCTTCTGTGTCTCCGTGTCCTGAAGCCTGAGCACAGAATCATCACCACCACTCCCAGCCCTGCCAGGGCCCAGTGCCAAGCTGTACCTCACAGCTCACTAAATCGACCAGGGTCCACCTGAGCTCAATACTTTACTTCTATTTTACAGACTTGGGTATAGAGGCTGGGAGAGGATCAGGCCTTGTGCCGAGCGCACTGGGCACTCCCTGTGGGCCAAGCTCTGTGCTTCTCAGTGATCGCCCCATCATCCAACACCTTGAGCTTCAAACCAGAGTCCTCCCCAAGTCACTGACGAAGAAACTTGGCCAAAGTCACACAGCCAGTAAATGGTGGCTCACGCACCACCCCCGGCCCAGCACAGCCACGGCCCAGCTTGGCGCACAGTGGGTGGCCGGTGGTGGGCGTGGGATGTGCAGATGGGGCGGCTTCCACCTTGGAGCCCTGGCTGCCCTGCCTCCCCACAGCTGTCTGCTCTTCCTTTTCGGTTTCCCTTGTTTCCTTCCTGTTCCCAGAATCTTTCTCTGTTAACATAATCAAAACCAAAATTCTCCCGTAAAGGCCCAGTAACCAGCTATGCCAGAGAAGCACTGCTGGCCAGGGGCAGGGTGGCCCAGCCTGGGCTCTGCGAGCACAGCCCCAGCCCGGCAGTCCCTGAGGTCCCTGCGGGTCCTCCACATTGCAGGTTTCAGAGCATGGCACTCCCCAGGTGGGCAGCAGGGACCTTGTACAGCTCTCTCCGTTACCCCCCCACAACAGAAACACACACTCACATACACAACGTGTGTACTTAGGACCCAAACACCAAGGCCACCCTGCAGGCTGTATCATGAGAAGTTCCCGGACCTGGGCCCCACCCCAGCAGGCTGGCCCCCGCCTCCCTGTCGGCCGCATGTGATGGGGGGGTGGGGGGGGTTCTAAGTATCACATTCCCTCTCTGGCCTCCCCCTGTGCCTGCCAGCTCGGGGGCCTCTCAAGGCAGACAGAGGCCACTCTCCTCAGAGCCTGTTGCCTTTTGCAGGCTCAGGGCCACCTCCTGTGGGCTCCCACGGCCAGCCCCGAGGAAGGCTGTGGCTCCCACGTGGGGCCCCCTTACTGGTTCTTCAGGTGCTAGACCAGTGCCGCCTCCCGAGCCCCAGTCCTGGGGCCGCCCCACTGACCTGATGGTGCTGACCCAACACATGGCCCTCCGTCCTCGTGACCTGCTCGGGGCCGGTGTCCTGGGGCCCAGGGAGGCCATGCGGCTCAGGGGCCACCAGCCCAGGCAGCCTACATCTCCCAGACATGTGAGGCCTGACGCGCCTGGCTGCCCCACAGCTGTGCCCACAGCTCACTCCTGCTGCTTCTGAGGCCTGTGGCCGCCGGTGCTTCCTCCCCACCCGGGACTTCCTGTTCCCTGCTCCCTGGGCAGCACCAAGTAGCCGGCACTTCCTGCCTTCTACCCTGTGAGGTCCTGAAAGCTGCCTGGGGCCCAGGGCTGCCCCTCATCCACCATCCGGGTTTTAACTCCTACCTTCCACTGCTCCTGCCCTCCCATCCTGTGGTCAGAGGCCAGGGCTCTCTGGCTCCAGCGCAAGGTCAGCTGCATCCCTGGGAGGAAGCTCCCTGCTGCCTCCCCGCAGGGCCACCTCTGAATACTCGGCTTCTCCCTAGCAAACCATGAAACAACCTGCACCCTGGGTGTCAGGCCCAGCACAGAGCAGCATTTACAACACACACAGGGATGGTGTCACCTTACCAGCATGCTCTTCCTGCCAGGGCAGCTGCTGCCACCCTGCTCTGCCATCTGAGGCCACACAGAGGGCTGTTATGTCTTGCACCCGGTTCTATGAATTTCAAGGTGGCCATCTCTGTGCCCTTTGACACCAAGGGACTGAGGGACTAGGCCTGGGCTCTGGCATTCCTCGATTCCTACTCTATCCCCAGCCTTTTCACGTCCCCGCAACCACACCAGCTCTGCTAACATCTGGTTTGCTAGAAAGTACATTATGGCTGAGTGGCAAAGCACGCTCCCGTACTCACCGGCCCCTGCCCCAAGGCCCGCTCAGAATTCGGCCCCTCCCAGGGCTGCTCTGCCCCCACCAAGCCCAGTGCCCTGCCCAGGCCCAGAGCCCGGAAGCAGGGAATGGGGATTCTAGCCACTGGCTGCTGAGCGCCCTCCCTCTCCTCCCAGAACTTGCCCAGGGAGGACAGGACCCCTGGGCAGAGGCAGCTGGAGAAAGGGGCTTTCTGGGGCCTGGGGCCACCCTCACAGCAGGATTTGAGGGTGACAGAGGCCACAGAGCACAGGCCACAAAGCTGCAGGGGTCTCATCTTGCCCGCCAGGCTTCCTAGGGCACGGCCCCCCGAAATCAGCCTCCCAACAAACCCTGGACCCCAGCCCCGTAACCGGCTGTGCAGGTCCCAAGCTGTCCCATAGCCTAGGTGTCGGGTCACTCAAAAAAGGCAGCTCCCAGGCTAAGGAGCTCCGTCTCCCCAGCTGTGTCTGCAGCCCCAGCCCTGCTGCCAAGGTCCCCCTCGGGGCCCGTTTGGGCTGCAGACACCCCACTGTCTCCTAGAGGGTGAGGAGCTTGGGCTTTTAGGTCTGGGGCCTCCTTAGCATGGGCACAGACACCCTGGCGTCCCCAGCCTGTGCCAGCCTCAGTCCCCTCAGGTGGCCAAGGGCAGACCACACCTTCAGCAGAAGGCTGGCCACAGCAGGCAGACAGACAGAGGGCAGCGAGGAGGGCACGGACAGAGTGGGGCCTCTTCCCATTCTCTTTCCTCCTTGCAGGAGGGTTGAGATCAAACAGCAGGTGAGGAACCCCTGGGCCACTGCCCAGCCTGGACGATGAGGCAGGCAGTTCTGACAGTTGGGGCTGCAGGGTCCAGAGGAGGGACCAGGCCCTGTGGGTTCTGGACTGGGGAACGCCTCCCAGAGGAGGGGCCCAGCTTTGATAGAGGAGGAAGTTTGCTGGAAGGAGCTGGGGTGAGGGAGCCACGGGAGGAAGGGGCTTGGGGTGAGCACACCCCAGGGTTGGGAGGAATCCACAGGCAATGAGGTGGCCAACGCACAGCTTCAGGGATGACAACCCATGAAGATAAGAACCCAGAGGCAGCCGGCGCTCTCAGGAACACGCCACCCCTTACTGGGCAGGCAAATGCAAGAGCGGACAAGGCCTGAGCTGGAAGCAGGAGCCAGGCTCGCCCCTGCCCTTGCTCCGCCAAAAGCCCCACACTCATAGACTCGGCAGAGGCAGAAGCAAGCAGAAGACCCACCTGACCCTGGCCCAGGCCCATTCCCCCCACAGCCCTGGTCCAATGCTGTGATGCTACAGGGGGAGTCCAGCCCAGAGGAGAGGAGCAGGCCAGGTGAGGGGACCCTGGGGGTGGGGGACAAATCCACACCAGCCCCTTCCCCAACCCTATCTTCCCAGAGGGAAGCTGGAGCTGGGAGTCCTGGGCTGCTGGGTGACCTCTGCAGACCCCTCCTCTCTGGGCCTTAGCTTCTCCAATTGCTCTCTCAATTCCTCTTCATCCCTGCGGCATATGACACTGCCGTTCATATTCCTAAACACAGGCCATTCTCCCCTCCTCAGCCATGGCCACTCCTTGACATTTACCCTGTGCCGGTAACCATGGAGATGACCCCACGCCTGCATCCAAGCAGGGGGTGTGTGCAGCGGGGCATGGCCGGGGCCGCCTCAATGGGCAGCCCTGGTGTCCCTCTCCATCCTTCCCAAGTTGCAGCTGCTCCCCTGCCCCTGAGCTGGTGCCTCAAACTGCCAGGCTTGGGGACTTCCCACCATGCCAGACACAGGGCACTTACCAGGATGAGTGGGAGCCAGCCAGCAGGGCAGGCAGAGGGCCAAGGGTCAGCCTGAAAAAGAAGAGGGAGGGAGCTTTCACTGGGTTCTGGGAGCCTTCAGCCCGCTCAGGAGTAAGGCAAACACCCAGCACAGTGGGTGGTGTCTGCAGCCACCACGGAGCTGACCCTGCCCTGGCACCTCCTGCCTCACGGCACCTGCCTCATCTCAAGGCTCACAGCCCAAGAGGACAGTCCTGTTGCCATCTGCATCTCTGGGGTTCAGAGAGGAAGCTAGGGATCAGTGGCATGGGGACTGGCACCCAGGGACCCTGTACCCAGCCTGGTACCTGCTTGCCACCTTCAGGAGAGGCTCAGGTGCTGAACATGCCAAGGAGGGTCTGCAGAGCTCAGGGAGGGCACTGAGTCCAGGGGAGAGAGGGAGGGCATTGAGCCTGTGGGAAGGTGGACACTGAGCCCAGAGGAGGGAGGGAGGGCACTGAACCTGGGGGAAGGTGGGTAATGAGCCCAGGGAGGGAGGGAGGGCACTAACCCTGGGAGAAGGTGGGCACTGAGCCCTAGGAGAGTGGGTGGGCACAGAGCCTGGGGGAAGGCGGGCACTGAGCCCTAGGAGGGTGGGTGGGCACAGAGCCTGGGGGAAGGTGGGCACTGAGCCCTAGGAGGGTGGGTGGGCACAGAGCCTGGGGGAAGGCGGGCACTGAGCCCTAGGAGGGTGGGTGGGCACAGAGCCTGGGGGAAGGCGGGCACTGAGCCCTAGGAGGGTGGGTGGGCACAGAGCCTGGGGGAAGGCGGGCACTGAGCCCTAGGAGGGTGGGTGGGCACAGAGCCTGGGGGAAGGCGGGCACTGAGCCCTAGGAGGGTGGGTGGGCACAGAGCCTGGGGGAAGGTGGGCACTGAGCCCTAGGAGGGTGGGTGGGCACAGAGCCTGGGGGAAGGTGGGCACTGAGCCCTAGGAGGGTGGGTGGGCACAGAGCCTGGGGGAAGGTGGGCACTGAGCCCTAGGAGGGTGGGTGGGCACAGAGCCTGGGGGAAGGTGGGCACTGAGCCCTAGGAGGGTGGGTGGGCACAGAGCCTGGGGGAAGGCGGGCACCCCCAGGGAAAATCTCAAGCTCTCAAAATAAGATGTTTTGCATGAGCCCCTCCCATGGGGCCTGGGTCCGCTCCACAGCCATCCCTGGGACCCTCCCAGGCTCTCCCCAGCCAGAAGCCCCTTCCCTCTATGCCCCATTCTGATTGCTGTCCCATGATGCAGGACTGGGAGGATTCCCGGGAACTCGGACTGGGCACTACCCAACTGGGATAGAGGGAGAGGGAACCCTAGAAAGAAGGACCCTGCCTGGGGCCACATGTTGTAGTGGGCTGAAAGGTGGCCCCCAAAAGCTTTGTCCACATCCTAATCCCCAGAACCTGTGAACACGACCTTATTTGGAAAAAGGGTCTTCGATGTAACTAAGTTAAGCAGCACATCCTGGATTGACCAAGTGGGCCCTAAATCCAAGGCAACTGTCCTGTAAGAGATGGAGTAGGAGAAGATGCCTGGAAAGGACCATGTAAGGATGGAAAAGAGGCTGGAGGGATGTGGCCACACACCAAGGGCACCGAGGATCGCCGGCCACCAGCAGAAGCTGGGAGGGGAGGAAGGGGCTTCCCCAGAGCCACCGGGGCAACACAGCCCTGTAGACCCCTCAGCTTTGGACTTCTGGCCTCCAGAATCATGAGAGTAAATTTCTGTTGTTTTCAGGCCCCTCGTGTGTGGAACTTTCTTAGGGCAGCCCCAGGAAATGAATCCACACGGGGACTCACCTGAGTCCTTCCCCAGGATGAACTGCAGGCTCCACTTAGTCTGATCCCGAGTGTGGGCGTGCCTGTCAGGGAGAGACAGGCTCCACAAGGCTGTGACCAACCTGGGCGGGCACTGCTGAGCTTGCCTCCGCAGGTGCCCACAGCCTCCTGAAGGCTGGGCTCTCCACCTCCCACCCTCCTGCACACAGGGTCCACCAGCCTCACCTGCCATGCCTGACCCACACCCGCCAGGCTTGCTGACCCCACCTCCTGGCCTCGCGTTCACCCCTTTGGCCTGCCCTTCCTTGTCTCAGGCCACATTCACCACGGCGCAGCAGCGAGGTTGGTTCCCTGTCCACGTGGATGGGGTGCGGCGCCTGCTTTCCCTTCCTGCCCTGGGCCCCCGACACTGGACCTGTCATGCACTTGCCCCATCCTGGTACCTGCAGTCACCTCCACATGGAAACCAAACGCTCCCTCATCCTTTGAGGATGGAACCATCTAGAACCTTGCCCTCTTCTCTGAAATCTCCAAGTCAATGGCACAGTTCTGCCACCAGCATTACCCCATGTGTCCCTGGCACTCCCCACGGGTCCAAGTCCCACTGAATCTCCAAGGCCCAGATGGGCACCAGGCCCATGGCAGGACCCAAGAGAAGGACAGACAGACAAACAGATGAGTTCACTGTCATGTCCATACATGAGGCCAGACCCCAGCGAGGTTGTAACCAGTACATCCTTCAGAGCTCAGAGTGAAAAAATTGTGACTTAGCGCTAATTGGACTCTCAATGAGAGAGGTTTTCAAAGAACTGGAGTGCAGCACGGCCGCAGCTGAGGCCCTTCCACACCCCTGGACCTCTGCCCAGTGAGACAAGCCGCCGGCCAGCCCTGGGCACGCACGTGAGGCTGCTCGCTGCAAAACAGAGAAAGGCTGGTGCACTGGAGACAGCAGTGTTCCCAGAAGACGCAGTGTGTTCGGGGCTCAGAGGCCCCAGGGGCTTCACAGAGCGGTGCAGGGTGGAGGCAGAGACGGTCAGGCCACTGCTGTGTGCAACGGACAAAGGGAATTAAGAAAAATGCAGACAAGGGCCCTGTAGGCACAGCTGCCTGCATGGCACCTGGGCTTCAGAGAGCAAGGCCAAGCTGTTGGTGGATGCTTGGCCCTCAAGCTCTGTCCTCAGAGGGAAGCTGCAATGTTCTCACATCTCCGGATGCCCCACTGGGCCTTCCTCTCTCAGGCCTGGTGTCTCTGTCCCCAGGAAAGGTTCTTGAGATGGGCATGGGAGTCGGGACTGCCCGGGGGCCTCCACACCTGGAAGAGGGTTGCCCTAGGCGGAGCTCTGGCCTGGCCAGGCAGGGGCCGTACACTGGCTGGAGGGAGGAGGCCAGGGCGGGCTTCCAGGCCGAGGGTGGTGAGGGTGAGGTGGGGCTGGAGACGGTGAGGTGGGGCTGGAGACAGTGAAGTGAGGCAAGGCGAGGTGGGTCTGGGGGAAGCCACGGCTGGCACTGCTGCTCGCCTGGAGCCACTCTCCAGTCTCAAACCACAAGCAGCAGAGGCGGCTCAGGATTCACACTTCAGTTCTTCACAAACACTGACGAGTTTCTACCTTTTAATCACTTGAGAAAAAATTCTCCAGAGTCCTGATGTGTGGGGTGGGCCGGGTCCACCACCCCAAGTTCCTGGCTCCCACCCAAGGCTGGGGCCCACCTCCTCCCCACCCTGCCTCGCCTCTCCTGGCCTGAAGGGTTTCACTGTCCCTCACCGCAGCCAGCCTGGGCACCCTATGCCCCAGCCCCGCAGGGTCCCGAGAGGGGCGGCAGTCCTGCCCCACCCAGTGGCTCCCACCAGAGAGGGCCGCTCTATGCATGTGACCTTGGCAGGCAGAATAGAGCCGTGGTCAGCGTGCAGGCTTTGGTGGGAACAAGCCTGGCTCAATCCCCTCCTCCTGGCCTGTGGCCCACTCTGAGCCTCAGTTTCCTCACTTGAGCAGTGGGGGTGGGGCAGCTGGCTGCTGGGCTTGCTCTAGTGTCAAGGGAAGGGAGGAACCGCCCAGCTCAGCGTCCGGCCGTGCTTTTCCTTCCTGCCTGCGGGCCTGGCCTCCAGAACAGGCGTCTCCCCGCGGCCCTTGGCACAGACAGAGCCACATTCCCAGTGCCACACCCCTTCCCTCTCTGCACCTTGGCAGCAGCAGTGCCCTCCACCTGGAACGCCACCCTCTCCACCTCCTCTGCCCCGCCCTTGCCCCTTGGCCCCTCATCTAGACCACACTCCCCTGGGCTGGACCCCAATCCGCAGGCCCTGGGCCTTCTCCCACACAGGCTCAGTCCACGGCAGGGCCCCCACTCCTCAGAGAGGCAGCCCCCACCCGGCACCCCCCGACGCTGTGGCATTTTCAGCATGTCTGTTGGCTATCTGCCCCTCCCCTGACACCAGTTCTGTGGGGAGAGATCTCTGCATGTCCGTCCCCCATGTCCTTGGTGCCTGAACAGTGCCCAGTGTGACACTGGCACCAGGTGCCTCCTGCAGCATGAACAGACCTCGTCCACACCCCAGCTGGCTGGAACCCCTACTCTCCGTGGGGCCTAGCTCATGGGCTCATGTGCTGAATTACACCATCTGGCCAGCCCCAGGCACCCCACTTCTTCCATCTCGGGGGACCCCTGGCTGCAGGAGGGGGGCACTCCAGGGGCTCTGCACCCACCAAGCGCAGCCTGGGCCTCCAGGGTGACCTCCCGGCCCCAGCATCCTCATCGATAGGCAAGGGCAGCAGCAGTCACTGAGCAGATCAGCTGTGGCCGGGACACCCCACGCCCACACCAGCCTGGCTGCTGACCCTCCGGGCCCAGGGGGTGTGCTTAGGTAGGAAATCTGCCGGGCACCTTCCTCATCTAGAGGAAGCAGAAGCAGAGGGCTCCCGCCAACCAGACCCTCCTGGGATGCGTGGGACGCCTGGGCCACGGGCACAGTGGGTGTGAAGGTTGGGGGTGCTTCCCTGCCCACAGTCACCTCTTGTGATAGGAGGGCTAGGCTGCTGGACCAAGGGAGGGGCAGGGAGCCCCCAAGGAAATGTCCACTGTGTTCTGAGTGCGCCAGCTCTGTGCCCGCTCCATCGCCAACTGCTCGTTTTGTTCTCCCGATTAGGACCTCGAGGCTGAGTGAGCTGCAACGCTTGGCTACCCAGCCAGCGTGGCTAGTGTCACCCAGAGCCTGGGGCCACCTGGCCCACCCCTACAACACAACCTGAGGGTGCCCTGAAAGCCTTATGGCCCTGGCAGGGCCCCTACCAGGCATTTCCTGCTGAGCCTGGCTCTGGGGTGGGTAAGAAGGAGAGGAGAAACCCCAGGCCCACTCTCAGAAGGAAGCCCACCAACCTTAAGGACAGTGGGGGTGGGCCCTGGCCTCTGTGGAGGGGGCAGGGCTCTGGGTAGGAGGCCAGGGGACACAGGGTGGGCCACGCCATGTGGGGTACAGGGAGGAAGCTACCGCAGGGCCCAGCTCAGCAGGACAGGAAGGCCTGGGGAAGCAGGGGCTCCAGCCCACCCTTGAGGAGTTAGGAGCTGCTTCTGTTTTAAACTGATCCCAAGAGCCCCTGGGGAGGCTGGTTGGGAAGCTCTCCCAGGCCACAGCCCCCTTTTGGGTCCCGCTCAATGCTGCTGGTTCCCTTGAAGAAAGAGTGGTCTGGTGCTCACCCTAGAGAAAACTCGGGCAAAGAAGCAGAGCTCCAGTCCTCAGTTTCCCCAGGAGTAACTGGGGCAGTCCCGGAGCTGCTGGACCCAGGACTTAGTGCTGAGGCTGCACAGAGGGCGGGGTCCACGCATCCGCAGAGACTCGGATGAGGAACAGGAGCAGGCGGTGCCGGGACAGAAGGAGACCCCCAGAGAGTTGCAGTGGAACCCACCAGGCAGCTGAGGAAACCGAGAGCAGGAAACCGAGGCCAGGGAATGGTGGAAGGTAGCCCACCTATTCAGTGGGCTCGGCTGGAGTCATGGTGAGGCTGGTCAGCCGGACCCTGTCTCTCTTGCACAGTGTCACTCCACTCGGCCTGAAGTCTCATGGTATCGGGCACAGGGGAGGCACTCAGGCACAGCACCTACAGGCAAACGCCACACCCTGCACCCGGGATCCAAGCTACTGTCACCCTCTGTCTGGGCTCCCAATCTGTTAGGGAGGCAGCCACCTCTGACTCACATCCTTGTGACATCTGTTCCACCCAGACACGTTGACACATCCGCCAGCGTCCTGGGAGCAATCTTCCACATGAGTTAGCCAAGCATGGGATTACATAGAGTCAGACAGAGCATAGCTTGTGCAAAGGCCCTGGGGTTGCAGGTAAGAGAAGGCACCCACCTTCTGACATGAGAGACAGAGGTGGGTCTTAGTTAGAACTGCCAGTCCAGGCCACATGCCCAGGTGAGGCAGACAGCATCTCAGACCTTCCCTGGGATGAGCTCCTGGGCACCATTCACGCCTGGGCTCCAGTCCCAGCCTTGGTCCCTTAAGCTGGAGACTAGGGGCAAGTCACTTCACTCCCTGAGCCTTGCTCCGTCCTCCCCCTCCACGCTTATTAGCAACAGGACTCTGAGGACCAAACCAGACAGCTCCCAAGCACTCTGCCATAGGCACTTGGCCCAGCACTGGGTCCCTAGGCCCTGGAAGTGGACAGCACCCTGCTTATCCCGGATCCCAGCACCAGGGCGAGATAACAAGGGAACAGAGTGGAGATGCCGAGGCCCTGGGGCTCCTGCTGGGGTGGCATGCAGTAGGGGCGCCAGTCAGAGAAACCCAGCCCCACTGCTCCCACCCAGAGCCAACGGCAGAGGTCAGGAGCCACCACGATGGGCACCCTGTGTAGGCAGCTGTGTAAGCCCTACAGGGTGGGCCTTGGGACCGTATAGCAGTAAGTGGCCTGAGAGCCCTGCGCCGCCTGTCCCTTTCACTCATCACCGTGGTACTTTTCGTACCGTGGCGGTCTTGGCGGCCTCCCTTGGACCGCACAAAACCATGCAGCTCCTGCACACACCTCGGGCTCAGCCCAGGCACTTTACGGCGTTTTATCTGGACAAGCTCCTGGGTCAGGGCAAAGGACGCTGGGGCCCAGGCGTGGCCCCCATCATGGCTCCTCTGTGCACCACTGAGGGTCCTTGGGCCCCTCGCTTACCCAGGAACCCTGTCACCATCTGTCAGCGGGTGCCACAGGCTGGGACCCACCAAGGCTGAGTCAGCACAACAGGGTCCCTTCCCTCTGTCCACTCATTTCAGCACTTGAGGGTTAGGTCTTTCTGCTGCCTTAATGCATTCGCTGTGATCCTTTTTCCCTAACGTTACGTGTGTGTGTGTATATAGATATACATACATACATATATACATATATATATACACACACACACACACATATACATATATATATACACACACCACATACATACACATATATACACATATATACACATATATACAAACATATATATACATATACACATATATACATATATACACATATATATACACACACACACATACATATATATATACACATATATACAAACATATATATACATATACACATATATATACACATACACATATATACACACACATATATACATACACACACACACACACACACACACACACACACACACACATATATTTTTTTGAGACAGAGTCTCACTTTGGTGCCCAGGCTAGAATGCAGTGGCACGATCTTGGCTCATTGCAACCTCTGTCTCCTTGGTTCAAGCACTTCTCCTGCCTCAGCCTCCTATAGCTGGGATTACAGGTCATACCACCACACCCAGCTAATTTGTATTTTTAGTAGAGACAGGGTTTCACTATGTTGGCCAGGCTGGTCTTGAACTCCTGACCTCAGGTGATCTGCCGGCCTCGGCCTCCCAAAGTGCTGGGATTACAAGTGTGAGCCACTGCGCCCGGCCCCTTTTTTTTTGAGATCAGGTCTCTCTGTCACCCAGGCTGGAGTGCAGTGGCACAATCTTTGCTCACTCCAACCTCTGCCTCCCAGTTTCAAGCAATTCTCACGTCTCAGCCTCCCGAGTAGCTGGGATTACAAGCATGCGCCAACATGCCTGGCTTATTTTTGTATTTTTAGTAGAGCCGGGGTTTCACCACGGTGGTCAGGCTGGTCTTGAACTCCTGACCTCAACTAATCCACCCGCCTTGGCCTCCCAAAGTGCTGGGATTACAGGCATGAGCCACCACGCCTGGCTAATATTTTTAAACTGTTTTCTAACATGGGTTTTTTTCCCGGATGTTGTTCGTTTTTACTCTCTGGGTTTATTATTCTATTCCCTTGCCTTCTGCTTCTTGTCATTTTTTATTCCTTAGTAAATTTTAGGTTGGCCTCAGGAGGTTTCCTGTCTAGGCTGGGTCTTGTCCTTGCGCTGGCTTCCTCCTGGGGCCACTCACAGGCCAGCACAGGTGGGCTCAAGGCGACAGGCCAGCCCCTCTGCTGGGGCTGCAGCAGGCATCGGGGTGGGAGAGCAGGCCACAGCCACTCCCAGGCCGGGGTCTCTGGCCGGACAGGGGAAGGGAGATGCAGGCAGGCCCAGGAGCAAGAGGGAGGCAACAGGAAGAGGTGCTGACAGAGAGGCAAAAAGAAGGAAGAAGGAGTGGGCCAGACCCCGGGTTGGGGAACCGAGAGCTGTGTGTTCCTCCTCAGCCTGGGAACCCCAGAGCCTCGGGGCCCGGGCAGGGGACAGGATGACTCATGCCCGCTGGCTCCTGTCCTCACCCTCAGCGTGGCCCAGAGGGGGCCTGGGTGACCTGAACGTTCCCAGGCCCCTCACAACGCTCCACTGTTCAGAGAGGCCCAGTGAGGACAAGGGTCTGGCGGTGGGCCCGGCCTGCCGGGAAAGGAGCCCAGCCCCCAGCCTCTGCCGCAGCCTCTCTGCACCCCTGCAGTCTGGGCCCCGGTCCTCCGCGGTCAAGACAGGCAGGGGTGGAGTCTGGATCAGGGTCTCCTCCTCTCCGCCCCCAACCATGCAACTGTCCAGCCCCCTTCCCAAGGCCAGGCCGCCCACAGCCCAGCTCCTTCCTCCCTCGGAGCCAGCCTGTCACAGCCTTTCTGCTGCAGCCTCAGCAGAGGTGGCTCTCAAAGACAGCTCCGCTCAGCCTCAGGGCTCAAGGCCACCCATGCCCTACCTCGCCGGACACCTCTCAGGCTGTTCCACGAGTTCCTCCAGCCGTTCCCCACCTGCAAACTCCCGCCTGGCCTTCTGCCCCCGGCCAGGTCACCCCAAGACACCCCCAATGCCCTTACTGCTCCCTGGGGATGGCGCTCCAGGCCAGGTCCTTCCTCAGAGGGGTGAATGGCTCTAGTTAGGGTCCCCAACCACCACAGCCCCAGACCCGTGGGAGCCGAGGCCTGAGCTCTCCTGCCTGCCCAGCCTCCCTGCACCCACCCCTGGCACGGGAGCCCGAGACAGCCTCCCCAGAGCCCCCAGGTGAAGTGCCACCTGGCCCGTCATCAGCCCGGGGGGGGGGCGGTCACAGGACAAGCACCTCCACGTACTGCTCGGGTGGCAGTAAGACTCTGGAGTCAGCAGGGCCTGTAAGCAAGCCCGCCGGTGTCTGCCCCTAGGGCCTCCTCCTGGCTGGGAAGCAGCCACGGGGCAGGCTCGGGCAGCTCAGGCAGGGGCAGGCTGCATCAGACAGGGAGGTGGCACAGCCCGGTGGACACTCTGGGGACACAGCCTCAGGAGTGACTTGGGGATGCCCTTTCCCTCCCCAGGGAGGCAGCTCTGGACCATGCCACTGTCTGCCAGAAAAGCCAGCCAAGGAGGAGGGAGACTGAGCCGGGGACAGTCAGTCCCACCAGGGCCAATGCCACCCCAATCTCAGCAGTCTGCTGCTCCCTCCCCTTTCATCCCCTGTAGCCCCTGTGCAGGGGTCACCGACCCCATCCTGGTCACGTCACCTCCTCCACTCCCACCCAGCCTTCTGCAGCCTCGACGAACCCACTTCTGTCTGTGGCAGCCCCCACCCTTTCCCCAGACCCCGCCCGAGCTCCTCATGGTCTTCTTGTGGCCACTGCTTGGAGGGCGTATGTTCGGCAGTGGTCTCCAGACCCCAGAGTAAGCTTGAAAACATAAGCCAGCCCCTGCTGGAAGCCCCACCAGGCCCTCGGGCCCCACCTCTCTAGCCCCTCTCCCTTTTCAAAACCAGGGTGTCTTTCACACAGCCTGAGCCCTCAGCCTGGCCCCTCCTCCTGCTCCCCCTCAAGGAGGCCCCCCCGGGGGGATCCGTGAGGCGCCCCTGGCATCTTTGGTGCTGCCTTTTCCCAGCTTCGTACTGGAAGGGCCAGGACCCTGCCTGCCGCAAGGGTGGCTCTGGGTAGGTCTTCGAGGGGGCCTGGGTCCCAAGTGGGTCCCCCCTGCTTCTCAGGACACCAGCCCTGGAATAGCTGTCCCCTTGATGCCAGCCGGCAGGAACCCTGGCATGGGGCAAGGCCCGCTAGATCCTCTGCAGAGGTGGGGGTTGGGGGTCCTTTCTCAATCTTCTTCCTTCCCCAGCAACTTCCTGCCCCAGAGGCAGGCACAGCCACCCCGACCACAAAACATCACCCTCCTGGTCACATCCTCAAGAAAATGGGAAGGTTGATCTCAGAGAGCCCCTGCCCCAAGTAGCAAACCTTCCTGAAGCCAGCACCCAGGACCCCAGGATGGCTCAGGGCTCAGAGGTGGCCACTGCCCCTCCCTCCACTTTACACACCCAGGGCCCCATCCCACCTCATTAGGCAGCTGCAGCCCAGGGTCTGAAGCTGAGCGAAGTCCAGTCGCGGTGAGGGTCCCGAGGGGAAGGCATTTCAGAGATTCCACCCCCAGGGTCCCGCCTGGGAGCAGCTCCTCCGGTGGGGAGGAAGGAGCCACCTGTGGGGACAGGCAGCCAGCAGGGGTACAGCAGGAACGAAGTCCTGAGGCAGGGCGGGTACGGGTGGCGGGTGGAGGCTGAGGCTGCACCCCTGAGCGCCATTAGTCCTAATCAGCCCGGAGGCCTCGATGACCTGACGCCGGCTTTGGAGTTTCCCAGGCCCCGTGCTGCGTGCAGCTCCTGGGGGGCCACTCCCACACACCCCGCCCCAGCAGCTGGATGGGCACACCCTCACCCTCACGCATCCCATGAGGCTGCACTTCCTGTCCCTGCCCTGCCCAGAGAAGGCGGAGGATGCCCAGGTCACACGGCCTGGCCTGGTGGAGCCACCTGAGCCACCCAGCACCTGTGTTCCTAGAGGTCTCAGCCTGGGAACGCCTGAGGCCACAAGAGGTGATGGCAACGGGAAGTCACTTCCCCCAGCTCGGGGGATGCACCCCCGTCATCTTCCCCTCTGCCCTGGTCAAACTCACTCTGCTGACCACTGATCTGCCTGCCAGGCCAGGCCCCAGCACTATCTGCCCAGCCATCAGCGGACCGCCTCGGGCAGCGCCAGCCACTCACCCCACTGGAAAGGGGCTTCCCTTTCTGGCCTCGAGTAGGAGGAGAGGAAGCAGCTGGGGTCAGGGAGGGGCGTTTCCGAGAGAGGAGATGAGTGCCGAGTTTCCTGGCCTGCCTCCTCTGGCTCTGAGCCTGGTCTCCATGCAGGGCTGTGTACCCCCACCTGCCACTCAGGGCTCCCAGGCCAGCTTTTCTGGATCTTTCCCCATTGCCCTCCTAATGGTGAGAAATCCGGCCTTTTGCTTGGACTTGCCTCAGGTGCCAGCTCTTTGGGACCCAAAGCCCTGGTGGCACAGGTAGGCCAGGCTAACTCCAATCTCAAGCCAACACACGTTTAGGAAGAGCAGCTACAGAGAAAGAAAGCACTTTCGTTCAGGGAGAGGACAGGGGACACCGACTCCGCTCGGCGGCTCTTCCTCACCAGGCTTTGGTCCTCCCTATCTACCGCTGCCAGGGCCACCGAGACCAGGCCCAGAAGCAGCTGGGTCCCTGCTGCCGGGTGGCAGGCAGCGGTGGCTGTCACAGCGCAGCCCGCAGGGGGAAGGGAGGAGGCTGTGATGGAAACCTGAAGAGTTTCGTGGGAGACCAAAGCACAACAGTCTGATATTATCTGATTGGAAACTCCACCAACTGGGCGGCAGCTGCCAGGCTGACTGGCACATTAGGCTCTGATGCTCAGTAGAGTTAAACACAGGTGGGGGGAGTGACAAGCCACCTTCAAAGAGCTTGGCACAGCCCGCCCGTTGCCCGCGCCACTTCCCTGCCCAGGAGTGGGAGGCTGGGAGAGCCGGCACTCCCCTCACCCTTCCTCTGGGACAGGCCCACGTGGGCACCACCAGGGCATGGGCTCTCAGACGCGACCCTGACCTTCCTGAGTTCCCAAGCAGGAGGGGCAGGCGGACAGGTCACCATGGATGGGTCAACATGCATGGTGGCCATAGACCAGGCTGGGGGCTCAGGAAGGCACCCAGCTCAGGGTGGAGTTGGGGGTGGCCAGGGAGGGTACCCTGAGCACCAAGCAGGACAGACACTTATGTCTTCAGCTGAAATTGCTTCTAAGGGAGAGAGTGGCAAGGTGGGCCAGGCAGGTGAGCTGCTACCCATGGGCACCTGCCAGCGGTCCTGCCCTCTGACCTGTGGCCTGTCTGCTCTTGCAGTGCATGCCTAGCCCAGGGCCCAGTACACAGGCACCCAGTGTTGCATGAGTGGGGCCCGGGGCTGGGCAGCAGCCTTCTGAAGGAGGTCCACCACTGCCCCAGAGGCAGAAACCAGGGTGGGTGGTAAAGGCGCACCACTGCCCCAGACTCCCAAGGCTGAGAAAAAGCCAAGGACCGCCCAGCATTCCAGGCTCCCAGAATGACCCCTGATCCCTTCCCACCTTGTCCAGGGGCAGCCAGCAGCAAGGGCCCACCCCTATGCCTAGCTCAGGACAGTGGACAGGGCTGCAGGGCATGGGGACCCAGGACCCTCAAATGCCACAGAAGAGCATCACTAGATTACAACACCCCTGGATCGAGGCTGAAGGAACTCCCCCAAACGGAGCTGCCCATTCACACAGTGTCAAGGGCAGGGAGGCCCTAGCTCGGGCCTGGGGATCTGGCCTCCCATGAGTTAGACCTACTTTCACCCCATTTCACAAGGAGGACGCTGAAGCCCTCAGACGAAGCCTGCTCTGAGCCCAGAACTCAGCTCCCCTCTGGTGCCTGAGAGAAGCTCTGTGCCGCTTCCCTCGGCCCCTGCCTCGCGGCCTCAGCCCCGTGTGCCATGGCACGCACACTGCCTTCTTGAGGCTGTTGCCTGCCAGCCTGGCTGACCCTGGGGTGGGGAGCTGGCCTCCCTCTGCAGGCTTGAGCAGACAGGCACCCTACGCCCCACCCAGCTGCCTGGAGCAGGCTCAGCAGGAGCGCAGTAAACATCTGATTCACAAGGAAGCAGAGGGCACTTCTTGGAATCAGCTCAGCTACAGGGATGGGGGTATGGATACCACGAGGGCGCTCTGCCAACCCCTCAGGGCTCCTCTGATCTCCCCAGGCAACTGCTCCAGGTGGCCGAGCCCACATTCTTCCCAGAGGCCAGCTGACAAAGATGGACCAGATGTGACCGGAATCCATGAAGAAAGGGCCAGTCACCTCAGGGCGTTGGGGCCAGCAGTTCCAGCACGATCTGTGATCGGGGGCCGGGAAACCAAGCAGGGCCTGACCACTCTCATGGCCTTGGAAGTTACAGAGCCTGGGGAGAAGAGAGAAGGTTGGGGGAGGGCACCTTTCTCCCCTCCTGGGAGCCTGCACCACCTCGAACTCCTGTCTGACCCAGGTCTCCACCCGCCCCGAACCTGGGCACGTGCTTCTCTCGCGTCACCCTTGAAGGATGAGTGTAGTCAGGGGCCCGGCACGGAACCCAAATCCAGCAGCGTGGTCCAGAGCCAGGGACTTCTGTCATCCCGTTTTGCAGATCAGGAAACTGAGGGTCAGGAAGTGCAATTCGCCTACAAGGCTCAGGTCTCCTGGCCCGTGGCTGAGGGCCAGTCCCTTGCTCTTGGCACCATCCTGTCTACCCTCCCGTGCACAGGCCAAGGGGTGGTGAGGAGGGTCCAGTGCCCCAGGGAAGGGGGCCAGCCAGTGAGCCTGAAATGCTCCCTACCACCCCCTCTGGGACTTAGGCAGCCCACACGTGGGACTGTCTCCAGCCCCTCGGTGTCCAGACAGGGCCACCAGAAGAATGCAGAGGCCTTCTGGGGAGGAGCCGCCTATCCTGGAGGAAGGATTCCAGGGTCTGCACGGCCCCTTCTCCTTGCCTCCCAGGCCCCTCCATACCCTCACCACACCTGGCATGCAAAGGCCACTCCCGTCAAACTGGTCTCCCACCCTCCCTACCGCCCGCCTTTGGCTTAGTCTGTCTGTACCTGCATGGCTGCCCGCCCGGCTCAGATCCCTCCTCCTGACGGCCCACCCTGTATTCATTGGCCCGAGGGGTGGGAGCCGCTCCACTGCGTCTGGGGTAGGACAGCTCTCACCTTGTGGCAAATTCCCCGTCTTTTCCCCGCCAGCCTGCCCTTCTCCTCACCCACCCAGGCTGCACAGTGATGGCCAAGCCACCCGGTTATTAAAGAACTATATACTCTGCCAGGCGTGGGGGCTCACGCCTGTAATCCCAGCACTTTGGGAGGTGGGCAGATCATGAGGTCAAGAGAGGACAGAGAGTGAGGAGGGCAGAGCCTGCCACACATAGTCACTGACCTGGGGTGTCCCCACAAGGGAGCTTTTGAGGACAGAACGCAGGAAGACCCAGGGGCTGCCCAACACTGGCCACTCCTGATGGACTCAGGCCTTAGTCCAATGTGGGCAGGAACCTGGGAGCCTTGGCCTTTACCCAGGCCTCTCCAGGCCAGTCCCTGCCCCCACCCAAAACAGGACATACAGCGGCCCTGAGGACCAGGGAGAGCACCCTCAGCGACCCACTGTCACTGAATACCAAGCACATGTCACCACCACCACCATCCCCCCTACGGACACTCATAGCCACCCACCAGGTACAAAGTGCTTCACAGCCCTCAGGTCATGGATGAGAAAACGGAGGGGTGGCAGGGGGAAGCCTCCTGGCCATGATCACACAGCTGGAAACTGGTGGCATCTGAGTTCACACCCAAGATCCTGGCTGAGTTTGCGCCCTTCCTCCCTGCCCCTCAGGAACCAAGGCTGGCCATCTCGTCTCTCTGGGCCCCTGGACTTCCCGTCTGTGGGCCTGCTTGTGTGCGTGCATCCCTGGGGGGTGGGGAGCTCCAGCTGACTCAGCACCCTGCTTCCTCTGTCCATGTGGGCAGAAAGGGCCAAGGCAGGCCCAGAGCCTGTCCTCCCTCTGTCTGCCTCTTCAGGCCAGCCTCCTTGGTGGGCTCCCCCATGATCCTGGAGGCCTGGGGACTCCCTGAAAGGCCAGGTCCCCTGTCAGCACCCCTCTCACCAGATGGCCCTGGCTGGCAGTTCCTAGACACGGCTGCCTATCTGTCTTCCTTCTGCCTGCCCCCTCCAGGGTGTGCCTAACGCAGGGCACAGAGCCAGGCAAAGGGAGCCTGGCGGGTGGCAGGGAGAGGGGATAGACAGAATCCTCACTCCCTTGCAGCCCTCGTCCCAGGCCTCCTGTCCTGCCAGGAGTGGAGTGCCTGGAGTGGGGCCCTGAGGTTGGGCTCCAAGAGGGCCCTTCGACGGTGTCTACGTAGAGGAGACAGTGGACAGAGTGGGAAGAACCAGGAGGGGGTGGAGCCCAGCCCCTCCTCTGGTCCCACAGGGCCTGAGCCAGTGAGGGCAGGAGCTTGTCCAGGCTCATGGAGTTGGTGCAGGGCTGACCTGAACCCAGAGGCTTGCTTCGGCAAGGAGGAGGCTGTGGGCCCTGCCTTCAGGCGGTTGTGGAAACAATTCTACACATTGCATCACCGGCCCATGTCACCTGCAAGGCCACACACATGTCATCCAGGCAGGCTGTCCACCCCAGCAGCCCACACGGAGTACCCGCCCCTGGCCACAGCCAATTCGAAGGACTTAAGTGTGGCCACTAGACCAGGAGGCACAGCTGTCCCCAGTGTCAACAGATGAGCAAACTGAGGCACAGAGAGGGGATAGGAGGTGCTCACGGAAAGGAGCACCAGCAGAAGGCTCCCCACAGCAGGGCTCAGGCCCTCAATACCCCCAGGGAGCCGAGGCCCAGAGCAGCGGGAAAGTGCTGGGCTGCAGGGAGGCCAGCGTACAGGTGGAAGGGGCTGTCCCCGCCCCCTAACTCCTCCAGTCCCTCTGCCACCCCTGAGATTCCCTGTTGCCCATGAGAGTCTCAGACGCCCGGCTATCAGTCACTCACACTTCAGTGTGAATCAGCGCCAGTGGGCGGCTTTTCTTGCCCTCCGTGAAGCGCGGCCGCTGCAGAGGGAAGTTTGGATTCCGGGAAGGGCGGAGAGCGAGTGCCCGCCGCAGCCTTTGAGTCTTGTGGGGAGGGTCGCGTAAAGGGGCCCCGCCGCGGGGCCAGAGGGGCGCGAGGGGTGCGAAACAGACGCGTCGCACCGCCTCCCACCCCTGAGCCCCCGGCAAGGGACACCCGGCCCCCGCCCCGAAGCCGCGCTCCCTCGGGCACTGCCCGCCGTGCCCAGGCCCCGTGCGTCCTTTGGCAAGGACACGGAGGCCCCGGGGCCCGGGGGAGGCTGCTGCGCACCCGAGACCCCCGACACCCGCCCATACCTGCCGGGACCCTGAGACTCCCCCGAGACCTGCCAAGACCTGCCGGGACCCCTGAGACTCCCCGGAGACTCCCCCGAGACCCCCGAGACCCGCCGAGACCTGTCGGGACCCCGAGACTCCCCCGAGACCCCCGAGACCCGCCGAGAGCCCCCAGACCGCCAAGGCCCGCCGAGCCCCTTCCAGACGCGGAGACCGCCCCCCCGCGAGACCCCCGAGACCCGCCGAGACCCGCCGCCGAGGCTTACCCGCCGAGCGCTCTCCTGGCCCGCGGGCCCTGGGTCGAGGCGGCGGCTTGACTCGGCCGCCAGGCGCTCCCGCCCGCGGGACCCGCCGCCGCCGCAGCTCCGTCCCGCCCGCGCCCGCCCAGTCCGCCCTCCTCCTGGCCCCGCCCCGGCCCCGCCCCTCCCCGGCGGGTCCCGCAATCCTGGAGGTCCGAGCTGGGCGTGGGGCGGGGCCGGTACCTCAGGGTGGGCGGGGAACTGCACGTGGCCTCCGCGGCCCCGGGACGAGGCCCCTGGGGGGCGAAGACTGGCGTTGTCGCGGGCCTAGACGCCGGGTCCACAGTAGGTGCTTAGTTCTCGCCCGTGAGTGAGGTAGCGTGTCTGTCCCTCCTGCGTGTCCCTCCCAGTGACACCCCAGTGCCCAGCGACCCAGGTGGAAAGGGCGCTGTCCACCCCCCCAGCCCCGTGGTCCTGATCCTGGGCGGCCCCACCCCTGCCCCGTGAGTGCGACTTAGGCCCTGGCCAAGACAGGAGCAGGGGAGGTGGGGGAGGGCTTGCTGGGCACCAGGAAACCTTGTCTTTGTTTCCAAATGTCCTCCAGGGTACTTTTCAGGCACTTCCCAGGGGGACCTCGCCTCTTGGACCAGGTCTGGACTCCGGTGGCCCAGAGGTCGTCTTGGGGCTGGGAGGCACAGGAGACCGGGTGCTTTACACTTGGCCTCCTCTGAGGCTCCCTTTCCTCCACCATCACCCTCTCCCTAAGAGTAGGCCCAGATGCCTTGGTGTAAGGGCAGGGGCGAGAAGAGGAGGGGCTTCCTGGGAGGAAATGGCTTCCCTGGGGAGCTCTCAGGGCCAGGTAGGTGGAGGGAGCCGTGGAGAAAGTGAAGAGGCTGGGGAGACCAAGCTGGGCCTGCAGAGCTTGAGGGCGAGCGGACCCCCCACCAGTGCGGGAGTCAACTGCTTGGGGCGTGGGGGGACTCCTCCCCATGAGGAGTGGGGACTGGACCCCAGGTCCCAGAGCCCAGGAAGCTGTGAGTAGAGGAAGGACAGGATCTTGCTGGGAACCCAAGGGAGCTGGGGGTGGGTGGTGGTGACCTGGCCCTGTCCAGGCAGGCGGCCAAGGTCTGACCCTCTGTACTGAGCACAAGAGGCCAGAGTCCAATGACAGGGGCTGAATTGGCTGCTCCAAATCAGGCAGGGGCAGGGGTGTCCAGGGCTGGCCCTGCAGCAGGTGAAGGACTGGGTTTGGGTCCTACAGGTTGAAATACCTGAGGGCCTCCAGGAGACACAGCCAAACCAAGCGGGTTCTCAGGGTTGCAGCTGGACCGAGTGTGGGCCAAGTCACCGTCCACCTGTCCCAGAGCTGCCCAATAATGGGTCCCAAGCCTCAGAAAGGGGATCCCTGGCTGCAATAGCCCTCCTCCCTGCTGGAGAGACACACTTGGGATCAGAGAGGTTAACTGGGGAGGGGAGTAAGTGGGAGGAGTCAGAAAACTAGGTGGCCAGGCCCTGAGCCCAGGCATAGAGGAAGAGCCAGTGCCTACCAGGAAGTGACCAGGACCAAGGCAGGGCCTCTGGAAGGGAAGGGACAAAGCAGGGGATGGCAGAGGCAGGGGAGGATATGGGAGAGTCTTCAGACAACAGGGCCCCTTTTCCCCATCTGTGAAATGGAGGGGGTCCTCTACTGGGGAGGCGGCAGAAGTGGATGGGGCATGACAGCAGGCAGATACTCACTCTACCTGGCCCAGGGCCACCCCTCACACCGGCGCTGGGGCTGTGACTCTACCCACCTACAGCCTAGCTCTCGGGGCTGAACTTAGACCCCAGTGAGGGAGTAGATGGGTGCTGGCTGGCTGGGGTGCTCACTCTCTGGGGTGCCTGCTCACATCCCCACCTGTAAGTGTCCTGGGCCTGGCTCCCCAGGTCTCAACTCTGCTCATCCCAGCATTGGGTAGCCTGCAACTCTTCTGCCCACCCCCCACTCTGGGCTATTTCACATTTTCCTAGCAGGGAGGAAGAGATAGGAACTACAGCCATTGTGGAAGTGGCTGGGCTCAGCCCCATCCGACGTTCAGTGCTGCCACTGTTAGCACCGCATGGGGCTGCGTCACTCCTGTAAGAGGCCACATGCGGAGGGAGCTCCAGGCTGGGCCAGACTGGTCTAAGGCTCCTGACAAAACACTCATGACCTTGGGGCTGTACATCTTGATGTCCCTGATGTCCAGTTCAGCTAAATAAATGCCTGGCCCCACACCAGACCCCGGGGACCCAAGATGATACAAGGAAGTCCCTACCCTTGTGGCTCACGAGAGGAGCAAATGGACAAATGAGCAGATGCCATTGGGTCACAGCAAGTGTCCTGTTCCCAGGGGACCAGCTGGGGAAAGGGGCAGAGACCGGGAGGGGAGTGGAGCAAAGCCAAACGTCGGTGCGGCCCCGCCAGGGCCTGACTACAGGGCAGGGTGTACAGGGCTGGCCTCAGATGCCAAGCTCAGAGTTGACGGAGCAGGGTCACTGCAGACAGTGTGGACGGACCAGGCGCCTAGAGAATGATCACCCAGAAATGCAAAGCACCTCTGTGCAGGGCACCTCAGCCAAACAGGGGGAACAGGGTGCAGCCTCCACCGTGGGGAGAATCCCACACCTCATATTCCTCCCCTTCTCCCCCCTTACCAGTCCAACCCCAGGGCGTGGGAGGAAGGAACTCCTAGTTGGGGCCTCAGGGCAGCTCCCAGCAGCCCCTCCGAGCAAGAAGCTGCTGGAGGCTGTGGCCAGAGCCTCTGGGCACCCAGGGGTTCCGCTGAGGCTGACAGAGCAGGGATGGGTGAGGAGGATGACCTCGCCTGCTGGGAGGGTATGCAGGGCAGGTGAGCAGAGGTAAGGCGAGGACCCCTGGCCGGCAGGGAGCTGGGGAGCAGACCTCCACAGGGCACATCCGGGGTAGAAGCCCATGGTGATGCCCCAATCACACCCACAGAATAAGGCCAAAGAGAAGGGGGCCGGTCCCCCGCCACACCCATCCCCCGTGTGCCATCGGCCATGCCACTGATTTGGCAGGACCCAGAACAGGCAGAGGCAGCTGCTGTCTGGGGGGTAGGGCAGGACCTGCTGAGGGTGAGGCTGACGGTTAGGATGGCGAGGGCAAGATCTGCCGCTGGTCTACGTGTCACAGGCGTCCCAGCAGGGGGCTTCATGCGCCTGCCAAGTCTCTTTTTCCTTCCCTGGGCCAGCAACCCTGGAGTCGTCCGCACTGATGCCTCTCTGCTCGCCCCACATCCCGTCCGCCCTGAAGGTTCTGTTGGCAAAGCACACCTGGAATCCTGCCTTTCTCAGCCCCTGCCTGCCTCATCCTCCCTCTCCTGCGCTTGCCTGGCAGTGTCCATCATCACACCAGAGGGGTGCAGTCACAGTGTGAGTCAGGTCATGTCACTTCTTCACTCAGAACTTTCTGTAGATCCCACCTCCCCCAAGGCAAATGCCTTCTATCCTTGCATGGGCAGGGCCCAGACCGAGCCTGTGCCACCTGCCTGCTCCCTGAGTTCTCTCTCCATAGCCCCGCTTAGCATTGGCCACACTGGCCTCCTGTCTCCTCCAGCACCGCAGACACATTCCCACCTCAGGGCCTTTGCACTTGCCATTCCTGCCCCTAGATCACCCTTGGCGGGTGTGCCTGGACCCCTCGCTTCCCTTGGTCTGGGCTCTGCTTCCAGGGCACCTGAGTTACAAAATAGACTCCCAGTGCATGATTGGTGAATGAACAGACAAAGGCCTCAAGGGGCAGCCCCAAGGAAGGGGCTAGGTAGGTTTTGTTTTTGTTCTTTTGTTTTGAGATAGGGTCTCACTCTGTTGCCCAGGCTGGAGTGCAGTGGCACTGCAGCCTCAACCTCCTGGGCTCAGGTGAGCCTCCCACCTCAGCTGGGACTATAGGCATGTGCCACCACACCCAACTAATTTTTATTTATTTATATTTTTTATTTTTTTGTAGAAATAGCGTCTCACCATGTTGCCCAGACTGGTCTCGAACTACTGGGCTCAAACGATCCACCCACCTCAGCTCCCAAAGTGCTGGGATTACTGGCATGAGCCACTGTGCCCATCCTAGCCAGGTTTTGGAGCTGCCACCTGGGTCCCGTGTCCAGAGGACCTTGGAAGCATGGACCCTGCCCTCCCACCTGTCCCTGTCCCCAGGAGTGGCCCCACAGTGATACAGTGTACCACCTCACCAGGCCGCCTCGCTAGGAGAGGCAATTCCTGAGTAGGGCCAAGGCCACAGGCTTCCCACCTGCTTCCCTGGGGATAGGAGGGGACAGGTTCCCACCCTACCTCCCCCAATCCCCACTCCCTGGGGGAGGCTGTGTGGAGTCATCCTGCCACACAGTCCAGTCCCCTGGCCACACAGCCCAGCACTGGAGGGAGGGGCAGAGGGGGTGTGGGGGAGGATTGTGGCTCATGGGAAGAGGAGTTTGAGGAGGCAGGCTGGGCCTCACACGCAGGCATCAGTCTGGCTCTGAGGACAGGGCTGGGGGCTGGCATCTCTCCCAGGAGGCTGGGCTGGTGGCAGGCACTCTGGCAGGGAGGGCAGGCTGGACAGGAGTGGCCCCTCCCAGGCTCTGGGCCATCTCTGCATCCCAGGCCAGGCCTGGCTGCCTCACGCCTTGCCCTGGGTGGGATGGGGAATATTTTCTCCTTTACCGAATGAAGGGGAAAGGAGCAGCCTGGGGCTGGAGGGGGAGCAGTGGAGGTTGGGTGGGATGGTAGGACGTGTGTGCTGGTTGAGGGGTGGAAGCATGGAGGCCCGCTCAGGTCTCAGCCAGACCCCACGCCAGAGTGCCCTGCACACTGGCCTCCCCTCTGCCTCCACTGCCCTCCAGCGTCATCCCGGGAAAGCCAGCTCAGTAGCATTACCCCAGGGGACCTCCCCAGACCCCCACAGTCATGCCCAGATGTGCACCTACATCCCACCACACTGCCCAGAACTAGCCTTCCTCACCACCCCATCCCACCCCCTAGGCTGGGGCGCCTTGAGGTCAGGGCTCTTCCAGTGGCTCTGGTCCCCAGGATGGTCCAACACGGGGCCCTGCTCAGAAAACATCCTCAGTGGGTGGCCCCAGCCTGTGGGCTTCTGGCCAGCTGCCCTCAGTGAGCCTGTGGAGGGTGGGGCCCACAGCCAGCTTGCCCACTGCCCCTCGTGCCTGGGACAGGCCTGGCTTCCTGGCCAGCCTGAGAGCTGGTAAAGGCTGACGAAGTCGGCGAAGGCTCTTTGGGGACAGTAGGACTGAGCTGGGCTCCCACAACCTGGGAGGACTCTCCTGGCAGGGGCACAGCGCTAGAGGGCAGAGTGAGGGAAATAGAGCCAGAGTTCACGCCAGGTCAAGGGCCAGCCAGCGCCCCCAGGCCACCAGCACTCCCCAGGAGGGCCTGCCCTGCCTGCCTGGCTGCCACACCTCTAGCCCAGGTCAGCTGCTGGCTCTGTCCTCTGAGGTTTGCTTGAGTCAATTTTCTACATAAAACGAGAGTGTCAGGCAGGTCCCATTAGGAAGCTCTATTTTGTAATACCAGGCCTGTGGGTGGAGGACCCAGGACCCACGCACGCACTGGCTTTTCTATTTTTACATCCAGAGTCGCCTGCTCTCACCCCCAGAGCCCAATTTGGAACTTGAAAGCAGCACATTCTATTCTGGGGCCACTTCCGGCCCCTGTGCCGTGGGAGGTGGGTGTTTGTACACAACAGCGTGCCCCACCCGCCTCCCTCCAAAACACCCCCTCTCCTGTCACCCCCCACCCCCACCACCACCCCCTGCCAGCCACGTGACCTTCAGGAACACACTGAGATCTGGAAGGGGAAGCCCATGTGGGGCTTGGGAAGGGGAAGCTGTGGCCTTCAACAGTGGTGAGGTTCCCACGTCACCCCAAGGGGTCCCCACCTATCACCCCAGCCCAGGGTCAGGAGAGGCAGCCAGCCCTTCCCCAGCCAGCGCTGGACACTGAGACATGAGGGTGCAAGGTGACCTGCGTGACAGCAAAGCCCCTCACGACCAGAGCAGGAAGGAACAAGAGAACAGATGAGCCTGGGAGGCCTCCTGGGAGAGGGGACCCCAGGAGACACTTGAGGGCTGCTCCCACCTCGACTCCCCAGGCCTCTCCCATGGCCGTGGCAGGACTGGGCTGCCTTGGCAGGAGTGAATGAGGGACTCGCCCCACTGGGACCCAGAACTCCCCGTCCCACCTGGCCTCAAGTGGGTTCTGAAGGGGTCTCACCAGGCCTTCAGCCGCCTGCCCAGCCGAGGACCCAGAGGACCACTCCCTCCCCCTTCCACTTCTCCATCCTTGGGAGTGGACCTTGGCCTTAATTCCACACTTGTGGGTCCCCTAAACCATGCTGGCAGCCCTAAAGGCCCCTGCTACGGCCCTGAGAACACCCCTCCCCAAAGTGCCACCCTCTCCCCGATGACATGGGCTCTTATGTGCGAACCCCCAACACTGTGATGCCCTACAGTGCCACCTCTCCACTCAGGGGCACCCCTGATGTGCCCAGCCCAGGGTCAGGAGTGGCCAGCTGCCCTCAGTGAGCCTGTGGAGGGTGGGGTTCTATCGGCGGTGATACTGGGGCCCACCAAGTAGCTCAGAATGGCTCTGGCCCAGTAGCCCTGTCTCTGAGCCCCCAGCCTGCACTGCCCCTCCTCCCGGCCTCTGACAGGGGGTGAAGCTGGAAAGATGAGCTGCCCCACCCAGCCCAGAGCTGGCGGGAACAGCAGAAGACTCAGGACCCCAAGGGTGGGGACTTTCCCATCACACTGAAGAGGCGGCAGGGGAGTGGGGGGGTAGGTGCTGACGCAGAGCTGAACAAGGTCTGGCCTGTGATGGTGTGAGGCCCAGTCAGGGATGTGCACACCCTCAGCCCTCCTGGAGTACCTGCTGTGCCAGGTACAGTACCAGGTGCTTTTCACATCCTTACACCTTCTCGTCCCTGAAGCTACTTAGCAGCCTGGCCAACATGGTGAAACCCAGTCTCCACTAAAAACACACAAATTAGCCAGGTGTGGTAGCACATGCCTGTAATCCCAGCTACTTGGGAGGCTGAGGCAGGAGAGTCACTTGAACCCGGGAGGTAGAGGTTGCAGTGAGCCGAGATGGTGCCACTGCACTCCAGCCTGGGCAAGAGCGAGATTCTGTCTCAAAAAAAAAAAAAAAAAAGAAAAAGAAAAGAAAAATAGAAAAGAAACACTTTAGATGAATTCAATTTAGCAGAGTTTATTTGAGCAATGAAATGATTCCTAAATCAGGCAGCACCCCGAACCAGTAGAGGCTCAGAGAGCTCCATCCAGCAACTTGGGCAGGCAGTATTTATGGACAGAAAAAGGAAGTGACACAGAAATCGTCTGATTGGCTACAACTGGGTGCTTGCCTTCTTTGAACCTGCCTGAGTAGTTTGCAGCCTGTGACTGGCTGAAAGCTCAGCTGCTCTGATGGGCCGAGACTCAGTGACTTCTTCCAAAGAGTCCTGTGACTATAGCAAACCCTAACCTGACTTAATCTGTAAACAAACTGCAGCTTGAGTATACTCCCAGGCTGCAGTTTATTTACAGATTAAGGCAGGTTAGGGTTTGCCATATGCTGAGGCAGCTTTAGGCCAAATTTAAGTTAATTTAACCTTTGCCTCTTTTAGGCAGCCTCTCAATTTTGAGAGATTGACTGAAACCTTGGGCACTGGCGTCACTTTCTGTCACCATCATAATGGATTTGTTTGGTCTCAGTGTGAAATTCATATTCACCGTGTCAAGTTAGTTGGATGATGATGTTTTCTTCATGTTTTGTTCCTCTAACTGTGATGAGACCATTTGATGTACTAAGGATGGCTGCATACAAGCATTTAAGACACTTGAGGGGACAGCGTATCAGAGAGACTGTTCTGACGGCTTTTGGGAGGATGATACAAGAAACTGAAGCACACTCCTTAACAGGAGGCTCGGTGAACCAAACGGATCAAAACCGAACAATTCAAAGTTCAGGCAATGAAGACTGTTCTACAGCATTCAAGTCCCGTTGGTCAGTCTTTCTTTGGAACATGATGGTGATTTAGAACTACAGTTGGACGGGCGTGGTGGCTTACGCCTGTAATCCCAGCACTTTGGGAGGCCGAGGCGGGTGGATCACCAGAGGTCAGGAGTTCAAGACCAGCCTGGCCAACATGGTGAAATGCCATGTCTACTAAAAATACAAAAGTAGCCTGGCATGGTGGCACATGTCTGTAATCCCAGCTACTCGGGAGGCTGAGGCAGAAGAATCGCTGGAACCCAGGAGTGGAGGTTGCAGTGAGCCAAGATTTTGCCACTGCACTCCAGCCTGGCAACAGAGAGAGACTCCGTCTCAGGAGAAAAAAAAAAAAAAAAAAAGAACCACAATTGTGGGGAGATGGCGGATAGGAGGCAGGACTAACTTGCAGCTCTCGCTTGGATGGACAGAGAAGCATGTGGAGACCCACATCATGAACTTTTGCTCCAAGAACTACTGCAGGAATATACCAGGAAAGCTGAGAGAATCCACAGACTCCTTTGAAGGAGGTGGATTGCCGCTGCAGGCTCCATGGGACAGCTGAGGAACTCTGAAGACAAAGGACATAGTTTCTTGGGAGCTCTGTGGCCCTATCCACCACCTGATCCTACCACTGCTGATGGGCTCTTGAAAGTACCACCTCCCGGCTGGAGGCCAACCAACACAAAAGCAGTGCACCTAACAAAAATACAACCAAGGACCCTCACCAAGTCCACTTCACTCCCCTGCTACCTCCACTGGAGCAGGTACTGGTATCCGCAGCTGAGAGACCTGAAGACAGATCACATCCCAGGACTCCTTGAAGACACTCCCCAGTACCAGTCCAGAGTCTGGTAGCTCTACTGGGTGGCTAGATCCAGAAGATAAAGAACAATCACTACAGTTTGGCTATCAGAACGCCCTATCCCTGGGGGAAAGGGGAGAGCACCACATCCAGGGAGCACCCCTGTGGGACAAAAGAATCTCAACAGCAGCCCTTGAGTCCCAGATCTTCCCTCTGACATAGTCTACCCAAATGAGAAAGAACCAGGAAAACAATTCTGGTAATATGACGAAACAAGGTTCTTTAACATCTGCAAAAGATTACACTAGCTCACCAGCAATGGATCCAAACCAAGACGAAATCTCTGAATTGCCAGAAAAAGAATTCAGAAGGTCGACTCTTAAGCTAATCAAGGAGGCACCAGAGAAAGGGGAAATCCAACTTAAAGAAATCGAAAACATGATACAGGGTATGAATGGAAAAATCTCCAGTGAAATAGATAACATGAATTAAAAAAATACTATCACAACTTCTGGAAATGAAGGGCACACTTAGAGAATTGCAAAATGCACTGGAAAGTCTCAGCAATAGAATCAAACAAGCAGAAGAAAAAACTTCACAGCTTGAAGACAAGGCTTTTGAATTAACCCAATCCAACAAAGACAAAAACAAAGAATTTTTAAAAAAGAACAAAGCCTCCAAGAAGTTTGGGATTATGTTAAATGACCAAACCTAAGAATAATTAGTGTTCCTGAGAAGAAGAGAAATCTAAAAGTTTTGAAAACATATTTGAGGGAATAATTGAGTAAAACTCCCCTGGCCTTGCTAGAGACCTAGACATCCAAATACAAGAAGCTCAAAGAACACCTGAGAAATTCATTGCAAAAAGATCATCACCTAAACATACAGTCATCAGGTTATCTAAAGTCAAGACGAAGGGAAGAGTCTTAAGAGCTGTGAGGCAAAAGCACCAGGTAATCTATAAAGGAAAACCTATCAGATAAACAGCAGATTTCTCAGCAGAAACCCTACAAGCTAGAAGGGATTGGGGTCCTATCTTTAGCCTCTTTAAACAAAAGAATTATCAGCCAAGAATTTTGTATCCAGTGTCATAAATGAAGGAAAGATACTTTTTAAGACAAAAAAGACAAAGATGTCTTTTTCAGACAAACAAATGCTGAGAGAATTCACCACTACAAAGCCAGCACTACACAATTGCTAAAAGGAGCTCTAAATCTTGAAACAAATCCTCAAATCACACCAAAATACAATTTCCTTAAAGCATAAATCTCACAGGACCTATAAAACAACAACACAATGAAAAAAAACCCAAGGTATTCAGGCAACAAATAGCATGATGAATAGAACAGTACTTCATATCTCAATACTGACATTGAATGTAAATGGCCTCAATGCTCCACCTAAAAGATACAGAATGGCAGAATGGATATGAATTCACCAAACAAGAATCTGCTGTCTTCAAGAGACTCATCTGACACATAAAGACTCACATAAACTTAAGGTAAAGGGGTGGAAAAAGATATTCCATGCAAAGGGATACCAAAAGCAAGCAGGAGTAGCTATTCTTAGACAAAACAAACTTTAAAGCAACAACAGTTAAAAAAAGACAAAGAGGGTCATTATATAATGCTAAAAGGACTAGTCCAACAGGATCACAATTGTAAATATATATGCCCCTAACACTGGAGCTCCCAAATTTATAAAAAACTTTATAAAATAGTTACTACTAGACCTAAGAAATGAGATAGAGGGCAACACAGGAACAGTGGGGGACTTCAGTACTCCACTGACAACACTAAACAGGTTATCAAGACAGAAAGTCAACAAAGAAACAATAGACTTAAAGTATACCATAAAACAAATATACTTAACAGATATTCACAGAACATTCTACCCAACAACTGCAGAATGTACATTCTATGAAAAGAAAATAAATCTTGGGGCCCCCAAATCACTAAGCTAAAGGGAAAAGTTGAGCTGGGAACTGGTTAGGGCCAATCTGCCTCCTGTTAAATTCAAAGTCACCCCTCTGCTCACTGACATAAGTGCATCTCTGATTGCCTCCTTTGGAGAGGCTCATCAGACACTCAAAAGAATGCGATCACTTGTCTCCTATCTACCTATGTATGACCTGGAAGCCCCTCCCCGCTTCGAGTCTCCCCGGGTTTGCTTCCAGTTGTCCCGCCTTTCCAGATGGAACCAATGTTCATCTTGTATATGTTGATTGATGTCTCATGTCTCCCTAGAATGCATAAAACCAAACTGTGCTCCAACCACCTTGGGCACATGTCATGAAGACCTCCCGAGGCTGTGTCACGGGCATGCATCCTCAACCTTGGCAAAATAAACGTTCGAAATTAACTGACACCTGTCTCAGGTTTTCAGCGTTCACATTTTGGTAACCATGGGGGGATTCTGAGTGGAGATGCCTCTGACTTTTGACAAATCTCCTATTGGTGCTTGGTACTGGAAGGAGCTAACTTTATGGCTCAAACCAATAGGACAATTTGCTGAAGTCCGAGAGCACCCCCTCCAGAGAATCCCTCATCTCCCCAAATTTGGTCAAGATTTAGAGGTTATTTTGCTGTATGACTCCTCTTTTTTTGGAGTTTTACTTGCTTCCAACAGGGAAGGCAAGATTTCCTGTTTCCATGATGATGGAAGGCAGGTAACTCCCTTATGGAGTTTGAGCTTGCTTCCAACAGGGAAGGTGAGTTTTTTCCTGCTTCTAGGATGGTAGAGAGAAATCTACAGCCTGAGACCCATCCCTGGGTAAGTAACTGAATTGGCATTTGTCTTGGCTAAAGTTAAGATTAACAACCAGCTGGTCTTAATTTCTCCTTATCATTAGAACACTCAGTAATCATATAAGCTGTGTGATCATTTGTTTTGTTTAACTGTTTTTTGTTGTTGTTGTTCTTTGTTTGTTTCTGTTTTTGTTGTTGTTTCAGTCTTTTTCCCATTGGGTTTGACCAACTGTATCTGACTTGATCCAATCCAAAGGAAAGTTCCAAATTATGGGGAACAAGGCCTCTAAAGTGGCTAAATTACCACACACACACACACACACACACACACACACACACACACGTGGTGTGCTGGGGGGAGAAAAATGGCCAGAAAAAAAGGGGGAAAAAAAAGAAGGGAAGTTTTTTTTCGTTTTTTGTTTTGAGACACATAATCTCAGTTCAGTGCAACTTCCGCCTACTAGGTTCAAGCGATTCTCCTGCCTCAGCTTCCCGAGTAGCTGGGATTACAGGCGTGCGCCACCACGCCCGGCTAATTTTTGTATTTTTAGTAGAGATGGGGTTTCACCATGTTGGCCAGGCTGGTCTTGAACTCCTGGCCTCAGGTGATCTGCCCGCCTCGGCCTCTCAAAGTGCTGGGATTACAAACGTGAGCCACTGCACCCGGCCAAAAAAGGAAACTTTTTTGATTTTGACTACTTAAGGGGTTTTATTTACATAACAAGGCTAGCTTGTTGCGAGCCATGCCAAACTGAAAGAGCAATGGCTGTCACCCCACCCTGCAGTTCTATACCTAAGGTCCTGCATTTTTTTTTTTTTCACCATGACAGCCTGGGTTTGGTTCCTAAACAAGCCCTTTCTGGTTTGATACTTGGTACTTCTGAAATAGCAGCACTTTGTCCTAGCTAAAATATGGTAATGAGATTTTAAAGGATTTTTTAAGGAGCTCAGTGGTTAAAAGTCAGCTTAAGTAAAAGGCTAACATCCAAGATATATGTGTGTATGTGTGCATATGTGCGGGTGTGTATGTGTGCGTGTTTGTATTTAAAAGGCCTTCATGTTTTTGTTTTTCTCTCCTAGGACCTTGTCTTTTTTATTTTATTATTATTATTTTTTTTCTTGAGACGGGATCTCGCTCTGTCACCCAGGCTGGAGTGCAGTGGTGCAATCTTGGCTCACTGCAAGCTCTGCCTCCCGGGTTCACGTCATTCTCCTGCCTCAGCCTCCCACGTAGCTGGGACTACAGGTGCCCGCCACCACACTCGGCTAATTTTTTGTATTTTTGGTAGAGACAGGGTTTCACTGTGTTAGCCAGGATGGTCTCGATCTCCCGACCTTATGATCTGCCTGCCTCGGCCTTCCAAAGTGCTGGGATTACAGGCGTGAGCCACCATGCCTGACCCTTTTATTTTATTTTTGAGCAAAATTTTTTTCACTTGATTTTTTTACTAAAATAGTTATTGCAACAGAGGCTACTCTTGGTTTTTGTTTTTGTTTTTGAGATGGAGTCTTGTTCTGTTGCCCAGGTTGGAGTGCAGTGGTGTGATTTTTGGCTCACTGCAACCTCCGCCTCCCAGGTTCAAGTGATTCTCTTGCCTCAGCCTCCCAAGCAGCTGGGACTACAGGCGTATGCCACCATGTTCGGCTGATTTTTGTATTTTTAGTAGAGACAGGGTTTCACCATGTTGGCCAGGCCAGTCTCAAACTCCTGACCTCAAGTGATCCACCCACCTCAGCCTCCCAAAGCACTGGGATTACAGGCATGAGCCACTGCTCTGGGCCTACTCTTGTGTTTTTAAGGAAGAGCGTAGTTTAGACACTTAGGAATTTAAGTGTTTAAAAACATTTGTTTTAAAAAATAGTTGTTTTTTAAGGCCAGGTGTGGTGGCTCACGCCTGTAATCTCAGCACTTTGGGAGGCCGAGGCAGGCGGATCATGAGGTCAGGGGTTCGAGACCAGCCTGGCCAACATGGTGAAACCCCGTCTCTACTAAAAATACAAAACTTAGCCAGCGTGGTGGCAGATGCCTGTAATCCCAGCTACTTGGGAGACTGAGGCATGAGAATTGCTTGAACCTCATTTAAAACAAAGGTTTTAAATTAAAGTTGTTACATTCCCGTATCTTTCTATATGTGCTTTAACAGTCCTTGTGACATTGAGTCACAGGGCTGTAACTCCTGGTGATGCAGGAGCTAAAAAGAAATTATTTAGGCAGATAGTAGGGACAACAGAATCCATAGTGAAATTTCCCTTTTAACAAAAAAGCAGCCCTCTTGGCTAGGCGTGGTGGCTCATGCCTGTAATCCCAGCACTTTGGGAGGCTGAGGTGGGTGGATCACCTGAGGTCAGGAGTTAGAGACCAGCCTGACCAACATGGTGAAACCCCATCTCTACTAAAAATGCAAAAATTAGCTGAGTATTGTGGCACACACCTGTAATCCCAGCTATTTGGGAGGCTGAGACAAGAGAATCGCTTGAACCTGGGAGGCAGAGGTTGCAGTGAGCCGAGACCTCACCACTGCATGCCAGTCTGAGCAACAAGAGAGAAACTCCATCTCAAAAAAAAAAAAAAAGAATAGAAAGAAAAGCAACCCCCAAATCATTTCTTTTCTAACAAAAAGCAGCCTGAAAAATCGAGCTGCAAACATAGATAAGCAAGCTGGCAGCTTGCACGGGTGAATGCCAGCAGCTGTGCCAATAGAAAAGGGCTACCTGGGAGCCAGGTATGTTCAACACGGAGGCTCCATCTTCCCTATTCTTTGTCACCACGTGTACTGTAAAGAAGCTGGCGACATGGTACCAGCCAGGTAGAAAACCCATCTGCATAATAAAAGATTAGAGTGGGGGTGGCCAGATTTTCATGCACTATGCAAATGCCACACCTGGTCCGACCAATCTTTTGTGCCCTATGGAAATCAAACACCGCTTCCTCAAGCCCATCTATAAAACCTCTTTCACTTCACAGTGGAGGTGGCAACTCATGTTCTCCGGGACCCCTCTCTCTGCAGAGGTCTTTTCTCTTTCTTTCGCCTATTAAATTTCTGCTCTTAACCTCACTCTGGTGTGCCAAGTCCTGGTTTTCCGTGGCCATGAGACAACGAATCTCGGGTATTTACCCCAGACAATGATGCTGGGTCTAAAAAAGACACCAGGTCCTGCCAAATCTTAAATACTGACAGTAAAGCCTCATCTTCAGGCCCGGTAGAAGTTGCCATTCAGAATAAACTGCATTCCTAAGACACAGGGCCAGAAATCAAAGCTACTCAACTCCTTAAGGCCCAGGGACTATCGCCGAAGAGGTGGGTGTGTGAGATTGTAAGGGCTGATTTTTGAAAGATAAAATACATTCAGTTTCTCTATAAATTAATCATAAATGTCAAAGGCACACTGATGCAAGACCAGCATATGAGCCCCTGTGTCAGATTAACAAGATTTTTTTGAAGCATTAACGGACTCCTTAATAAAGGTTATAAAGGTTATAAAAGGCTTATGGAGGTTATATCTGATGGTCAAGATTAACATTTTATAGATTGTTTATAAAATTTTGAAAAACAAATTTAAGTCCTGGCGTGGTGGCTCACACCCGTAATCCCAGCACTTTGGGAGGCCAAGGCAGATGGATCGCCTGAGGTCAGGAGTTTGAGACCAGTCTGGCCAACATGGCAAAACCCTGTCTCTACTAAAAATACAAAAATTAGCTGAGTGTGGTGGCATGAACCTATAGTCCCAGCAACTCAGGAAGCTGAGACAAGAGAATTGCTTGAACCCAGGGGGCAGAGGTTGCAGTGAGCTGAGCCTGTGCCACTGCACTCTAGCCTGGGTGACAGAGGGAAACTCCGTCTCAAAAAAAAAAAAAAGAAAAACTAAAAAGAAAAACAAATTTAATCGGCTTCATACTGTTTTTAGTAGGACTTATTGTTTGGAAAATTAAATCTCCTCTCTCAAAGAATGAAGGTTTTCACCTTTTTTTGAAATCCTTGCGTTATCACTTGGGTTAAATGAATGACTTATTTTACAATGATCTGTGATCCTATTTTGTGATATCGATTGTTTTAAAGATTTGATATTTGACAAACCTTCCAAAATCCAATGATAAATTATGTGTTTTTCTGACCTAATTAATCCTTTAAGATATTAGTTTCCTTAAAGTTCAAAAATGACATAATTTCACTTCTTTGGTATAAAAATTAGACAGGAGCCGGGCGTGGTGGCTCACGCCTGTAATCCCAGCACTTTGGGAGGCTGAGACGGGTGGATCACGAGGTCAGGAGATCGAGATCATCCTGGCTAGCATGGCGAAACCCCGTCTCTGTTAAAAATATAAAAAATTAGCCGGGTGTCGTAGCAGGCATCTGTAGTCCCAGCTACTCGGGAGGCTGAGGCAAGAGAATGGCATGAACCTGGGAGGCGGAGCTTGCAGAGAGCGGAGATGGGGCCACTGCACTCCAGCCTGGGTGACAGAGCAAGACTCCGTCTCAAAAAAAAAAAAGAAAAAGAAAAAGAAAAAAGAGACCTTCCATGACTTAACCAGTGACATCATACAGGGAATTACTTGTACCCACATAGGTGGTCCCCAGGTCTTGAATACATGATGCCTGGAAGCACAATGTACCTTTTGTAGGCCTCATTTGGATAGGGCTTCTATATCTGATTCGGTTAGTAACTGGAAAGGACAGGGTGCTATTTCCAGTGAGTACAGAAAAGCATTAGCAGGCCAGGCGTGGTGGCTCACACCTGTAATCCCAGCACTTTGGGAGGCCAAGGCGGGTGGATCACTTGAGGTCAGGAGTTTGAGATCAGCCTGGCCAATATGGCAAAACCCCATCTCTAGTGAAAATATAAAAATTAGCCGGGTGTGGTGGCACATGCCTATAATCCCAGCTACTCGGAGGCTGAAGCAGGAGAATCACTTGAACCTGGGAGGCGAAGGTTGCAGTGAGCCGAGATCATGCCACTGCACTTCAACCTGGGTGATAGAGCAAGACTCCATCTCAAAAGAAAACTAAAGAAAAGCATTAGCAATGATGTCTGGAATATCAAGGATAGAACAGTCACGGTGGATCACGCCTGTAATCCCAGCACATTGGGAGGCCAAGGTGGGTGGATTGTTTGAGCCCAGGAGTTCGAGACCAGCCTGGGCAACAAGACCCTGTCTTTACAAAAAATTAGCCGGGCTTGGTGGTGCACCACTGTAGTCCCAGATAATTGGGAGGCTGAGGTGAGAGGATCATCTGAACCCAGGAGGCCAAGGTTGCAGTGAGCTGAAATCATGCCACTGACTCCATTATGGGCAACACAGCAAGATCCTGTCTCTTAAAAAAAAAAAAAAAAATCAAGGATAGCTTTCCACGCTGCTCTGGGGTTTCAGGGTGCCTCTTTTTTTTTTTTCTTGAGGCAGAGTCTCCCTCTGTTGCCCAGGCTGGAGTGCAGTGGCGTGATCTTGGCTCACTGCAACCTCCGCCTCCTGGGTTCGAGCAATTCTCCTGCCTCAGCCTCCTGAGTAGCTGGGACTGCAGGCACACACCACCATGCCTGGCTAATTTTTGTATTTTTAATAGAGACGGGGTTTTACCATGTTCCCCAGGCTAGTCTCAAACTCCTGACCTCAGATGATCCACCCGCCTTGGCCTCCCAAAGTGCTTGGGTTACAGGCGTGAGCCACCGCACCCGGCCCAGGGTGACTTATTCGGAATATGGAGAGGCACTGGCATCAGTGGAATTGTTTCCTCATTTGGGGGGCATTAGCCCACAGACTCAACAATTTATCTGGTTTCTTGCTAGAGCATAAGCCTGTACTAAAGCCATCCACAGATTATGGTCCAGTGGATTCTCCTGTAAGGAAAGGGAAGGGACTAAGACAACAGGAAATAAAAAAAGGAAAAAATAAAAGGCTTTCGTGAAGACAGAGAAGTCTGGATTTGTGACCTTGGGAAAGCCGCCCACATCCAGGATCCCACCTGCATCTGAAGAAAAACCTCCCTTGTCAGCTTTCCGTTGAGGTCTCCAACACGTATACGGTTCCAGGAGCCTGGAGGGGCCCTTTTGACTTATGAGATGTGAATCCAAAGTTTGAGGCCTTGAAGTTTTACTGCCGTGTGGGTGGTGAGAAGAACTTGGTAGGGTCTCTTCCAATGGGGTTCAAGGGCAGTCTCTCTCTGATGTCGTTTCCAGAAGACCAAATCTCCAGGTTCTAGACTGTGAAAGGTTTGATTGTCCTCAGTCAATGGTGAAAGTACACTTTGTCACAATGCATTAAACTCTTGCAGTATTGGCCGGGCGCGGTGGCTCACGCCTGTAATCCCAGCACTTTGGGAGGCTGAGGTGGGCGGATCACGAGGTCAAGAGATCGAGACCATCCTGGCCAACATGGTGAAATCCCGTCTCTACTAAAAATAAAAAAAAAAATTAGCTGGGCATGGTGGTGCACACACGTAGTCCCAGATACTCAGGAGGCTGAGGCAGGAGAATCCCTTGAACCCGGGAGGCGGAGGTTGCAGTGAGCCGAGATCGCGCCACTGCACTCCAGCCTGGCGACAGAGCGAGACTCCATCTCAAAAAAAAAAAAAAAAAAAGTCTTGCAGTATTTAGTCATATCAGAGTTTAGGAGAGAGGAGACAGGTGAAGCTCTGTTATTAAAGGTATGGGCCTTCCAGTAACTATTTTATAAGGGATCAATCTGTTTTCTAGTGGGAGTGGATCTGATGTCTGCCAATCAGTAATATCTTTAGCCAAGACACTCCAATTGATTATGTTAGTTTTGCCAATTTCAGTTTTCACAGACTCCTTGAATTGAAACAAACCCACCATCAAAAAAGGTGGGCCGGATGCGGTGGCTCACACCTGTAATCCCAGCACTTTGGGAGGCCGAGGCGGGTGGATCACGAGGTCAAGAGTTCTAGACCAGCCTAGCCAAGATGGTGAAACCCCATCTCTACTAAAAATACAAAAATTAGCCAGGCGTGGTGGCACATGCCTGTAATCCCAGCTACTCGGGAGGCTGAGGCAGAGAATTGCTTGAACCCGGGAGGCGGAGGTCACGGTGAGCCCAGATCACACCACTGCACTCCAGCCTGGGCAACTGAATGAGACTCTGTCTCAAAAAAAAAAAAAAAAAAAGTACCTATCTGAGGCCTCCAGCTGAATCCAGTCCAGTGAATTATCAGAACCAATTTGATCCAATTTGATCCAGGACCCAGTCCAGTCTACTAATTGCTCAAATAAACTTGGAGAGTTTTTTTGTTTTTTTTTTGAGACGGAGTCTCGCTCTGTCGCCCAGGCTGGAGTGCAGTGGCGCGATCTCGGCTCACTGCAAGCTCTGCCTCCTGGGCTCACGCCATTCTCCTGCCTCAGCCTCCCAAGTAGCTGGGACTACAGGTGTCCGCCACCACACCCAGGTAATTTTTTTCTATTTTTAGTATAGACAGGGTTTCACCGCGTTAGCCAGGATGGTCTCGATCTCCTGATGTCGTGATCCTCCCGCCTCGGCCTCCCAAAGTGCTGGGATTACAGGCGTGAGCCACCGCGCCTCGCCTAAACCTGGAGAGTTTAAAACACAAATTTGTAGAGCTCGGAACTTGAATGAGAACTTGCCGATGACCCCAGTTGCTGCAAGAGATCAGTGGTACCATGAGCCCTAGTGGGTAGCTTCCCTTGGTCACTCTTTGACAATGAAACACTTTAGGCTTATAGTTGCTCAGGAAAGTGCCAGAGTAAACAATTAATTATGTGTGAATGACAAAACTTAAAATGCCCATAGTTTAAAACCTTATGACTCAGGAGGCTGAGGCAGGAGGATCGTTTGAGCCCGAGATGTTGAGGCTGCAGTGAGCTGTGATCACACCACTGCACTACAGCCTGGGTGACAGAGCAAGACCCTGTCACTAAAAATCAATCAACCAATCAATCAATCAATCCCTGGCAGGGCACGCTGGCTCACACCTATAATCCCAGCACTTTGGGAGGTGGAGGTGGGAGGATTGCTTGAGGCCAGGAGTTCAAACCAACCTGGACAACATAGCAAGACCCCTGCTCTACTAAAAAATAAAAATAAGTTAGCTGGGCACAGTGGTGCCCACCTATAATCCCAGCTACTCAGAAGGCTGAAGCAGGAGGATCACTTGAGCCCAGGAGTTCAAGGCTGTAATGATTTACAACGGTGACACTTCACTCCAGCCTGGGTGATGAAGTGAGACCCTGTCTCAAAAAATAAATGAATAAATAAACATGTTTGTTAGGGTTTGAATGTGTCCCTCAAAGTTCATGTATTAGAAATTTAGTCCCCAGTGCTCCAGTGTTGAAAGGTGGGACTTTTAATAAGCCAAGCCCTCATGAATGCATTAATGCCATTCTAGCTGACGCGGGTTCTCATGGGAGTGGGTTCCTAATAAAAGGATGAGTTTGGCCTCCTTCCCTTCTCTCTCTCTCTGGGGCATGCCCTGTTGCCCTTCTACCTTCCTCCATGGGATCATGCAGCAAGGAGGCCCTTGTCCCAGTGTGAGTTCCTAGACCTTGGGCTTCCTGGACTCCAGAACTGGAAGAAACAAATCTGTTCTAGCCTGGTGCGGTGGCTCACGCCTGTAATCCCAGCACTTTGGGAGGCCGAGGCGGGCGGATCACGAGGTCAGGAGATCGAGACCATCCTGGTTAACACAGTGAAACCCCGTCTCTACTAAAAATACAAAAAATTAGCTGGGTGGGGTGGCAGGCGCCTGTACTCCCAGCTACATGGGAGACTGAGGCAGGAGACTCGCTTGAACCCAGGAGGCGGAGGTTGCAATGAGCCGAGATCCCGCCACCACACTCCAGCCTGGCAGCAGAGGAAGACTCCATCTCAAAAAAAAAAAAAAAAAAAAGAAAAGAAAGAAATCTGTTCTATAAATGACCCAGTCTTGAGTATTCTGTTACAGCACCACAAAATAGACTAAGACAATGTTCTACTTCACTAGTAATTAAATAAATACAAATGAGCATTTTTGCTCATTGAAGATAAAACTTAGTGTCACCACCATCTATAATGGCAGGTAAAAGCAGCATTTTATTACTACACATTAACGTGTGTGCTTATTATAAGATCAGTCGGGCCAGGTGCAGTGGCTCACGCCTGTAATCCCAGCACTTTGGGAGGTCGAGGTGGGTGGATCACCTGAGGTCAGGAGTTCGAGATCAGCGTGGCCAACATGGGGAAACCACGTCTCTACTAAAAATACAAAAATTAGCTGGGTGTGGTGGCAGGTACTTGTAATCCCAGCTACTCGGGAGGCTGAGGCAGGAGAATCCCTTGAGCCAGGGAGGCGGAGGTTGCAGTGAGCCGAGATCATGCCACTGCACTCCAGCCTGAGCGACAGAGCAAGATTCCATCTCAAAACAAAAGATCAGTCATTGAGAATCCCCCAGTGGCACACTCTACCTGGCCCGGTGTTAGCAGGATAGGGGTGTGCTGTCATACAGCCCCCACTGCAGCATGACGGGAGCCCCCAGCAGCAACCCTGCTCCCTCCCTGCATTCTCCAGTGCAGGAGGCTGCTGAGAGGTGCTCCCTTGCCGGTATGCACAGACCTGAATTGGTAAAATGCTCTTTTCCCTGTCAATACCACACTTGGGGGGGTGCAGGTGGCCCTGTGACAACAGGGACATGCTCTAGTACTACACAGAAATCTGTCGATCCCGAGGCACAAGTTCAAATCCCGCTGACTTACCAACAAGGGAAAACGGTATGTAAGTCATGAGTGTGTTTCGAATTTAGTTTTTACTTTTCATCAGAGTTATACATGCACATTTTCTTTTTTCTTCTTCTTTTTTTTTTTTAAGACAGACAGAGTCTCACTTTGCTACCCAGGCTAGAGTGTAGTGGCACAGTCATAGCTGACTGCCACCTCAAATTCCTGGGCTTAAGCGATCCTCCCACCTCAGCCTCTCAAGTGGCTGGGACTACAGGTGTGTACCACCACGCTCAGCAGATTTTTTTGTAGAGGTGGGGTCTTGCCATCTTGCCCAGGCATGTCTCGAACTCCTGGGCTCAAGCAATCCTCCCGTCTTGGCTTCCCAGAGTGCTGGGATTACAGGCATGAGCCACCACACCCAGCCACATGCACATAATTTAAACAGCTACATAGTTTTACAAGGCTGCTTACAAAATACAGCAGTCCCCTGTACTCACATCTCTGGAGGCAACTGCCTTCAACTTGCAGCTCATTCTTTTGGTTTCATCTTCATATCCCTGAAAAGCACACTTAAATTGCTACTTCCTGACCTCCAGTATCACTATATCATCTTTGATTTAGGTCAAGAGTCACAGTTGACATTGTGAGGGGACAGCATGAACTCTTTCATACCTGAGCTATGTAATGGGCCATCATAACTTTTCCTTCCCTGCTTAACTTCTTGTTTCCTCTGGAGTTAATAAATGCTGTCTTTCTAATTTTGCTTACTTTTTTTTATTACTAATTCAACTCCAAATTCTGCCAAATGTCCCAGTCTCCCCCAAAGCATTTCAGTATGTCAGATATTCTGCCAACTCAAAGTAGACTCTGTTTTGTGAGCTGGGGGCATAGCCTTCACCCTGGGGCCTCCCTTCACCAGCATTCTTTCGCCCTTCTGTCTTATGTAGGATCCCGCTTCCTGGATCCCACCACTTCCTCTTTCTTGGTTTACTCTCTCTTTGACAGAGCATACCCTGGAGTCACTTCCTGAGAAAGGGGCCAGGGATGTACATTTTTTGAAGGCTTATCATTCTGAAATTCTCTCTTCTACCCTCACTCATGATGAATAGTTTGGCTAAGTATAAAAATTGAGGTTAGAAATCATCCAACTTCAGAATTTTGAGAGCTTTCATTCATTGACTTCAACCATCTAGTTGTGTTGTTGCGAAGTCAGAAGCCATTCTGATCCTGGCCAGTTGTACAGGACCTACTGCTTTTCTGTTTTTGAGACGGAGTTTCACTTTTGTCTCCCAGGCTGGAGTACAACGGGGCGATCTCAGCTCACCGCAACCTCCACCTCCCAGGTTCAAGCGATTCTCCTGCCTCAGCGTCCCAGGTAGCTGGGATTATAGGCGCCCACCACCATGCCTGGCTAATTTTTTGTATTTTTAGTAGAGACAGAGTTTCGCCATGTTAGCCAGGCTGGTCTCGAACTCCTGGCCTCAAGTGATCTGCCCGCCTAGGCCTCCCAAAGTTCTGGGATTACAAGCGTGAGCCACCACTGCTGGCCAGGACCTGTTGTTTCTCTCTGGATATTTACAGGATCTTCTCTTTGTCTCCCATGTTCTGAAACTCCCTTTGATGTGCCTTAAGTACACATCTGCTTTCATTCTTGGTTCTAAGCACTCAACAGGTCCTTTCAATCCAGAAACTTGAGTTTAATTTCTTTTTTTTTTTTCTTTTTTCTGAGATAGAGTCTCCCTCTGTTGCCCAGGCTGAAGTGCACTGAGATGATCTCGGCTCACTGCAACCTCTGCCTCCCAGGTTCAAGCAATTCTCCCACCTCGACCTCCTGAGTAGCTGGGATTACCACCATGTCTGGCTAATTTTTGTATTTTTAGTAGAGACGGGGTTTCACCACGTTGGCCAGGCTGGTCTCAAACTCCTGACCTCAGGTGATCCGCCCGCCTCGGCCTCCCAAAGTACTGGGATTACAGGCGTGAGCCACTGTGCCTGGCTGAGTTTAATTTCTGTGAAATGTTTTTGGATTGTTTCTTTGATGATTTTCTCCCCTCCTTGTTCTCCCTATCTAGACATATTATGTAGATGTTAAGTGTCCCAGACTGGTCCTTCAATTCCTTTTTTTCTCTCATTTTCAACTTTTTTCTTTTTCAACTTTTTTTTTTTTTTTTTTTTTTTTGAGACAGGATCTTGCTATGTTGCACAGGCTGGTCTCGAACTTCTGGACTCAAGTGATCCTCCCACCCTGGTCTCCTGAGTAGCTTGGACGACAGGCATGCACCACTGCAAGGGCTTTATTTTCAACTTTTTGCTCTAATTTCTATAAAATTTCCTCAATCTTATCTTCCAACTCTTCTACTGAGTTTTCAATTTCCATGATCCTATTTTTAATTTCCAAGTGCTCTTTATATTCTCCAAATGTTCTTTCTTTATGGCACCTAGTTCTTTTTTCATAAATACAAAATTTTATCTTTCCTTCTTGAATATATTAATGACAGTTTTTTCCAAGCTGTCTTCTCGCAGAACAGTCTCTGTTTCCTTCCAGTTGTCCTTTTTCTGTTTGTTTTGTCTCTCTCTTCCACATCAGAGGAATCTCTCAGATGTCTGGTCATCCCGGCTGGCTTCTCAGGCTGGAGAGTAGGGACTGGTAAGCAGTGACCTGGCAGGAAACCGCCCGTGTGATCTGCCGATCAGGTTCCCTGGACACCCTGTGACACCCTGCATAGAGGGGAGAGGTCTGGCTGCCGGCGTTCTGAGCACTGCGGGTGGGTGGATGGGACGGCGCTGGGGTCTTGGCATCATGTAAATGTGCATCACATCCTCCCACCTTCAGCATGAAACCTCAGCCCCGCTGAGCCTGATATTCCCCCGCATCCAGAGACCCTCCGTCTGCTCCACGCCAGGGAAGAAGCCACTGGTGTCTGGCCTGGCGGGGGAAGCCCAGAAGCCCAGCTGTGGGTGGAGGCTGTGGGGGGAGGGGATCTGGTTCCCTGCCCGTTTCTAGCCATCCTGCTTATGTTCAGCTCCCCTTCACCCACACTCCTACATGGAGCCACACATTCCTGAGCCTTTGGTGGGGAATATGAGGGCCTGGGTCTGGGGGCATGGGGAGCCCTGCCCTCTATCCTGGGGACCACCAAGGCTGCAGTTGGTCCTTCCTTCTGAGCCCCAGTTTCTCAGCTGTTCAGTGAGGACTACATTTTTCCCTGGGCTCTTCCCACCTGAAGGGACTTTTCAACTTGGGGAGGAGCCTGCCGGGAGCTGCCAGGTATGTAACTCGCCCCCAAGAGCATCTCTCCTGGGGTTCGTCTTCCTCGGCAGTTTCTGTCTTCAAAAACCTCTTTGTTATAAGTAACTCTTTACCATCAAACATCTTAATTTGCAGACTGCGCTGTAGCCATCACCCAACACCGGAGTTGAGTGGTAACACCTTGGCTATCAGCAGACGCCTCAGATGGCACCTGAACCCTCACTGGCAGCTGAGATGAAGGCTCCGTGGGGATGAAATACAGACACCCCGCTCGGTGTGTGGAGGGGCTGGGGTTGAACAGGAAGGAGGCCAGAAGACGGCTTCTGGGAGGAGGAAAATGGCTCTGACAAGGAATGGGAGCCACCAAAGACCCAAGAGCCACCCTCACCTCCTAGCCCAGGGGCTGTGCAGCTCAGGGCTCTACTGGGCATCACCCTCATAGGTGGCATCACCTCTACCGTACGGGCACATCACCCTCATCCAGATGAGGTGGCCTGGGAGCAGCAGAGAGCATGGCACACGCCAGCTATCATGGGTGTTTGCTACAAATGTCTTTAATACACGACAAAAGTAAGCTGTGGCTAATTTTCATTGAACAGACGCAAACATCAAGGCTACAGAGAGGAAAGATCTGTGAAGGCCACCAGAGCCTGCAGGCCACACGCCAGGCCCTCCCACTCCGGGGCTGTGCAGGCTTCTTGCTGTGCTCGTCTGTCCTCAGCTGCCGTGTGCCACACCCACCCATCACTGGAGTTTGTCAGAGACGCCAGGCCGACAAGTGCCCCTGGGTTGTCACTCCTCCCACGTCCTTGGGATGCTGGCTGGGACAGCCCTGCTCTGCTGACCCCTCACTCCTAAGGGGCTCGCGGAAGAGGCCGAGGGTCTGAGAGCTGGCTCCTTGGCCCAAGGCAGGGCTGTCCAAATCCTAAGGTCCCTCTGCTCCCATAGGAAGGCTTCCAGAAGCCTCTCTCTGGGGCCAGGGCATCTGGGAAGATGTCCCGGCCCTAACTATGATTGGGAAATGGGGCAAGATGGAGAAAAATGGCGTTTGTGAAAGGGCTCCCGGGGATATAGTCTGTATCACAGGCAGACAGGGGCCTGCAGGACTGGGCTAGGGGGCTGGCTGGGGGAAGGCAGCAGGTGGGGCAGCCACACCTCCACTGGGCTGCTCCCCCAGAGCTGGTCTGAAGACAGGCAAGGGGTATGGCTGTGACCAACCCTCTCCTGGCACCCCACCCCCAGCAACCCCTGATATTGGGGTCACAGCTCAGCCTCTTCCACTTACTCACGCATGCATACCACATATATTTACTGAGCAGCTAAACATTCATTCATGCATGCATCATACATTCATTCATTTATTCCACAGTCACCTGAGGGCCCTCCCCTGTGCAGCACTGTGCCAGACCCTGGGGGTGCTGAAACCAATCAGGTCACTGCTTACGATGTCCCAAGCTCTCTCAAATGCCCCATCCCCAGCCTCAGCCTTCCTGCCCCAGATGAGGGCAGATCCATCCTCCCCACTGCTCAGGCCAAGGTCTTCAGGTCCTCTTTGATTTTCCCTAACCCTACCTCACCCCAGTCTGTATGAGTTTCCTGTGGTTGCAGGAAAAAATTATTTCAAACTCAGTGGCTTAAAACAACACAGAGTTATTCTCTGATACTTCCGGAGGTCAGAAGTCTGAGACAGGGGTCTCCCTGAGCTAAAGTCAAGGTGTTGGCAGGGCCACATTCTTTCTGGGGCTCTAGGGGAGAATCCATTCTTGGCTGTTTCCACCTCCTAGAGGCCACCGGCATTCCCTGGCTCGTGGCCCCTTCCTCCAGGCTCAAAGTCAGCAACACTGGGTCAAATCCTTCTCACACTGCGTTACTCTGGCCTTCTCTTCCGCCTCCCTCTTCCACGTTGAAGGACCCTGTGATGACATTGGGATCACCTGCTGACCCAGGGAAAGCTCCCTATTTTAAGGGTAACTGATTAGCAACTTCAATTCATCTGCTGCCTTTATTCCCCTTGCCATGGAAGGTAACACATTTACAAATTCTGGGGATTAGGATGTGGAAGTCTGGGGGCGGGGGTCATGATTATGCTGATTCTGTCGTTATTAGGAATTCCTCGCTCCACTTCAGAAGCCCCCCCAGAACCTGGTGGGTTCTCACCATCTCCAAGACCACTGCTTGGGGACAAGCTACCACCATTGCTTCTTTTCTGGATTTCCTCTCCCCAAGAATCCTACAAGGCTCCCATTTTGCTCCAAAGAAAAGCCAGAGTTCCCACGGTGGTCTACAAAGCCGCCATGACCTCGGCCCTAGTCCCTCCTCCTCCACTACGTCTGCTTCAGCCACAAGAGTCTCCTTGTTTCCTGCACTGGCAAACACACCCCTGCCTCTGGGCCTCTCCATGGGCTGTTCCCTCGGCCTGGAATGCTCTTTCCCCAGAAATCTCCCTCCTTGACCCTCTGTGCATCTGTGCTCAGAGGTCCTGTTAACACTGCCCTGGCCCCTGCCATAGCACTGCCATCCCTCTTGGCCCTCCAGGAAAAGGAGCAAGTTCTCCAAACCCCGCTAGTCCAGGAGGCATGAGCTGTGCTTGACCTGGCTGCACAGGACGACTGAGCTAAGGGGATTCAGAACAAAGTTTTCTCCCATAGGGTGGCCGGGATGCTCTCTGAGGCCTAGCATTGAGGAAGTAAAAGAATTACGGAGGCCAGGCGGTGGCTCACACCTGTAATCCCAGCACTTTAGGAGGCTGAGGCAGGAGGATCACTTGAGCCCAGGAGTTAAAGACCAGCCTGGGCAACATAGTGAGGTGCACCCCACCCCCGCCGCCATCTCTATAAAAAATACAAAAATTAGCCTGGTGTCGTGGAACACACCTGTAGTCCCAGCTACTCAGGAGGCTGAGGTGGGAGGATTGCTTGATCCTGGGAGGTAGAGGTTGCAGTAAGCCGAGATGACACCACTCCCTCCAGTGTGGGCGACAAAGCCAGACCTTGTCTCAAAAAATAAAAATAGGGGCCAGGCGCGGTGGCTCATGCCTGTAATCCCAGCACTTTGGGAGGCCGAGGCGGGCAGATCACGAGGTCAGGAGATCGGGACCATCCTGGCTAACGTGCTGAAACCCCGTCTCTACTAAAAATACAAAAAATTAGCCGGGTGTAGTGGCGGGCGCCTGTAGTCCCAGCTACTCAGGAGGCTGAGGCAGGAGAATAGCGTGAACCCAGGAGGTGGAGCTTGCAGTGAGCCAAGATCACGCCACTGCACACTCTGGCCTGGGTGACAGAGCCAGACTCCGTCAAAAAAAAAAAAAAAATGCCATAAAGAATAAGGATCATTATACTTCACGTATGGATGGCAAAAGAGGGCCAAAAATAGATATGGAGATAATCCAGATAATCATTAAGTATATTTAAGAATAGTGTCAACTTTGACCATTGTAATTGGTATAAAAATATGACAGATTTCTGGATATTTATATCCAGATTATACAATATATACAGATTATATTTTATAGATACTAATGTTTGCCAACATTTCTAATATAGAGTTTGAAATGTTTCATCAAAACATTTAATACATGTAAAATATATACAAAGTTAAATACAGTAAAATCAAAATAATGTGGAAACTAGAATCTACTTGACATATCTCCCTAGCAAGATAGTGTTTTTTTCCAACTGTACTATATTATATGAAAGTCCTGTTGCTATGCATATTCTGTACATGCCATGGCTACGTCTACAAATATGAAACAGCTAGAATAAACGGAAAAATCTAAACACCAGAGATGTTTTTACGTGGTTGTATATGAAATTATCATGTTGACAAAACAGCCAGATAATAAAGTTTTCAAACTCAAGATTTTTGTCTTATATGTGTAACCTCTGTTCTATTTGTTACAAATTATAAGTCTATGTTACTTAAGTGTGTGAATGAATAAAGGAAACATCTAGTTTAAAAAAAAAAAAAAAAAGACCAGCCTGGCCAACATGGCAAAACCCCGTCACTGCTAAAAATACAAAAATTAGCCGGGCGTAGTGGCGTGCACTGTAATTCCAGCTACTCGGGAGGCTGAGGCAGGAGAATCGCTTGAACCCGGGAGACGGAGGTTGCAGTGAGCTGAGATTGCACCATTGCACTCCAGCCTGGGCAACAGAGCGAGACTCTGTCATTAACAAACCAACCAACTTCCCCCAGCGCTCAGGGGCCCACGCTGGGGAGCAAAGTGGGTCTCCTCTGAGACAAACGTGGAGACTGCTCGAGAGCGAGGGTGGAGAGGTGCTGGGGGCGCTGGTCGGGGCGCGGGTTGCGGGACGGGGAGGGGCTGGGCGGGGCGCTCGCGCTCGCCTTCTGCCTGAGGCCTGGTCTGGGGCCGCGGGTCCACACCGCCTCCTCGTGGACACTCGCCGCGAGGGCCCGCGCCGCCCGCGGAGGCTGGGCTTGAGCCCACGGGAAATGAATACGGATCCTATAAGATTCGAGCTTTCATCACTGGGTCACCAGACGGTTCTGGGCGCGTGTCCGGGGTTCATCCTGAATATGCGCTGATGGGGCCGCTGGGCACGGTGGCGGTGTGGCCGCAAGGCCCCGCGGGGCCGCGCCCACCCGGAGGGTCCCATACCAGCCCCTCCTCCGCGCCCAGGCCCTGGCTCTCCCCGCTGCACCCCCGCTGCCCGCAGCCCTGAGCGCGCCCCGCTTTCGCTGGCGGGACAGCAGCGTCCTGCCAGGGTCGCGGCGCCGCACAGCCCGAATACTTCCTCACGAAACTCCAGAGACCCCTTCTGTACCCGCTGTGTCCCCCGGCCTGCCAGTAGCTCATGGTTACCTCAGGGTCCCAGACGCTTAAATGGGTTCTGGAATTTTCTCTGCCTCCTCTTGCCTTCCGGGAGCAAATGCGATGGTGGCTGCCAGCTGCTCGCCTACGCTTTTCTGCTCCTAAGGGCTCGACAAGGCAAATGCATTGGCTCAGGTCAGGACAAAGAGCAGGATGATTTCCCAAGGTCCCGGGGCACTGGAGCTGCGGGGAAGGGCAGCGGCCCTGAGCCGGGACCCCTGTGTAGGGGAAGACCCCTGCCCCTCCTGGAGGCCGGCCGGCTCTTACGGGTTTTGGCCTAGCATCCCCATGTGTGTCCGGAATTGGTGGGTTCTTGATCTCACTGACTTCAGGAATGAAGCCGCGGACCCTCGCGGTGTTACAGTTCTTAAAGGCGGTGTGTCTGGAGTTTGTTCCTTCTGATGTTCGGACGTGTTCAGAGTTTCTTCCTTCTGGTGGGGTTCGTGGGCTCGGCGGACCCTGCACTCGGAGCAGCCAGCCGGCCCCACCGGCCACAGGCAGTGAGGGGCTTAGCACCTGGGCCAGCAGCTGCTGTGCTCAATTTCTCGCCGGGCCTTAGCTGCATTCCCGCGGGGCGGGGCTCGGAACCTGCAGCCCGCCATGCCTGAGCCTCCCCCGCTCCTCCGTGGGCTCCTGTGCAGCCCGAGCCTCCCTGACGAGCGCCGCCCCCGCTCCACGGCGCCTAGTCCCATCAACCACCCAAGGGCTGAGGAGTGCGGGTGCACGGTGCGGGACTGGCAGGCAGCTCCACATTCACTGGGTGAAGCCAGCTGGGCTCCTGAGTCTGGTGGGGACGTGGAGAACCTTTATGTCTAGCTAAGGGATTGTAAATTCACCAATCGGTACTCTGTATCTAGCTCAAGGTTCGTAAACACACCAATCAGCACCCTGTGTCTAGCTCAGGGTTTGTGAATGCACCAATCGACAATGTATCTAGCTAATCTGGCGGGGACGTGAAGAACCTTTGTGTCTAGCTCAGGGATTGTAAACACACCAATCAGCACCCTGTGAAAACAGACCACTCGGCTCTACCAATCAGCAGGATGTGGGTGGGGTCAGATAAGAGAATAAAAGAAGGCTGCCCGAGCCAGGAGCGGCAACCCGCTGGGGTACCCTTACCACATTGTGGAAGCTTTGTTCTTTTAGTCTTTGGGTCCACACCGTGTTTACGAGCTGTAACACTCATTTGTTGAAGGTCTGCAGCTTCACTCTTGAAGCCAGTGAGACCGCGAACCCACCGGGAGGAACGAACAACTCCAGACGCACCACCTTAAGAGTTGTGACACTCACCGCGAAGGTCCGCAGCTTCACTCCTGAGCCAGTGAGACCACGAACCCCACCAGAAGGAAAAAACTCCGAACACATCTGAACATCAGAAGGAACAAACTCCGGACACGCTGCCTTTAAGAGCTGTAACACTCATTGCCAGGGTCCACAGCTTCATTCTTGAAGTCAGTGAGACCAAGAACCCACCAATACCGGAAACACATGGGCTGGGCCAGGCAAGGGGGACGTTTGGGGCTCAGTCTGTCCTGGTCCCTTCTATGGCTACTCCAGTCCCTCCCCTGCTTGCTGCACTCTAGCCACCCCTGGACTCCTCCAAGGGTCTTGATCAGGCCCTGCACAGGTCCCTGGGGCTCTGCACTCGCCAAGCCCTCTGCCTAAGAGGTTCTTTGCCCAGATACTTACATTGTGTTCTCCTGGTCTTTATCCACGGGTCCCTGACTTTCCTGACCTCCCTGAAGGAAAGCCAGGAAGAGTGGAGAGGTCTGAGCTAGGAGCCTGTGGGAGTCAAAGAAGGTGCCCAGAGGAGGAGAGGAAGAGAAAGGGTGAGCCAGGTGGGGGGACTCTGCCCACCCCTCATACCCCGGCTGAGCCCTCCCATGCCTGCCTGCTCCCGTCAACCTCCCACCTCCCTGCTGAGTTGGAGCCGGGGGAGCCTGGAGGTGAGGATGTGCCAGGTAGGAGCCCCACAGGGGCCATGGGACACCAAGAGGTGATCCAGGAGGCATGCGTGGCAGCCCTGCCTCTGAAGTGTGGGGCCTAAGAGGGACCTGTTGGGCAGCTCAGGGCTTCTCCTTGGGGAGCTGACCCAGCCGTCTGTTCTGTGACCACCTTGACACCCACATCCAGTTCCTGCCGCAGTGCGCCTCTGTGAGCCCCACCCCCTGGCGGTGCTTGTGCAAACAATGGAAGGAATGAGTATTCCAGGCACTGAAGCAGCAGGCACAAAGTCCTGAGGCAGGAGAGAACTTGGTGTTTTTCATGGGAAGGAGTCAGTATTCCAGGCACTGAAGCAGCAGGTACAAAGTCCTGAGGCAGGAGAGAACTTGGTGTTTTTCATGGGAAGGAGTCAGTATTCCAGGCACTGAAGCAGCAGGTACAAAGTCCTGAGGCAGGAGAGAACTTGGTGTTTTTCATGGGCTCTTTCAGAATGACTGGTCTACAGTGAGCCGGAGAAAGGGGTGCAGATGGGTCTGAAAACAGCAGGGCCAGTGGACCACGCAGGCCTCAGCAGCTTCATCTGTGGGTGGGGCTCACGTTTACTCTACCCACCCATTCTGGGATTAGTAGCTACCCAGGGCTTTGCTGCTCTGGGGTGCTGGTGTCTCGCATTAGGCCTTCTCTTGCATGATCTCTGCTGATATCCACTGGCCATGCAGCCTCGAGCAGGTGGGGACAGACTTGGTCTACTCCAGGGCAGGTGCCCAAAGTCACACGGCAAAAGGGCGTGGCGGGAGGTGGTAAAAAGCTGGGAGCAACAGTCCATCTAGCACAAATACACATTTGCTGCAAAAAGCCCTGTTGTCAAGACAGTCCTCAGGTTTGACGATTCAGTAGAAGGACTCACAGTTATTCATTACAGCAAAAGGACACAGAAGAAAATCGGCAAAGGAAAAATAAGGCACATAGAGCGGGCCCGGCGGGGAGACCAGGTGCAAGTACCCACAGGATATCGCTCTCCCAACAGTACTGGGAGTGTTGCCAAACTGGGAAGCTCACCTGAGACTTTGTGTCCAGAGCTGTGGTTAGGGGTTGATCACATAGGCGGGGAGTGCCCATATGGCTGACCTGAGTTACTCGGTCTCCAGCTCCTTCAGAGCTCAAGCTCATGACCCAAGGCCTCAAGTTAGCTTAGACTAGCTGGTGTGGTCCAAGGCCCCCACATAAGCAAAGACACTCTTATCAGGTGGGATATTCCAAAAGGTCTAGGGCCAGTCCCTTTTTTGGAACATGCAGGGTTGAACACACTAGGCCTGCTGCACTAGCCCCATCCTGCACAAATCTAGATGAGTTTCAGAACACAGAAAGTGAATGCTGGCTGGGCGCGGTGGCTCACGCCTGTAATCCCAGCATTTTGGGAGGCCAAGGCAGGCAGATCACTTGAAGTCAGGAGTTTGATACCAGCCTGGCCAACATGGTGAAACCCCATCTCTACTAAAAATACAAAAATTAACCAGGCATGGTGGCACGTGCCTGTAATCCCAGCTACTCAGGAGGCTGAGGAAGGAGAATCACTTGAACCCAGGAGGCAGAGGTTGCAGCTGAGATCGCAGCATTGCACTCCAGCTTGAGTGACAGAGTGAAATGCTGTCTCGAAAGAAACAAAGAAAGAGAATGCGGAAAGAAAGAGGGAGGGAGGGAGGGAGGGAAGGAAAAGAAAGAAATTGCTCCCTGTATCAGCTCCTGCCCAACTCTAGGCCATACCCAGTTGTGAACTCACTCAGCCAACTCTCATGCCTGGCTCCTTCTCACCCTTTAGGTTGCAGAGCTGGACTGTTATCTTGTCTCTAATCACCCTCTTTAAAGTTAGGTTCCTCCTTTTTTTTTTTTTTTTTTTTTTTTTTGAGAGGGAGTCTCGCTGTGTCACCCAGGATGGAGTGCAATGGCGCTATCTTGGCTCACTGCAACCTCTGCCTCCCGGGTTCAAGCGATTCTCCTGCCTCAGCCTCCCGACTAGCTGGGGTTACAGGCACCCGCCACCATGCCTGGCTAATTTTTGTATTTTTAGTAGAGACAGGGTTTCACCATGTTGGCCAGAGTGGTCTCGAACTCCTGACCTCAGGAGTCCTGCCTGCCTTGGTCTCCCAAAGTGCTGGGATTACAGGTGTGAGCCACCGCACCCAGCCTGTTGTTTTCTTATACACATTTTCCCCTTCCTTTCCTTACACAAAATTTCCTTACGTTGCAATTATTCTTGTTTTGGAAAAGGATCTGTCTCCACTATTACAATGTCCACACATGAGTCCCCAGTGCCTGGCCCAGTACCTAAATTTGCATTGAAGGCAAGAGCATGCTGGGCACTTCCCATGTGACCTTACTGAATATTTACAACACCCTCTAAGACAAGTGTTCTTGGAGGTCTGGGATCCCTCATCCGCAATTCTGAAATCTAAAAAGCTCAGAAACCCAAAATAGTTTTCTTTCTTTCTTTTTTTTCTCAGAGACAGGGTCTCACTGTGTGGCCCAGGCTGGAGAGCAGTGGCACAATCACCATTTACTGCAGCCTCAAACCCCTGCCTCAAGCAATCCTATCTCAGCCTCCTGAGTATCTGGGACTACTGGCACACACCATCACACCCACCTAGTTTCTTTTAACTTTTTGTAGAGATGGGGTTTTGCTATGTTGCCCAGGCTGGGCTCCAACTTCTGGGCTCAAGAGATCCTCCTGCCTTGGCCTCCCTAAGTGCTGGGATTACAGGCATGAGCCACTGCACCTGGCCCCAAAATGTTTTTCTTAAAGGTGGTACAAAATCTGACTTCAACAGCTACAAGGCTTTTTCTGATCTTCATTCATCTCGCAGTCTGAATGGTCACCCTGTCTTTGCAGAAATTGTAATCTGTCTGGTTTTGTGGTGCTGTACCATGTCCCAGTGGGAGCACTAAGTCAGATTTTAGCTGTTCATTTTCCATTGCTGCAGAACAAACTATCCCAAATGTTAGTAGCTTAAAACAATAAGCATATATTATCTCATCCAGTTTCTGTGGTCAGGGACTCAGAGCAGTTTAGCTGGGCGGTCCTGGCCCGGGGTCTTCCATGGAGTCACAGTCAGTATGTCAGTGGGGGCTACTGTCTTCTGAAGGCTTGACTAGGGTCGGAGGATACAGTCCCAAAGTGGCTTCTTCACCACAGTGGGCAAGTGGGCGCCGGCTGCTGCCATGAAGCCTCAGTTCCTTGCCACATGGACCTCTTCACAGGGTTACTTGATGATAGGGTGGGTGGCTTCCCCCAGAGAGAATGCTCCGAAAGAGGGCAAGGCAGTAGCCGTGATGTCTTGTGGGAGCTAGCTGCAGAAGTCACACTCCATCATTTCTGCAGTACCCTCTTAGTTACCCAGGTCAGCCCTCTCCAGTGGATTGGAGGGGACTACACAGGAGCATGGATATTGGAAGGAGGGGATCCTCTTTGAAAGCTGGCTCCCCCAGTTATATGTACCTATTTGAAATCCAAAGATCCTCATTTCTAAAATACACATGGCGGCCTGGCGTGGTGGCTCACGCCTACAATCCCAGCACTTTGGGAGGCCGAGGCAGGCGGATCACTTGAGGCCGGGAGTTCGAGACCAGCCTGACCAATATGGTGAAACCCCGTCTCTACTAAAATACAAAAAATTAGCCAGGCGTGGTGGCGGGCGCCTGTAATCCCAGCTAATTGGGAGGCTGAGGTGGGAGAATCACTTGAACCTGGGAGGCGGAGGTTGCAATGAGCCAAAAATCACACCACTGCACTCCAGCCTGGGCGACAGATTGAGACTCCGTCTAAAATAAATCAATACGATACAGTACAGTACAATACAATACAATACACCACACCTGACCCCAAGGCTGTTGTTGGATGAGAGACTGTGGATTGTCACATGCACCTTTTACAGTTGAGGCAGAGGCTCAAGGTAGGTCACTGGAATGACGTGCCCCAGGCCACACATTAGCCTCTAACAGCTCTGGGTCCAGTTTTGTTTTTTCCACTCATGCCCCAGACAATCAATAGGCATTGTTTGTAACCATAGCCATGGGGACTGTAGGCTTGCTGTGCAGCAGCCACTGCACTGGACAAGCATTCCATGCACACTCCACCCTCTAGTCCCCACAACAGCCCAACCAGGTAGGGTGGGCACTCGCTCTGCCCTTCCTTCTGCTGAGAGGAAGCCCAGGCTCTGATGAGTAAGAAGGAGCCTTCCATAGCAAAGCCAGGCCTGTGTAGCCCAATGTCCGGGCCATAAGCACTTGGGTGGCTCTGGCTTTGCTTATAGGCTTGTCTGATTCTACAAGCTTGTGTTTTCCCAGGCTCAGCTCAGGCTTGGCTGTGGATCACATAAGGGAAGAAAGTCAAGAAGCTGCTCAGGGGCGGAGCCTGTGGGCAAGTGCACACACAGGGAAGACCCCTGCCCTATCCTGAGTAGGGAACCTTGGAAAGACCCCATGTGTGCTTGGGCATCATTGTGGGGAAGACTGGGCTGTGGAAAAACACTAGCGTTTGTCTGGGAATTTTGGGGAAGGAAAGGGATGGAAAAGCGAAAGGGTGGGAAGGGGCTGGTTTCCTGCTGCTTCTGCTATATAAGAACAGCATCTAGCAGGAAGGTTGTCCCGTGGGCCCATACTAGCCACCTTACAAAGCAGCGTCTGCAGTGGCTGACGCCTGTAATCCCAGCACTTTGGGAGGCTGAGGCCGGTGGATCTACCTGAGGTCAGGAGTTCAAGACCAGCCTGGCCAACATGGTGAAACACCATCTCTACTAATAATACCAAAAAATTAGCAGGGCATGGTGGCGGGCGCCTGTAATCCCAGCTACTCAGGAGGCTGAGGCAGGAGAATCGCTTGAAACTGGGAGGCGGAGGTTGTAGTGAGCCGAGATCGCGCCATTACACTCCAGCCTGGGCAACAGAGCGAAACTCCGTCTCAAAAAGAAGAAAAAAAAGGAAAGAAAAAAGAAAGCGGCGTGCGGGGCAGGGGGTTGGAGCTCTTTCTGGGCTCAGTGTCCCCAGGTGACGGAACACATGCCACGTGCTTGGTGCGCTGCGAGCTCAGCTCCTGGAGCTTCTGTTGCTGCTGTGGCCGCAAGGCCTGGACCCTCGCGGGGAGATTCAGACCCACACTTAGCTCCAGAGCTTGGGGGTTGTCGTTAAGCCCTTCCTTTCCATCAGAGGCTGATGAATCCCCAAACTCCTGGGCTGAGTTCGACTCTCCGACAACTCCTCAGAGGCGGATGTTTGGGGCCACTGGAATAAGCCCAGCACCAGCTGGGGTGTGGACAGCCTCGGGGGCCAGGCCAACTCTCCCGGACGGGTGCGGACGGCAGGGGCGGGGCCGGGCTGTAGGCGGTGGGAGGGGTGGGGCCGGGCGAGAAGGGGCTGGGCGGGCTGCCGTCGGGCGGGGCTGCGCGGGGAAGGGCGGGGCTGCGCGGGGGGCGGGGCTGCGTGGGGGAGGGCGGGGCCGGGCTGTTGTGGGTGGGCGGGGCGCACCGGGGAAAGTTCCGGGAAGGGCGGCAGCCGGCGGGGCCCGGGCGCGGAAGTTGCCGGCGGCCGCGCGGCCTCCCGGGCGGGCCTACAGCCATGTCCCGGGACCCGGGGTCGGGCGGCTGGGAGGAGGCCCCGCGCGCAGCTGCCGCGCTCTGCACCCTGTACCACGAGGCCGGACAGCGGCTGCGCCGCCTGCAGGACCAGCTCGCTGCCCGCGACGCCCTCATCGCTCGCCTCCGCGCCCGCCTGGCCGCGCTGGAGGGGGACGCCGCGCCGTCCCTAGTGGACGCGCTGCTGGAGCAGGTTGCGCGCTTCCGGGAGCAGCTGCGAAGGCAGGAGGGCGGCGCCGCCGAGGCCCAGATGCGCCAGGTACGAGGGCGGGTACCAGAGGAGCTGCGGGAGCGAGAGTGCGTGTGGCGGCCGCCGGGTCCTGGGTGGGTGAGCGAGCGGGCCCCGGGTCCTGAGGGGTTGAGGGGGTACTGGGTCCTGGGGTTGAGTTGGCCTCGGGTCCTGAGGGGTTGGGGGAGCACCAGGTCCTGGGAGTTGAGGGGGTGCCGGGTCCTGGGGGTGAGGGGGCCCCGGCTCCTGAGGGGTTGGGGGAGCATCAGGTCCTGGGGGTTGAGGGGGTGCCGGGTCCTGGGGTTGAGGGACACTAGGTCCTGGGGGTAAGGGGCCGTCGGGTCCTGGGGGTGATAGGGCAACAGCTTCTGGGGGGTGAGGGGACCCTGGGTCCTAGGGGAGAGAGGGGGACCAGGTCCTGAGTGGGATAAGGGGACACCACGGGCTGAGGTGTGCTGGGTCCTGGGGGGTTTGAGGCGTCACCAGGTGCTGGTGGAGGTGAGGGGGCTCTGGGTCCTGCGGGGTGAGGGTGCAAGGTTCTGAAGGGGATAAGCGAATGCTGGATCCTGGGGGGTTGGGAGGGCACTGGGTCCTGGGGGATGGTGAGGAGGCACTGGGTTCTGAGGAGGGGGGTTGGTGCAGTTCTTGGGTTCTGTGTGTGTGTGGTGTATGTTCAGGTGGGCTCTTAGGGGTATTTTGAGGTTCGTGTGTGGGAACACATTCCGAGGGGGGTGTGTGTATGCTGTGTGTATTCTGTGTGTATTGTGTAGTGTGTATGTTCCGGTTGGTTCTTAGGGGTGTTTTGAGGTGTGTGTGCGGGAGACACATTCTGAGGGGTGTGTATGGTGTGTGTGTGTACGCACACATGTGTGTCTTGGGTCCAAGGTCGTGTACTCATATTGTGTTCTAGAGTCCCTTCCAGCCCTCACCCATGCATGTGTCTTTCACTAGTGGCGCTTCAACTCTATGCTGGGAGCAATGGCAAATGCAGCCCGTGTCTGATAAAGGACACAAATCCTAGGCTGGGTGCAGTGGCTCACGCCTGTAATCCCAGTACTTTCGGAGGCAAGGCGGGCAGATTGCCTGAGCCCAGGAGTTCGAGACAAGGCTGAGCAACATGGTGAAACCCTGTCTACAAAAAGTGCAAAAAATTAGCCGGGCATGGTGGCACGTGCCCGTGCTCCCAGCCACTAGGGAGACTTAGGTGGGAGGATCACTTGAGCCTGGGAGGCAGAGGTTGCAGTGAGCCAAGATCGCACCACTGCACTCCAACCTGGGTGACAAAGTGAGACCTTGTCTGAAAAAATTAAATTAAAAATGGACACAAGGGTCCGGACGCGGTGGCTCATGCCTGTAATCCCAGCACTTTGGGAGGCCAAGGCGGCGGATCACGAGGTCAGGAGATTGAGACCATCCTGGCTAACATGGTGAAAACCCATCTCTACTAAAAATACAAAAAATTAGCTGGGCGTGGTGGCGGGCGCCTGTAGTCCCAGCTACTTGGGAGGCGGAGGCAGGAGAATGGCATGAACCCGGGCGGCGGAGCTTGCAGTGAGCCGAGATTGTGCCACTGCACTCCAGCCTGGGCGACAGAGCGAGACTCCGTCTCAAAAACAAACAAAAAAAGACGCAAATCCTGACTTTCTTCTCTTTGTCCTTGTCTATGATGTTTATGTCTGTTTTTTGATGATAAACTATAACACCACAACAGCAGTATAAGTAACAGTTTTTTTGTGCAATAGTATTTGCAAGCATCTGAAACATTCGGGTGAGCTCTGGCATCTATTATTCCATTTGATTCATGGCTATTATCCTAGTTTGCCCAGGAAAGAAACTAAGCCTGCAAAGGCAGTAGTCTGCGAAAGATAGTTTTTGTCTCCAGGGTTGGCCCCACAGCCTGATTTTAGAGAGAAAAAGAAACATGCCCTTTTTAAAAAAGAAAAAAAATTATAAAACAATTTTGAATATCTGAAAAATAAAGAATAAAATAGCCGCTGTAGTCCCACAGTGCAGGGATGACTAGTGTTAATCTCTTGGCATGCCTTCTTCCTGTTTTTCCTCTGTGTATAAGGTGTGTGTACACTTGGCATGGTTGTTTTCATGCTGTGTATACAGTTGTACTTAATATTAGGTTGTCAGTATCTACATCATTTAAAATACTTTCAGCAGCCAGTGTCTCCCCTACTCCACTCTCTCCCTCTTTCTGGAAGGTACATCCTGACTCACTAGAGCAGAAGGGAAGTTTAGAGGTCACCTGGTCTGCACCAACAGGTTTTAGAGTTGTGGATGCCAGGAGCCACAGATGAGTACAGACCAAGGACCCGGAAGGACACTCCGAAGTCATCTCCAGAATGTTGGTGGGACAGGATGCAGGGACCTCACAACCAGAGCAGTATACTTGCAGTCGGTGGCCATTGGTGTTCCGCTCACATGTGTTCCCTGGTGTCCTGTGTATCTGGCCACTCACCAAGCAGCTTATTGCAGCTTCCTGGTAGCCTCAGATAGAATTAGTTCTGTGTTCCCAGTATTACTGGCCCTGGTCCTGTCTTCCCAACATGTAAGCATGTAGGTTTTGTTTTGGGATTTTTATTTTTTTATTTTTTTGAGACAGGGTCTCACTCTGTTACCCAGGCTGGAGTGCAGTGGCACAAACATGGCTCACTGTGGCCTCAACCTCCTGGGCTTACGTGATCCTCCTGCCTCAGCCTCCCATATAGCTGGGACCACAGGAGTGTGCCATCACACCTGGCTAATTTTATTTTTTTTTTGTAGAGACGGGATCTTGCTGTGTCGCCCAGGCTGGTCTAGAACTCCTTTCTTCAAGTGATCCTCCTGCCTTGGCCTCCCAAAGTGCTAGGATTACAGGCATGAGCCACCACGCCCAGCATGGGGGGATTTTTAATTATTTAAGGAACATTTTAATGATTTAGTTTTGTTTGTTTGTTTTTTTATTTTTATTTTTATTTTTTTAGAGACAGGGTCTTGGTCTGTGACACTGCCACCTAGGCTGGAATGCCTTGGGGCCATCATAGCTCACTGTAACCTTGAACTCCTGGGCTCAACCAGCCCTCCCATCACAGCCTCCCGAGTGTCTAGGACTATAGGCGAAGAGCCTACCACAAGGACTATGAGCCACCACACCTGGCTAACTTCTTAAGTTTTTGTAGAGAAGGGGTCGCATGATGTTGCCCAAGCTGGTCTCAAACTCCTGGCCTCCAGGGATCCTCCTGTCTCGGCCTCTCAAAGTGCTGGTATTACAGGCGTGAGCCACTGTGCTGGCCTTATCTGGTATTTTATGCAATTACATATTTATTGCTCATCCCAACGTTCAATCTGAGGTCGGTCATGGAACCTGTGGAAGAATGGAGAGGTTTGTCACCTCCTGCAGGCCCTGGGTTCACTGAGGTGGCAGTGCAGAGTTAAAGACACAGCAGGAAGCAAGCCGTTGCTAGGTTGCTCTCATCTATGAGAGCCCGTTAGGAGCAGGAACCCTGGACCAGTAGGGACTGAGGGCTCCCAGAGAGAGTGCTGAGGCTCAGAATGTGGAGGAGCTGACCAGTGCGTCTGTGATCAAGCTGCGGTCAGTGTGTGATGGGGCAAGATCAGGCCAGAGAATTGTGGTCCTCAGTGCAGCCACAGCTGGACTTGAGACCTTACCTCATCTGTAACACAAGGCCTGAGTGGATAACTTTACAAAGCCCCTCCAGTTAATACTTTCTGGAATAATGGCACCAATTCATTGTGCAACCTGGTCCTGCCCAACCCCATCCTGTCACCATTCTCGGGACCAGCTTCATAGGCTTTGCCTGGTCCTGGCGTATCAGCCCCCTTTCCCTTCCGGCTTAGCTTAGCTTTGCTTTGCTTGTTTTCTTGGCTCTTTCTTTTCTTTTCTCTTCTCTTCTTTTCTTTCTTTCCTTCCTTGTTCCTTTTTTTTTTTTTTTAAACTGAGTCTTGCTCTGTCGCCAGGCTGGAGTGCAGTGGCGGGATCTTGGCTCAGTGCAACCTCCACCTCCCGGGTTCAAGCGATTCTCCTGCCTCAGCCTCCTGGGTAGCTGGGACTACAGGCGCCCACCAGCACGCCTGGCTAATTTTTTGTATCTTTAGTAGAGGCGGGGTTTCACCATGTTGGCCAGGCTGGTCTTGAACTCCTGACCTCGTGATCCACCCACCTCAGCCTCCCAAAGTGCTGGGATTGCAGGCATGAGCCACCGCCCCGGGCCACCTTCCTTGTTCCTTTCTTTCTTCCTTTCTCCTCCCCTCCCCTCCCCTCTTTTTGACAGGGTCACTCTGTTGCCCAGGCTGGAGTGCAGTAGCATGATCATAGCTCACTGCAGCCTTGACCTCCTGGGCTTAAGTGATCCTCCTGTCTCAGCCTCCCGAGTAGCTGGGACTACAAACGCCCACCACCATGCCTGGCTAATGTTTTTTGTATTTTTTGTAGAGACAAGGTCTCGCCATGTTGCCCAGGCTAGTCCCAACCCTTGGGCTCAAGTGATCCTCCCACCTCGGCCTCCCAAAGTGCTGGGATTACAGGCTTTGGGAGAATACACTTCTGTTGTTTAAGACACCAAGTTTGTGATACTTTGTTGCCGCAGCGCTAAAAGCCAAGAGGCCACTGTGCCTCTTAAGGCCAATCCACAAGACTATTAATAGAGCTGTTTACACTTTTGTGTTCTGAGCGTGGAGCTATGGAGTTGTGGGTCCCGGCGACAGGCTTTCCTGAGAGATGTCAGCCCAGTTGCTGACTAGTCTGTGTGTTGTGCCTGTGTGTGTAGACCCACAACTCCAGCTCGTACCTTGTTTTCTGACCACAGTGGTCGAGGTGCTGTTGTGTCCTAAGAACTGTTACTAACTGGACAAGGCACTCAGACAGATAAACCAGCACAAAGCTCTGCAACTTCAGAGCCAGTGACAAATGCCAGAAGCCCGGGGGCTGGAGGGGTCCTGGGGCCCTCATGCTGCCGAGGGGAGGATGAGTGGGGCAGCCCTTTGCAGGGCTGGCCTGCCCCCACGGGTTGAGCGTAGAGCCTGCGTCCTGATCTGTCTCTGTATGGCCCAGTCTTATTCCCATTTACTGGGCATCTGTGTGGGGCTGGGCTCAGTGTTGAGTACTAGGGTGTGGAGGCAAGAGAGAGCCACGCCCTCAGGATCTACGAGCTGTGGACATGCTGCCCTCCTGTTTGTGGAGCTGTTTGTTTCTCCTACTGTCAGCATTTGACCAACGCAGGAAGGAGGCTCCGAAATCAGATTTTACCTGGGCACGGTGACCCCTGCTGAGGCAGGAGGAGGATTGCTTGAGGCCAGGAGTTCAAGACCAGCCTAGGCAACATAGCCACACCCTGTCTTTATCAAAAAAAAAAAAAACCAGAAGTCAGGTTTTGCTCAAAGTCCTTTATCCCTGAAGAGGGTCTCACTGTCACCCAGGCTAGAGTGCAGTGGCACCGTCACAGCACACTGCAGCCTTGACCTCGAGCCCATGGTCCCAGCTATTTGGGAGGTTGAGACGGGAGGAACACTTGGACCCAGGAGTTCAAGGCTTCGGTGAGCTGTGATTATACCACTGTATTGCAGCCTCGGTGTCAGGGCGAGACCCTGTCTCTAAAATAATAAAATAATAATAATAATAATAATAATAATAATAATAATCAGGGTTCTCGCAGTAATAGGGCTTAGTATTTTGTTCCATTGTGATGAGAACATTCTAGGTTCCCGGTCTCTGTCCCTTCTTACCTCAAGTACTAGACACAGAGGCTGGACCCTTCTCCCGCCACTTCTGGGGGAAGCTTGGGCTCCTCCGTGACTTTTCTGAAACTGTTTCTTCACTTGTGGGATGGACTAGTTGAGCCTGCTTCACCTCCTTCATGTAATGTACTGTTTATTTTGGAGGATTCTTTGAAAACGGAAAAGTACAAATTTAAGGCCAGATATTAAAAAATTGTCAGGTCAGATGTGGTGGCTCGTGCCTATAATCCCAGCACTTTGGGAGGCTGAGGCAGGCGGATCACTCAAGTCCAGGACCAGACTGGGCAAAGTGGTGAAACCTTGTCTCTGCAAAAAATACAGAAATTAGCCAGGTACGGTGGCATGCACTTGTAATCCAACTACTTAGGGTGCTGAGGCAAGAGGATCACTTGAGTCTGGGAGGTGGAGGCTACAGTGAACCATGGTGGCACCACTGTACTCCAGCCTGGGTGACAGGGCGAGACCCTATCTCAAAATAAAATTGTCATTTTAAGAACCTTTTTAAATTCTTTAAGAAGTAATTGGGGTTGGGTGTGTTAATTTCCTAGAGCTGCTGTAACAAAGTAACACAAACTGGGGGGCTTCAAGCAACAGAAATTTAATCTTTCACAGTTCTAGAGGCCAGAAGCCAGAAACCAAGGCATCGGCTCTCTCTCAAGGTTCTAGGGAAGGACCCTTCCTCGCCTCTTCAGCTTCCTGTGGGGGCCACCAATCCTTGGTGTTCCTTGGCCTTTATCCACAAGACAAGACGTCACTCCTATCTTTGTTGTCACGTGGTCGTCTTCTCTCTGTGTGTCTGTCCAGACTTCTGTCTGCTTACAAGGACACCAGTCCCGTCCTAATCCATTTTGTCCCCACCTTAACTAATTACATCTGCAAAGACCCTATCTCTAAGTAAGGTTTCATTCCCAGATACCGGGGAATGGGAGGTTTGGTTGTGGACATCTTTTTGGGGTTACCCACCACAGTGGAGTTTCTACCTATCCCATCAAAAAAGTGCTTGGAATTGCCACTTTGATAATTTGATGATAACTGGGTGTGGTGGCTTGAGCCTGTAGTCCCAGCTATTCAGGAGGCTGAGGTGGGAGGATTTGCTTGAGCCTAGGAGTTTAAGACCAGCTTGGGCTATATATAGCGAAACCCTCATCTCAAAAAAACATTTTGATGATATGAAATCTAAAATTATGAACTTGCTTGTGAAAATAGAATTTGGCAGGGCGTGGTGGCTCACACCTGTCATCCCAGCACTTTGGGAAGCCAAGGCGGGTGGATCTCTTGAGCCCAGGAGTTCAAGACCAGCCTGAGCATCACAGCAAAACCCTGTCTCTACAAAATACAAAAAAGTTAACCAGGCACGGTGGCACGTGCCTGTAGTCCCAGCTACTCAGGTTAGGATGGAGAATCGCTTGGGCCTGGGGAGGTCGAGGCTGCAGTGAGCCATGATTGTGCCACTGCACTCTAGCCTGGGTGACAGTGAGACCCTGCCTCAAAAAAAAAAAAAAAAAAATTGCTGGGCGCAGTGGCTCACGCCTATAATCCCAGTACTTTGGGAGGCCAAGGCTGGCGGATCATCTAAGGTCAGGAATTCGAGATTAGCCTGGCCAACATGGTGAAACCCCGTCTCTACTAAAAATATAAAAATTGGGCCAGGCGTGGTGGCTCACGCCTGTAATCCCAGCACTTTGGGAGGCTGAGGTGGGCGGATGCCGAGGTAGGCGGATCATGAGGTCAGGAGATCGAGACCATCCTGGCTAACATGGTGAAACCCCATCTCTACTAAAAATACAAAAAATTAGCTGGGCGTGGTGGCGTGTGCCTGTAGTCCCAGCTACTCGGAAGGCTGAGGCAGGAGAATGGTGTGAACCTCTGAGGCGGAGCTTGCAGTGAGCTGAGATCGCTCCACTGCACTCGAGCCTGAGCGACAGAGCGAGACTCCGTCTCAAAAAAAAAAAAAATTCTTTTAGCTGGGCTTGGTGGTGGGCTCTATAATCCCAGCTACTGAGGAGGCTGAGGTGGGAGAATCGCTTGAACCTGGGAGGTGGAGGTTGCAGCGAGCCAAGATTGTGCCATTGCACTCCAGCCTGGGCAACAGAGTGAAACTCTGTCTCAAAAAAAAAAAAAATTTGAGATGAAGTTTCAGAACAGAACATTGTAGGCTGAAAAACTCCAGAGTTAATAGTTCAAATGCCCAACTTCTGAGTGAGTAATTGTTAGTTCAAACGCCCAACTTCTGAGTGAGTATGTTTGTGTCTGGTGATGGGGCATCCACGCCAGGTCTTCTTTTGCTTTCTGAACATTTGCTCTTGACACTGCTTCTTTTAATTCAGTAAACTGTGCTTTTAAATCTTCCACTTAGGAAATTGAGAGGCTGACTGAGCGACTAGAAGAAAAAGAGAGGGAGATGCAGCAGCTGCTGAGCCAGCCCCAACACGAGCGAGAGAAGGAAGTCGTCCTGCTACGGAGGAGCATGGCAGAAGGGGAGCGCGCCCGGGCCGCCAGTGACGTCCTGTGCCGCTCCTTGGCCAACGAGACCCATCAGCTGCGGAGGACGCTGACCGCCACCGCCCACATGTGTCAGCATCTGGCCAAGTGTCTGGATGAACGACAGCATGCACAAAGGAATGTGGGGGAGAGAAGTCCTGACCAGGTAGGCCACAGTGTAAGCAGAGTGTGGGGAAGACCTCTGTGTGCTGGGAGCATCGCCTACAGGCCCCTGATCACAGAGGTGGGGGGGCGCCCCAGAACCCACTTCTGTTCTCAGTAACGAGAGTCAGCTGACGGGGCAAAGCTCACTCATCCAAGGGTTTCTTTTAAAATGATGGAACATGCAAAATGTAATAGGAAAGCAGGCAGCCACCTCACTGCCCAGCACCAGGCCTGTGGCCGACCCCGCTCCCAGGTGGGAGATGGCACTTGGCTTTCATCTGCCTCAGCTGAGGATGAGGAGGAGGAGCTGAGCCTGGCAGAGCTGCCTGGAGGAAGTGTAGTCACATCCTCCATCCGAGGAAACTGAAGCAGAGCCAGGTGGTACTGCTGGGGATGGGGAGTGCCTCCAGTTCCACACCCCAAACTCCTGGAAGGACCGTGAGTGCCCGCCTTCTTCAGGCTCAGTGTGTCTGAGTGCATGCAGGCACAGCTGGAACCGCCATCTCCAAAGCTGGCTTTAGGCATGTCCTTGCCAGCAGCACGGCCTCCCGCAAGCTTGGAGACCTGGCTCAGGGCCACAGCCTCCTCATCATCAAAGCAAGGGCCGGGGGCAGCGGCACCAAGTGACAGTGAGGGCCAAAGAAGGGTTCGCTGGACCTCCAGGATAGGCTGGATCTGGGCTGTAGCTCTCTGTGGGGTCTAGTGGGAGAGAGAAGGACCGTGGGAGTTTCAGCATCAGGAGAAACCAGGGGGCTCCTAGGCAGAAAAGTAGGGGAGCAGTGGCCCAAGGCATCTGTGTGCCAGGCACCTTCCATCTTGCTGGTGCTTGTGGTGGTCTGTGTGTGGCAGGCAGGGGAATGGAGGCACTCCGTGCACATCTCACCTAGGCTGAGACCCCATCTCACTCGCACTGCCGGGCACAGGGCCTCTCGCTCGGGTCCTTTCTAGGCAGTTCTCTGAGGCAGCACCAAGGTTCATGCAGAAACACACGCGCTGGGATGTTCTGTGGCAGACAGTACATCCCGCACCCATCAGCAGCTTCACCGAGGCGCCCACTGGGGAGAAGGTTGGTCTGAGAACTGCCCACCTCAGCTGGGTGGATTCCAGGCGGGGAACCTCAGAGAGGACACAGCTGCATTCAGAAACCAGAGGAAAAGTGCCGTCTGGGCGGAGGCAGGGTGTTCTGGTCTGATTTTGAGTCACTGTGTCATTTCCCTCTGGGGATTTGAAAGGAGCCACACACAGTGTTGAGCCTGAGGCGGGGGTGGGGCCAGTGGCAGGGTAGGCCCTCATCACAGTCTCTAAATAAGTGTCACTTCTCAGCCCTGAACTCAGCTGAGTCACCCGGGGCTTCCCGGTGTAGGCTGTGTTAGGACGTGCACTTCCTTTGTCATTTGAGGGGAATTCTCAAAAATTATGTCACTGAGATACAGTCAGAATTGTAGGGTACACACGAGTTTCAGGAGACTTTTCATTCAGCTCTGTAGTTGTTAGTGGGGGTTGGTTTGGGTTGTGGCTTCGGTGACTCCTGACCCTGCGTGGGGCAGAGGTTAGATTCCTGTGTCCAGAATCACCTGGTTGAACCCGATTGTCTGCAGACAGGACAGTGTCATGGGCTCCAAAGGAGGTAAGCAGGGTGCATGGCCAGGCCCACCCTGGGCAGCTGGGGGCCCCCTCACTGGAGATCCTCTGGTTTACAATGGGATTCAGCTTCCTGCCTTCCCTGCTGTCTGTGATAATGGCAAATCTCTGGCAATGAGAAGACTTTATCATGTCTGGTGTGCCAATCCCTGCAGACATTATGGCTTTAGAATATTTACATTCCAAATATTTAAAAGACAAACAGCTCAAACTGGTAGGTGGGACGGGATAAGGACAGTGTGAAAGGTGGTGTGGCCTGAAGACCTCCCATCCGGGCTCTGGCCTGGGCCAGGTGGGGTGGGCCTGGGCAGGGAGAAGGTGGTCCCTTGTCCCTGCTTTGCTTCTCTACCAAATGAATGATCACTACCCGCTGCACTGGGGGACGCAGTGATAATCTGTGGCCTCAGCCTCTGGGTCTAGCTTTCTCCCCTCTTGCTGTATGTGACAGAGTGTCTTCTCTCTGTCCCTTCCTCATGCAGTCGGAACACACAGATGGGCACACCTCTGTCCAGAGTGTTATTGAGAAGTTGCAGGAAGAAAATCGACTGTTAAAACAGAAGGTGACTCACGTGAGTGTCTTTCACATTTCGTTTGAGAAGAACACATGGCTTACAAACTGTAAGTGAGGGTTCTTTCCTTGGCTGATGCCCAGAGTCGCCCCCCGCCCTCTGGCCACTAGGACTTGATACACACAGTCCCTAGAGACTGGACTTTTTTGCTTAAAACGACGTACGGGACATGTCCTGTCCATCTCCATCCCCCTAAAATTAATCCACAAGTCAGTAAAGGAGATGCAAGAGTTAGCAGCAGGAGGTCCATTTTCTAAGACAGCAAAGCTGCACCGAGTCCACCTCCGTTCATGCTGCTTGCGTACGGGTGTCATCGTGCTGCCTCAGGATTCTCTAGCGGGCCTAGTGTCTGCTCTCTACAGAACAGGGAGGGGCAGCTTCCATTTAAGAGGAAACTCTCACTCAGCGAATCACTGCTAATACATAATTCACACTGGGTGCTGGCTTGAGCAGCTTTGTCAGCTGCCTTCACCGTGAGCTTTCCGGCTCCACCTCTTCAGGTTGAAGACCTCAATGCCAAGTGGCAGCGCTACAACGCCAGCAGGGACGAATACGTGAGGGGGCTCCATGCGCAGCTCAGGGGGCTGCAGATCCCCCACGAGCCCGAGCTGATGAGGAAGGAGATCTCCCGGCTCAACAGACAGTTGGAAGAGAAAATAAATGACTGTGCCGAAGTGAAGCAGGAGCTGGCGGCCTCCAGGACGGCCCGGGATGCTGCGTTGGAGCGGGTGCAGATGCTGGAACAGCAGGTGTCTGTCCCTCGGGCTCCGGACGGCACTGACCAGATGTCTGCTGGCCGGTGGTGGCCGAAATCATGGGACAGGCTGGGCTGAAGGCTTGGTGGCACTGAGTGGGCAGTGGTCACTGTGGGGGTGGGAGAAGCCTGGTGGGGCGCTTCCTCCTTCCTTGAGCAGAAATGTGTGTCTCGCCTCTCTTCAGATTCTCGCTTACAAGGATGACTTCATGTCAGAAAGGGCCGATCGGGAACGGGCTCAAAGTAGGATTCAAGAACTGGAGGAAAAGGTCGCCTCTTTGCTGCACCAGGTGTCCTGGAGACAGGTAGAGTATGAGGGCGTTTTTCTTCCTGCTTAGGTTTAGTGTTTTTGTTTCTCTTCTCATGAGATTAGAGCCTTTCTGTGTCTGCCAAGGCCCTGATTTGCTGGTGATGAGGGTTGTGGCGAGCCCCTCCCTGCTGTGGGGAGAGCCACCTGGCCTGGTACCTGGGCGTGGTCATGGAAAGCCTCCCTGTTATACTGTTTAGTTATGGAGGAGGCTGGCATGGCGGCCTGTCTTAGCAGAGGTGGCTGTCCTCAGGGCCCGTCCGTCACTGTCATGCAGTCAGAGAGCATATCTCGGGCCTCAAAGTGTGAGCTCCCTACGTGTCCTGACCTGTCTGTGAGACGGGAACCCCGCTTACCTTGTCATGTAGATGTGATGGCCCTGGGTGTCCAGTAACATCCCCAGCTCAGCCTGGCACGTGGAGCTGGGCCTTGCAGGGCAGGGGCCCCTCACCCCACCCCTGGGCTCAGTGCTTTTCCTACCATGGGGTGCCTTGAGGGAGGCCTGGCATGAATGGGAACCGATGAAGTTCCTCAGTGTGTGACCCATGGCCTCTTCCTTCTCCTCACTGACTTGTGCTCTGCAAAAATCCAGGAGAAGTTTATGTAGCTCCTCATCAAGTACCTAACACACTTTTGGCCCTGGGAATAGCCTGGGCCCCACTCAAAGAGCTTCCTCTCCTGGCACAGACTGAACAGTAGTGATGCCTCTTGAGAATCGATGCGTCCCGGGCTGGAGCTAGGACGTCAGCCGTGTTTCAGGGTGTGAACAGGGACCCTGGGGCTGTGAGGCCACCCCCCACTGCCCTGTTCCGAGCAGCCACTGGGCCTCAGTGGTTTCTGCTTCTCCTCCGCATGAAGGGCACGGGAGAGTCATGGTGGACTATGGGACTAACCCTGGGACTAAGTCTGCAGCAGAGGGCTGGACAGGTTTTTCTGGCCTTCATGAATTCAAGGAAGCATGTGATTTGGATTGAAGGAGCACTATTGGTACAATCGTGAGGATGGTCTCAGGCCGCCTCTTGAAGATTTTGGACCAGATGAACTGGTTCCAGACTTGCAGGCCCAGATTCTTACCCCCGGGGGTAAAGTTCCTGGTGGGGCCTGCAGACCTTGTACTAAGTGGCCTCTGGTTCCCTTTCAACAGTAGCCTGTGGCCCCTCGAGGGTTGCTCAGTCCCTAGATGGCACAGCCAGGGACAGTGGTGCTGAAGGCATGGGTGATAAGCTGTAGTCCCACTGGGGAAAGTCCACATTCAGACAGGAAGTGGAAGCACCAAGGCCTGCTGGAATGAAGTTCCCAGGCAAGCAGTGAGGGCCACAGGCTGCAGTGCTTCAGGACGGATGTTTGGAGAACATGTGCCAGATCATGCCAGGTGGTTGGTGGGGCCAAGCCAGGGACACCTCTTGCTGCTACTGAAGGACCCCCTGAGCCCCAGAGTGCTCAGCACCCCCAGGCCCCACAGAGGAGGTGCAGAGTAGGGTTGGTACTCAGTTTGCCCAGCTCCCCACCAGAGGCTCTGCCACCTCCACTCTGTGGTGGCCTGTGGGCCACGTCATCAGGGCCACCTTCTCAGTCAGGTCTCCTGGGGCCGATAGGTCCAACTGAACAGGACTTCCACCAAGGGGCTGGGGGGTGGACCACGCCAGGGCCTACTTCTTCATGAGCACATGACGGAGCGTGTGTGTGATCCTCAGTCATTCACTGAGCGCCCCCTTGTCTGGGCTCTGGGGCGCAGCAGGAAGCAAAGTGAGGGGCTGAAGTTCCGCTCAGGGATAGGTGAAGTGCCTCTGGTTGCTGGAACCTGAGACCTGGCTTTGTGACCGTCAGCACAGCCCACGTATATACACCCTTGCCTTTTCTCCAGGATTCTCGAGAGCCAGACGCCGGCCGGATTCACGCTGGGAGCAAAACTGCCAAGTATTTGGCCGCCGACGCATTAGAGCTTATGGTGCCTGGTGGCTGGAGGCCTGGGACTGGGTCCCAGCAGCCAGAACCCCCTGCAGAGGGCGGGCATCCTGGCGCGGCCCAGAGAGGCCAGGGGGACCTTCAGTGCCCTCACTGCCTGCAGTGCTTCAGTGACGAGCAAGGGGAAGAGCTCCTCAGGCATGTGGCTGAGTGCTGCCAGTGACCGAGACTCACCCGTGCCCTTGCGGCCTCCTGGCCCGGTGCAGCTGCCCTCAGGGACAGGGTGGGTGCTCTCAGATGCCATGGGTTGAGCTCTACTGAGAGCCAAGGCCCCTAGAATAGTTGCGGGGCACTCTGATCGTTCACTTTGGTCCCTTTGGCTATGGAACAGGCTGGGTCACAGGGAACTGCCAGTGAGGCTGGAGGCTGGAGGTGGAGATGGGGTCAGGAACATCTGGCAGAGGGAGGTCCCAGTCTGTGTCTCCATCAGGCTTAAGCCAGAGCTATCTGGTGCTGGTGTGCCAGCCCCTCCCCCAGCCTGCCTAGAAAGGGGTGGCTGCCTGAGGGAGTCACTTGTATGGTCCCCAGGGTGGGAGCCCCATCCTGTTCTATGGAATAAAGCGTCGCCTCTCTGCCTCGAACCAGTCAAATGGAGTATTGCGGCTGCACGTCACACTAGGGTGGCCACCCCCGCCATTGCGAGCCACATGTCTGCACTGAGAAACTGCATTTCAGTAGCATTTGTCATCCAGCCGGAAGTTAAAGCACACTTACTTTATTCACCTATTTTTATAATAAACGTTCTTGCTGCTGTGACTGCTCTGAGAATTTGTGTTGGAAGCTGGGGTGCAGGGACTGAACAGTATTTACAGCAGCTGGCATGGGAAAACACTCCTGCTGTTGCCTTCTGCCAGGGCACCAAGACAAGGGGGTCAGTGGGAGCCTGGCTGTATTAGGGTTCTCTAGAGGGACAGAACTAATGGAACAGATAGATATATAAAGGGGAGTGTGTCAAGTATTAACTCACACGATCACAAGTTCCCACAATAGGCCGTCTGCAGGCTGAGGAACAAGGAGAGCCAGTCCCGAGTTCCGAAACTGAAGAACTTGGGAGTCCTATGTTCAAGGGCAGGAAGCATCCAGCACGGAGCAAGATGTAGGCTGGGAGGCCAGGCCAGTCTCTCTTTTCACGTTTTTCTGCCTGCTTTATTCTGGCCACGCTGGCAGCTGATTAGATGGTGCCCACCCCGATTGAGGGTGGATCTGCCTTCCCCAGCCCACTGACTCAAATGTTAATCTCCTTGGCAACACCCTCACAGACACACCCAGATCAATACTTCCTATCCTTCAATCAAGTTGACACTCAGTATTAACCATCATGAGTCCACCCCTTGTCTACTTGAACCCATACATAGTCCTGAGATAATAATCTTCAAATAAAGACAAAAATAAAGTCACAATTATGCCTAACATAATACAACTATCCTTCATACAACCGGAAACGCACCAGTCCCCAACCCAAATAATACTATTACATAAAGGTAACAATACTTTACTTTTTGTTTTTTGAAACGGAGTTTCTTGTTCCCCAGGCTGGAGTGCAGTGGTGTGATCTCGGCTCAGCTCACTGCTACCTCCGCCTCCCAGGTTCAAGTGATTCTCCCACCTCAGGCTCCCGATTAGCTAGGATTACAGGCGCCTGCCACCACGCCCGGCTAATTTTTGTATTTTTAGTAGAGAAGGGGTTTCGCCACGTTGGCCTGGCTGGTTTCGAACTCCTGACGTCAGGTGATCAGCCTGCCTCTGCCTCCCAGCGTGCTGGGATTACAGGCATGAGCCACCACACCCGGCCAAGGTGACTGACGGTACTTAAATGCTGATGTGAAGTCAATAAATCTTATGTCACACGATAAAGGAGAAAGGAAATGAAGAGATTTTCTTAGTACTAGCGTATACATGCACAAACGTTTTTTATCAAAAGGAGGAAATACTCACAGCAATTACAGTCCTGGTTCCTGCAGCTGGTCATGTGGTCATAGCCGTTATTGATGCCTACCTTCTTCTACTACCCATTCTGTATTCCCTTTGCCTTCAGCAAGCACCTCAGCAGATGGTGGTTTTTTTCCTGGTGGAGTGACCCGAACCTTCATTCCTGATTTGTAGTCCTGCCTGGATTGGGCTGTTGTAGTTTCCCATTGACCTTAATCACAGGGCATTAGATAATACTAAGAGATGTCCTAATGGATCTCCTGTATTCCATGCATACTCTTCCTTACCTCTGTTGTGGAGTAAGAGACTAATTCCATCTTTTTTTTTTTTTTGAGATGGAGTGTCGCTCTGTCGCCCAGGCTGGAGTGCAGTGGTGCAATCTCGGCTCTCTGCAGGCTCCGCCTCACGGGTTCACACCATTCTCCTGCCTCAGCCTCCCGAGTAGCTGGGACTACAGGCACTTGCCACCATGCCCAGCTAATGTTTTGTATTTTGTGTAGTAGAGACGGGGTTTCACCGTGTTAGCCAGGATGGTCTCAATCTCCTGACCTCATGATCCGCCCGCCTTGGCCTCCCAAAATGCTGGGATTACAGGCGTGAGCCACCACACCCGGCCGAGACTGATTCCATCTTGATAGTCCAGATCAATCACTCCAGCCAACACCATAACTCCTCCTTAGCCTGTTGACTTAAAGGTAGGAGGAGCCCAGAGTGTCCAGGTGGCAATCTTAACTTCTAGCTTAATGGAATAGTTGTGTCTCCTGGTGGCAGCGTTCCTCCCTCTGGAACTAAGACCTCTAGGCCAGCAGAACATAATGTCATGGGAACAGGGAGCAAACATTTTGCTAGTGGATCACTAGGGGTGATGGCGAGTGGTGCCACTTCCACTTGAGTGCCTTGATTCCTGGACCCGTGCATCCTGGTTAAGGGAGAAACAATATCATATCTTGGATGCTGATTCAGAGCATACATGGCCTTCTGGAGAACTTGGTCCCAGCCCTGCAAAGTATTGTCACCTAGTTGGTGTTGTAATTGTGACTTCAGAAGGCCATTCCACCGTTCTATCAATCCAGCTGCTTCAGGATGATGGGGAACGTGGTAAGATCAGTGAATTCCATGAGCATGAGCCCACTGCCACACTTCTTTAGCTGTAAAGTGAGTGCCTTGCTCAGAGGCAATGCTGTGTGGAACACCCTGATGGTGGATGAGGCATTCCTTGAGTCCATGGATGGTAGTCTTGGCAGAAGCACTGCGTGCAAGATAGGCAAACCCACATCAGGAGTAAGTGTCTATTCCGGTGAGGACAAACCTCTGCCCTTTCCATGATGGAAGAGGTCCAATATAATCAACCTGCCACCAGGTAGCTGGCTGATCACCCTGAAGAATGGTGCCATATTGAGGCTCAGTGTTAGTCTCTGCTGCTGCCAAATTGGGCACTCAGCAGTGGCTGTAGACAAGTCAGCCTTGGCTAGTGGAGGTCCATGTTGCTGAATCTCCATGTGTAATCTCCATCCCTGCCACCATGGCCACTCTGTTCATGGGCCCATTGGGCGATGGCAGGTGGCTGGGGAAAGAGGCTGAGTGGTGTCCACAGAACAGGTCATCCTACCCACTTGATTATTAAAATTCTCCTCTGTTGAGGTCATCCGCTGGTGAGCACTCACAGGGGATACAAATATCTTCAGTTTTTGACCACTTGGAGAGGTCCATCCACATACCTCTTCCTCAAATTTGTCACCAATTTTCCAATAATGCTTCTTTCAAGCCCCTGACCATTGTCTTCCAAGTCCCATCCAGGCAAACCATTGTCTACAGCCCATGAATCAGTACATAATCACACACCTGGCCATTTCTCCTCCCATGCAAAGTGCACAACCAGGTGCACCGCTCCAACTTCTGCCCACTGGGAAGATTTCCCTTCACTGCTGTCCTTCAGGCATGTCCTAAAAAGAGGCTGTATTGCTGCAGCTGTCCACTTTTGGGTGGTGCCTTCATATCGTGCAGAAGCATCTGTGAGCCAGGCCCTAGTCTTCTCTTCCTCTGTCCACTGATCATAGGGAACTCCTCATGAGGCCATTGGTGCAGGCTGGGGGAGAGGAGGCAGGGTGGCAGGAGTGGAGACCATGGGCATTTGAGCTACTTCTTCATGTAACTTGCTTGTGCCTTCAGGACCTGCTTGAGCTCAATCACATATGTGCCACTTCTCTTTGATGATGGAATGCTGCTGTGCACGACCTACTTTATGGTGATGGGTCAGAAAGCACCCAGTTTATGATGGGCAGTTCAGGTCATATGGTGACTTGATGACCCATAGTCAAACATTCAGTTTCCACCAAAGCCCAGTAACAGGCCAAGAGCTGTCTCTCAAAAGGAGAGTAGTTAGCTGCAGAAGATGGCAGGGCCATCTTCTCCAGATCCTACAGGCCTCCGCTGTGATTCACCTATGGGGTGAAAATCCTACAGGCCTCCACTGTGATTCACCTATGGGGGCCTGCCAAAGGCTCCAAACAGCATCCCTATCTGCTACTGACGCCTCAAGCACCATTGGATCGCTGGGTCATATGGCCCAAGTGGCAGAGCAGCTTGCACAGCAGCCTGGACCTGTTGCAGAGCCTTCTCCTGTTCTGGACCCCACTCAAAACTGGCAGCCTTTTAGGTCACTAGATAAATGGGCTGGAGTAACACATCTAAGTGAGGAATGTGTTGCCTCCAAAATCCAAATAGACCCACTAAGCATTGTGGATCTTCTTGGTTGTAGGAGGGACCAAATGAGGCGACTTATCCTTCACCTTGGAAGGAATATCTTGACAGGCCCCACACCACGGGAGCCCTAGAAAGTTTACTGAGATAGAAGTTCCCTGAAAAAAAAATTTTTTTTTTTTTTTGAGACAGAGTCTCACTCTGTTGCCCAGTCTGGAGTGCAGTGGCATGATCTCGGCTCACTGCAAGCTCCGCCCCCCGGGTTCACGCCATTCTCCTGCCTCAGCCTCCCGAGTAGCTGGGACTACAGGCGCCTGCCACCATGCAGGGCTTTTTTTTTTTTTTTTTTTTTTTTTTGGTATCTTTAGTAGAGACGGGGTTTCACCATGTTAGCCAGGATGGTCTCAATCTCCTGACCTCATGATCCACCTGCCTCAGCCTCCCAAAGTGCAGGGATTACAGGCTTGAGCCACCATGCCCAGCTGAAATTTTTTTTTTTTTTTGAGACAGAGTCTTGCTCTGTTGCCCAAGCTGGAGTGCAGTGGCAATCTCAGCTCACTGCAACCTCCGCCTCCGGGGCTCAAGTGATTATCCTGCCTCAGCCTCCGAAGTAGCTGGGACTACAGGTGCGCACCACAACACCCAACTAATTTTTGTATTTTTAGTAGACATGGGGTTTCACTATGTTGGCCAGGCTGGTCTTGAACTCCTGACCTCGTGATCCGCCTGCCTGGGCCTAACTGCTTTGGCTAGAACCTCTAGCACAATGTTGAATAGAAACTGCAAAACAGATATCTTTGCCTTGTTCCTGATCTTAGGGGGAAAGCATGCGGTCTTTCACAACATTAAGGATGATATTAACAGTGAATTTTTTGTAGATGTCATTCTTCAGGTTGAGGAAGTTCTCTTCTATTCACACTTGGTGAAATGTCTTTATTATGCAAAAGTGTTGGATTTTGTCAAATGCTTTTTTTGCATCTATTGAGATGATCATGCAATTAAAATTTCGATTAATATGATTACATTAAGTATGTGTTGGATATTGAACCACCCTTACATTCCTGGGATTCCACTTGATCACGGTGTATATTTCTTTTCTTATATTGCTGGATTTGGTTTTCTAGTATTTTGTTGAGGAATTTTGCATCAATATTCATGAGATAATAGTCTGTAGTTTTCTTGTGATGTCTTTGTCTAGTTTTGGTATCAAGGTAATACTGGCCTCACAGAATTAGTTGGGAAGTGTTCCTTCTTCTATTTCTGAAAGTTTGAAAAATTGGTTTTAATTCTTCTCTAACTGTATGGTAAAATGCAGCAGTGAAGACTTCTAGGCTTGAGCTTTTGTGGGTACTTTTCCCTGTTTTAAATTACTATTTCAACATCTTCACTCATTATAGGTCTATTCAGATTGTCTATTTCTTCTGGAGTCAGTTCTTGTAGCTTCTTCCTGTCTAGAAATTTGTCCATCTCATCTGCTATGGTTTATATGTTCATATGTTAGAACTTAGTGCCCAAGGTGATAGTATTAAGAGGTGGGGCCTTCTGGGAAGTGTTCAAATCATGAGTGCTCCATCATCATGAAAGGGATTACAGCTTTTATAAAAGAGGTTGAAGGGATCACCTTAATTCCCCTTTTTGCCCTTCTACCATATGAAGATACAGCAACAAGGTGCCACTTTGGAAGCAGAGAGTGAGCCCTTACCAGACACTGAATCTGTTGGTGCACTTTGCTCTTGAACTTCACAGCTTCCAGAACTGTGAGAAATAAACTTCTATTATTTATAAATTACTCAGTCTGTGATATTTGGTCATAGCTGCATGAATGGACTAAGATATCATCTAAATTACCAAATTTGCTGGCATATAATTGTTCTAGTATTCCTTTAAAATCCTTTTTCTGTGTGGCCAGTTCTGATTCTAGTAATTTGAATCCTTCCCTGGTCAATCTTGCTACAGATGTCTATTTTGTTTACCTTTTTAAAACTTTTGGTTTTGTTGATTTTCTCCATTATTTTTGCATCCTCTATTTCATTAATTTCTGATCTAATTTTTATGATTTTATTCCTTCTGCTTACTTTAGGCCTAGTTTGCTCTTTTTCCAGTGTCTTAAGGTGACAAGTTAGTTTATTGATTTGAGTGAGATCTTTCTTGTTTCTTAATATAAACATTTTCAACTTCTGGGATACATGTTACTATTTTTCAATTTGGGAGGTTTTCGACTATTATTTCTTTGAATATTTTTTTTGCTCTTTGCTCTCCTTTTGATATTCCCATTATACATAGGCTGGTATGCTTAATGGTGTCCCACATTTTTCTGAGACTCTTTATTTTCATTATTTTTTTCTCTATGTTCTTTGGCTGGCATAATCTCCATCAGCCTATCTTCAAATCCACTTATTTTTCCTTCTGCTAATTTTAAAATTTAGGCTGGGTGCAGTGGCTCATGCCTGTAATCTCAGCACTTTGGGAGGCCAAGGTGGGCAGCTCACCTGAGGTCAGGAGTTTGAGACCAGCCTGACCAACACAGTGAAACACCGTCTCAACAAAAAATACAAAAATTAGCCAGGCATGGTGGTGTGTAACTATAGTCCCAGCTACTGCGGAGGCTGAGACAGGAGAATCACTTGAACCCAGGAGTTGGAGGTTGCAGTGAGCCAAAATGGTGCCACTGCACTCCAGCCTGGGTGACAGAGCAAGACTCCATCTGTCTCTCTCTGTGTGTGTGTATATATATGTGTGTGTGTATATATATGTGTGTGTATATATATACACACGTAACTTTTCAGATTCCATAATTTCCATTTGGTTCCTTTAAAATAATTTCTATATTCATTTGATGCAGCCTTATTATATCATTGTTTTCTTTCTACTACCCACTAGTATTCCAGCTATGATGTTGCTCCTCAGGGTGTGTAGCTTTGCGTATGCCCACAGTCACCCTGGGATGACAGTCATTTTGGTAGAGTTCTCTTCCTCTTTCCCTGACCACATTCATTAAACCACTAATTGCCAATTCTATTGTTTTCAACAATGCCCTGGGGCACCATGCTCTACAAACAAATCCAATCAAATTCTGACTCCTTTGAAGAGAGAGTTTCTGGGAACACTGTGTGATATTCCTTCTGACCCCTGGATGCCTTCTCCCAGCTCTTTTCTTCAGTTACCTCCTGCAAACTATCTGGCCTGTAGCTGAGCCTGCATCTTGTCTCTCTTCCCAGGGTTTCATGGCCTCCACTGTTTCTGAGTGCCTTCAGGCTTGAACCTCTTCATTCTTTGTTGCAAACAAAGTCAGTTTCTTTGGGAAGAGATTAGGAGCTATCTGTTTTACTGCCTGTTTCTCTACCCAGGCAAAATCTCTGAGCAGGGCTCAGAGCTGAGGGTGCAGAAAACAGTAAGCTTCTCAATACAACTGTTCACTGTTAAAGTTTCCTTTCTAACTATTGTTATTGTTTCATTTCATGACTATTACAGGTTGAGTATGCCTAACCCGAAAGGTTCCAAAATTCAAATCCTTTTGAGTGTTAAGATGATGCTCCAAGGAAATGCTCATTGGAGCATTTTGGATTTCAGATTTTTGGATTAGAAATGCTCAATTGGTAAGCATGATGTAAATACTCCAAATCCAAAAAAGTCTGAAACTGGACACACTTCTGGTACTGAGGATGCCAGATAAGGGATAAGGGATACTCACCCTGTGCTACTGTGTGAGTCAAAAATGTGAGGCTCCCCTATGGCGGCCCCACCCTCCCCCACAGGGAAGTGATGTCATCAGGAACCCCAGGGGCTCCCATCAAGTCAGGGACCCTGGAGCTGGATGTCCTATAAGCACCCTGGGATGCTGGAAGGATGAGTGGTTTCCAGGGAAATAGAGGAAGATCCTTCCTGGCAAGGGCATGGCCAGGACAATGGCTGGGAGCCTGAGGGCCAAAGCTAGCAGGTGCAGGTCAGGGGCCAGAGCGGGCAGAGCTGTGAAGCCGCAGGCAGGGTTGCCATGGAGGTGATGGGAGTGCCCAGAACTGGGCATGTGCGGTGGGCGTCTGAGGGTCTCTAGGTCCCAGCATGATGCTTAGTGTGTCGGGGCACCCAGAGTTCCCCATCACCACTCAGGGCTGTGCAGTTCCCCTCAGCAACAGGCATGGTTCAGCACAGTGTTAAAGGCTGTCCATGGGGAGAGCAGGGCAGGTACTGGGGGCCTGGGCAGGCAGCTTCCCCATAGGGCGAGGCCCGGGCCTGGGCCTTTCCCCAGCCACCACCGCAGCCAGAAGAGGCAGCGGCTGGAGTCCCGGGGGCCTGCACTGGGGTTTCAAGGACACTACTGTTGCCGTGGTCATGGCCTGACCTGCTTCACTCTCTGCCCTATCATCCCACGAACAAAGGAACGTTCTCTTCCTCACACCTGGAAAAAAAAACAAGTGAGGAAAGTTCGTCGTGCTGCACCTCCCCTGGTTGGTGACCCTTTTCCAGCTTTCGTGCAATCTCCAGAGTTCTAGGACCTGCTGTCCCCACCTCATTCTCCTGCAAACCGGTGCCTGGGTGGGGGTGCCCTGGGCCTTGTCTCCCCTGACCTGCCTCGAAGCCTCCTCACCCTCCTCTGCCTTCCTGGTTCCACAGCTCGGGCCCCCATCCCATCTACTCACCCCTGCAGGGCCCTCACACAGGCTCTGTCCATGAACAGCAGTCCCCAGTTCCAGACCTCTCACCTGGGTGGCCGGTGGACATCCCAGACTCACCATCCAGAACTGGTCTCCAGTCCCACCTCCAGGCACACAGCGCAGGTCTTCACCTCTTTCTCCTACCTGCATCCTGTCCACCAGGAAATCCTGTGGCCTCATCGTCCGAATACCTCCAGAAGCTGGCTCTCCCTACCCTCTCCCCAACCAGGCCCTGCCCTATTCACCTTCACTCAGAGTGAAGTCATACTCTGATAGGGCACACAGAGACAGGCTGAACATGAGGCTGGGAGAAGTGGGAGCTACTGAGTGTTCTAGGTAGTAAGAAGTAACCAGGATGCAGCTCCTTGGGAGCTTTCTGTCTCCTGCTGCCTGCTCTGCCTGGCACACAGAGGATGGTGGGGGCACCAGGATGGGTGAGCCGTTGCCTGGAGAGACCTGGGACCTGCTCCGGGGTGGTGCCCTGGCTCCCCATGGCGGACACATCACCTACACGCCCTCTCCCGCTATCCCCCCACTCCCCCAGCAGAAAGAAGCAGCCGAGGTCTCCTGCTGTACTAATGTATTCCATCTTTCAAAAAGAAAGACATGATTTTAATATTACTTAACAATATGTTAAAAAAGTAGCCAGGCAGGCCTCCGTGTTAATACAGTCGTACACTCTATAACAGACTTGATGGTGTGAGTACTGGGTGGGCTTGTTTTTAACTTTCTCGTTCTGCAAGGGATCTTACACAAGCTGGCTACAAGTCAGGGGGATCAAACACAAACAGCGCAACGTGTACACTCGGAGACAGTAGATTGTGGAGAACAAAGGAGGCCTGCCCCGCCCAGCCCGCCTAGGGTGAGACGCAGGGGCACAGGAGAGCTGAGTGACGGCCGATACCCCGGTGAGGACACATGACAGGACAGGGCGCAATGCAGAGGCAACGGAGCCACGTGGATGATGCAAACTCCTATCTGGCCACGGCCCAGGCCTCCGAGGCCGCGGTGGTGGGAGGACTTGGCGGGAACTACTGTTCCAATCCGACAGCACAGAGCTACAATCGAAGGAGTCTCACGCACAGACTACACGCACACGAGCTAACGGCGTGGGCCGAGCATCAACTTCTCGGTCTGGGGTTTCAGGCAGCACCAGCTCCGCACAGCCCTTGGCAAGCACCACGGCTCTGGGGCGCCAGCGAGGGGCGTGGCTCTTGGGGTGGTGCAGCCTGGCCTGCCTCTCGCGTGTCCCTCTCCAGGGAGTCCTCATTCAGTGGGCAGCAAAGGTGGCTTTTTTCAAGCTAAAATTGGACCAGTTGATAGACAGTCTTTGTCGGGTCTGTCTAGCAGAATCCAAGCAGAACCTGCAAAGACAAAAAGCCAAACAGTCACTGAAGGAAACAGCCCACAACCAAGCTGGTGCTTGGCAAAGCCCATCACACTCCTGTTCTTGCCAGAAACTCACTGCGGGGTCAGGGGTTTAGATTCTCGGTGAGGGGCACAGTGTCAAGGGTCCCCTCCAGGCCCTGCTACAGGCTGCACTTGAGAAGGGGAAAGGACTCGGGAGGAGGAATGGGTGGGCGGAAGGAGTCCTGAGAAAGAAAAGAAACGTTTAATCTGAGAGCTGTGAGCGCCCTTAAATTATCAGGCCCAGGCAGGGTGTGGTGGCTCATACCTGTAATCCCAGCACTTTGGGAGGCTGAGGAGGGCAAATCACTTCAACTTAGGAGTTCGAGACCAGCCTGGGCAACATGGTGAAATCCTTTTTTTTTTGAGACAGGGTCTCACTCTCTTGCCCAGGCTGGAGTTCAGTGGCAGTTTCGGCTCACTGCAACCTCCACCTCCAAGGTTCAAGCAATTCTCTGCCTCAGCCTCCCAAGTAGCTAGGACTACAGGCATGTACCACCACACCGGTTTTTTTTTTTTTTTTTTTTTTTTTTTTGAGAAGGAGTTTCGCTCTTGTCATCCAGGCTAGAGTGCAATGGCACAATCTCAGCTCACTGAAGCCTCCGCCTCCCACGTTGAAGTGATTCTCCTGCCTCAGCCTCCCAAGTAGCTGGGATTACAGGTGCCCACCACCACGTCCAGCTGATTTTTGTATTTTTAGTAGAAAGAGGGTTTCACCATGTTGACCAGGCTGATCTGTACTCCTGACCTAAAGTGATCCGCCTGCCTCGGCCTCCCAAAGTGCTGGGATTACAGGCGTGAGCCACTGTGCCTGGCCACACCTAGCTAATTTTTAATTTTTTTCAAATGGAGTCTCTGTCACCCAGGCTGGAGTGCAGTGGCACGATCTTGGCTCACTGCAACCTCTGCCTCCCAGGTTCAAGCGATTCTCCTGCCTCAGCTTCCCAAATAGTTAGGACTACAGGTGCATACCACAACACCCAGCTAATTTTTGTATTTTTTGTAGCTTCTTCCCTGGCCAAGAAGCTTTTTTTTTTTTCTTGACACGGAGTCTTGCTCTGTCGCCCAGGCTGGAGTGCAGTGGCGTGATCTCGGTTCACTGCAACCTTCGCCTCCCAGGTTCATGCCATTCTCCTGCCTCAGCCTCCCAAGTAGCTGGGACTACAGGCACCTATCACCACGCCCAGCTAATTTCTTCTATTTTTAGTAGAGATGGGGTTTCACCATGTTAGCCAGGATGCTCTCAATATCCTGACCTTGTGATCTGCCCTCCTCGGCCTCGCAAAATGCTGGGATTACAGTCGTGAGCCACCGCGCCCGGCCTCCAAGAAGCTTTTATAGAAAGCAGAGGCCTCGAAAAAATTGTATACACATATATCCTAAATATCAGCTTCTAATTAAGTCAACTTTCAACTCTAAAGCTGTTTAAAAGGATTCCTGTGTCAGGTCTTAGCCAGGCAAATAGTCAACATTCTTGTTTCTTGGTTTTTCCTTCCTGAAACTGACACCAAAGAGGAGATCTGAAGCTGGCCATGGTGGCTCATGCCTGTTTTCCTACTACTTTGGGAGGCTGAGGTTGGAGAATCACTTGAACCCAGGCGTTTGAGACCAGCCCGTGCAACACAGTGAGACTCCATCTTTACAAAAAGTAAAAAGTTAGCCAGGAGTGGCAGTACACATATGTGCCTATAGTCCCAGCTGCTCGGGGCTGAGGTGGGAGGATCCTTGAGCCTGGGAGGTCAAGGCTGCAGTGAGCTGTGATGGTGCCCCCGCACTCCAGCCTGGGTGACAAAGGTGAGACCCGTCTCAAAAATAATAAAGCCTTGCTGTGGTGGCTCATGCCTATAATCCCAGCACTTTGGGAGGCTGAGGTGCGTGGATCACTTGAGCTTACAAGTTCAAGGCCAGCCTGGGCAACATGGTAAAACCTCATCTCTACAAAAAAACACAAAAATTAGCCAGGTGTGGTGGCGCACACCTGTGGTCCTAGCTACTCGGGAGGCTGTGGTGGGAGCATGGCTTCAGCCTGGTGGGCAGAGGCTGAGCGAGCCTGTTGCCGGTGGCAGGTACCTGAGTTGCCGGTGGCGAATCCGTATGTGTCTGCAGCAGCCTCAATTATTGCCTCCTCAGACGAAAGAATCTGACCAAAGGCCATAAGGCAGAAGAAGAGACTGAGGCAAGTTTTAGAACAGGAGTGGAAGTTCATTACAAAGCTCTAGAGCAGAAACAAAAGGAAGGAAAGTGCACTTGGAAGAGGCCAAGTGGGCAACTCGAGAGGCAAGTGCCCCATCCGGCCTCTGATGTAGGGTTCTAGGTGTTGGCATACTTCAGGGCCTCGCGTCCCTTCTCCCAATTCCTCCCTTGGGGTGGGCTGCCTGCACACACACTGGCCTGCTAGCACTTGGGAGGGAGCATGCGTAGTGTGTTTACTGGAGCATGCGCATGCTCACCTGAGGCGATCTTCCCTTCCCGGTGTAAAGTACCTGGAAGGTCACACACCAGTTAAACTCCACCATTCTGTGCCTTAGTGCACATGCTTGAGCCCACTTGCCCAATTCCTGAGATCTTATCGGGAAGCTGCTGATCACCAGCTTCAGTTTCCCTGGTGCTGGCTATGACCAATTATTATTTTAGAGAGGCAGTGTGACAACTGCCTAACCATCACCTGATGGTCACCTGACATCCCTGGTGGATGGAGGAGGCCCTCCCCTGCCCTGCTCACACCTGACTAGCTACCCACTGTAACAAACTGAGAATGCGCCACTGCACTACGGCCTGGACGGACAGAACCAGACTTTGTGCTCCCACCAAAAAAAAAAAAAAAAAAAAAAAAAAGTTTTGGAGGTGGAACATATTTGCTTATTAGAGGTCTAGGGTAACCACTATTTAAAGCTGTTTGTCTTTGAATGTTTTAATAAACTGTTTACTTTCTGAGTATATGGTTTCATTTAGCTTAGGAGAAGGCTAAACAAAACAACAAAAAACCCCTATCATATTCTAAATATAAACCAGAAATTTATAATCATTCAAGGGCATACCTGCACAAACGACTCAAAGCCAACACACACAGACATGCATGAGACCAAAATTAAGAATCCCTTTATGGCTTTAACCAAGGTCTCTGAAGAGGGAACAAAATTTCAGCCCCAGGCCCCTCTCAAGAACAGCTTAAAGAAAGTCTTGCTAGCTGCGAATAGGGTGCAAGCCACATCTGTCAGGCCATATTTTCTAAGGTCTCAGCTTCTCAGCTGACAGTCTATGCACAAATGCCAGGTGGAAGATTTAAAGAGACAGGAAAATAGAAAAACGAAACTGCCCATGGGACTAGTGCCAAAAATGAGGGAAGGTAAACCTGTGGGGTTGGGCTGGGGAGGTAGTTCATGCTTGTAATCCTAGTACTTTGGAAGACTGAGGTGGAAAGATACTCAGAGGCCAGCCTGGGCAACATAAAGAGATGCCTTCTCTACCAAAAAAAAAAAAAAAAAAAAAAAAATTGGGCCGGGTGTGGCAGCTCACGCCTGTAATCCCAGCACTTTGGGAGGCCGAGGTAAGGTGGGCAGATCACCCGAGGTCGGGAGTTCGAGACCAGCCTGACCAACATGGAGAAACCCTGCCTCTACTAAAAATACAAAATTAGCCAGGCGTGGTGACGCATGCCTGTAATCCCAGCTACCCAGGATGCTGAGGCAGGAGCATCGCTTGAACCCGGCAGGCGGAGGTTGCGGTGAGCCAAGATCGTGCCTGGGCAACTAGAGCAAAACTCCATCTCAAAAAAAAAATAAATAAAATAATTTTTTTTTTTTTAATTAGCTAGGCATGGTGGCGCATCTGTAGTCCCAGCAATGAACTGTGATCAAGCCACTTCACTTCGGCCTGAACTGAGACTTCATTTTTAGAAAGTCTTTTGGGGTTTAAAGTCTGCTCACAGATTCCTCTGCCCCACTGGCACCATCTGTGGGCTGCGGAGTAGCTGTCTTCAGTAAAAAAGGATTTATGTCCTACCTTTAGGCAAACAAAGGAGAGGTAGAGAGAGCCCCTGCACTCTGTCTTCAGCTCAACAATACCCAGTATTTGAGAGAGCAATATTTTAGTTTCCTTTAGTAGAAAAGATGACAAATGGGTATCCCAAATGGTCAAGAGTCATAAATAATTTCAAGTAAATTCAAATTAATTCCTATTAGTGGTTATCCTAAGCTAAAGGTATCCATTGAGGAAAGAAATCTGTAGTGGCTCTAAGGAACTGTAACTTTGTTTCAAATCCAGTCTCAGCGGGAATGCTGCTAATTCCCTGGATGACAGAGTGAGAGACTGTGTCTCAAAAAATAATAAATAAATAAGTAAGTAAGATTTACATCCTTAAGTGACTGAGAGCACTCTCTAAAACAAACTTCCAAATCTCTTGAGGGCCAGGGAGAGAACTCACCTTCATGCACCAGTTTAAAACTAACAGCAATTGGTCACAATTTTTTTTTTTTTGAGACGGAGTCTTGCTGTTGCCAGGCTGGAGTGCAGTGACGCGATCTCGGCTCATTGCAACCTCCGCCTCCGGGGTTCAAGCGATTCTCCTGCCTCAGCCTCCAGAGTAGCTAGGACTACAGGCGAGCACCACCACGCCCAGCTAATTTTTGTACTTTTAGTAGAAACGGGGTTTCACCATGTTGGCCAGAATGGTCTCTATCTCTTGACCTCGTGATCCGCCCGCTTTGGCCTCCCAAAGTAGTGGGATTACAGGCAGGAGCCACTGCGCCCGGCTGGTCACAATTTTTTTTTTTTTTTTTTTTGGGACGGAGTTTTGCTCTTGTTGCCCAGGCTGGAGTGTAATGGCACGATCTGGGCTCACTACAACCTCCTCTTCCTGGGTTCAAGAGATTCTCCTGCCTCAGACTCCAGAGTAGCTGGGACTACAGATGTGCACCACCACACCCGGCTTTTTTTTTTTTTTTTTTTTTTTTTGGTATTTTTAGTAAAGGTGGGGTTTCACCATGTCGGCCAGGATGGTCTCAAACCCCTGACCCTCAAGTGATCCACCCGCCTCGGCTTCCCAAAGTATTGGGATTACAGGCATGAGCCACTGTACCTGGCCTTGGTCACAAATTTAAGGAGGAAAAAAGGTCTGAATTACAAACAGTAGGAAGCAGCAATTTTAAAAGCATGCTGTGTAATTTAGGCCAAAAAAAAAGAAGCCACAGGAGGAACGGAGCCAAACTGCCAGTACCGGGACCCGGATCCCATGCTGTGAAGCAAGGCCAGAGAAGGCAGTTTCCCTTTTTTTTCCCTGAAACCCAAATCTCTTGCCTCTTTAGAAAGGGAAGGGGGTTAGAAAGAACAACTCAAGTTTTTAAGAAAAAAAGAACAAATTAGGAGAGGAGGTGATTACAAAAGTTGTTTATCAGGGCCAGGCTTGGTGGCTCACGCCTCTAATCCCAACGTTTGGAAGGCCGAGGCAGATAGATCACTTGAATCCAGGAGTTTGAGACCACCCTGGACAACATAATGAGAACTGTCTCTACTAAACATTTTAAAAATTAGCTGAGGCTGGGCGTGGTGGCTCACGCCTGTAATCCCAGTACTTTGGGAGGCTGAGATGGGCGGATCACGAGGTCGGGAGATCGAGACCATCCTGGCTAACACGGTGAAACCCCGTCTCTACTAAAAATACAAAAAAAATTGCCAGGCGTGGTGGCGGGCGCCTGTAGTCGCAGCTACTCAGGAGCCTGAGGCAGGAGAATGGCGTGAACTTGGGAGGCGGAGCTTGCAGTGAGCCGAAATCGCGCCACTGCACTCCAGCCTGGGCGCCAGAGCGAGACTCCATCTCAAAAAATAATAATAATAAAATAAAAATAAAAATAAAAATTAGCTGAGATTGGTGGCCCACGCCTGTAGTCCCAGCTAGTCAGGAGGCTGAGGTGGGAGGATCAAGTGAGCCTGGGAGGTCAAGGGTCCAGTGAGCCAAGATCATACCACTGCACTCCGGCCTGGGTGACAGAGCAAGACTATTGCCTTAAAAAAAAAAAAAAAGTTGTCAAGAATTCTCATTGCTTTACAGAAATTATATTGATAGTGATTGGCTATAAACTGTTGAACTACAGGATATGAGTTATCCCTATGACAACATTAAGAGGTTAATTTACAGCTACTTTGGCCACACTCTATCTAGAGTCTATACAATACAGCAGGTGGATTACTCAGCTTGAGGTGGGGGAAGGGGTAGGATGTACCCGCTCTCACATTTCACTGCCTCTCTGGTGTGATTACTTTTTTTTTTTTTTTTTTTTTTTTTTGGAGACAGGGTCTTACTCTGTTGCCCAGGCTGGAGTGCAGTGGTACGATCACAGCTCACTGCAACCTCGACCTCCTGGGCTCAAGCGACCCTCCCCAACCTGAGCTTCCCAGGTAGCTGGAACTACTACAGTAGTGTGCCACCATGCCCAGCTGATTTTACTTTTTGTAGAGATGACGTCTTGCTGTGTTGCCCAGGCAAGCACCATATATATGTGTGTGTATATACATACATATATATATAGTTTTTAATTTAATTAAAAAATAGAGACAGGGCCAGGTGTGGTGGCTCACGCCTGTAATCCCAGCACTTTGGGAGGCGGAGGTAGGTGGATTACCTGAGCTCAGGAGTTAGAGGCCAGCCTGGCCAACATGGTGAAACTCTGTCTCTACTAAAAACACAAAAAAATTAGCTGGGCATGGTGGTGGGTGCCTGTAATAGAGGCTACTCAGGAAGCTGAGGCAGGAGAATCACTTGAATCTGGAAGGCGGAGGTTGCAGTGAGCCGAGATTGCACCAATTGCACTCCAGTCTGGGTGACAAGAGCAAAACTCCATCTCAAAAAGTTAAAAAATTCATAATAAAAAAACCTTCTCAGTTGACTGAATTCCTCTCTTCCGTAACCCTTGATAACGATATGCACTTTCTCAGCCCGCTTTTCTGTTTGTTGACATGATTTCTGCCAATAATGTAAAGCTTCATTGACTGGAAAGCTTAAATTCTTTATCCTCTGTTTGGTTTTTGAGACAGGGTCTCACTCTATCTCCCAAGCTGGAGTGCAGCGGCACAATCGCAGCTCACACCTCAAACTCCTGGGCTCAAGTGATCCTCCACCTCAGCCTCCCAAAGAGCTGGGATTACAAGGTGTGAACGCTGTGCCTGGCTTATTTCAGATAAACAAAATATTAATAATTGCTTATTTCTTAAGTTTTCACTATAATTTAAGGTTACTAAAAGCTAAAATTCTGACTAACATGGTAACTCAAAGTAGAGATAAGCAGGAAAACAGTTCTACATATAAAATACATAAGAAAAAGTAAGATGTGTTTTGGTAAGGAAGGTTATAAGAAAAACATGAGGATGTGGTTTTGTCAAAGGAAAAAGTGATTTTGACTAGTTTAGAGGTTATTTAAAAGTGGTCTTAAGTTGAAAAACAGATGGAAAAGAAAATAAATGAATATAGAAAGTTGGGAAAAGGAAGTGAATGGGAAAATTCTAAGAGGTTATAAAAGATTTATGGAAATCCTGTGTGGTCAAAGCTGATTGAAATTAGATGGATCTGTTTAAAAGATTTTACTACAATTAATAGTAATACACTGATGCAACTGGTTTTCTCTTTTCAATAAGATTTCATGTAGTATTAATAAGAGATAATAAAATACTTTGTCAATTATCTTTTGAGTAAGCTGAAAAAAAAAAAAAAGACATTCTGTTGGCCTCATGCCATTTTCATTATGTCTTCTGACTGTTGAGAAAACTGAGTCTCAGGCAGCGGGTGGTGGAGCACGCCTGTGGTCCCAGCTACCCAGGAGGCTGAGGTGGAAAGATCACCTGGGCCTGGTGGTCAAGGCTGCAGTGAGCCGTGATTGCACCACTGCCTGGACAATGGAGTGAGACCCTGTCTCAAAAAAACAAAACAAAACAAACAAACAAAAAACCCAGAAACCCCAACCCTCCAAAACCAGAGTCTCCTATCAAAACATAAAGGTTTTTGCTTTTTGAAACCTTTGAATTATTAGTTTGGTTAAATGAATAACTTCTTTTGTGATGATCTTATTTTGATATCAAGTGTTTTAAACCTTTGATATCTGACATACTTCCTAAAATCAAATTTTAAATTCTAAATTAGTCTTTTTTACTTCAAACTTTTTTTTTTTTTGAGACGGAGTCTTGCTCTGTTGCCCAGGCTGGAGTGCAGTGGCACGATCTCAACTCACTGCAACCTCCGCCTCCTGGGTTCAAGCAAATCTCTGCCTCAGCCTCCCGAGCAGCTGGGATTACAGGCACCCACCACCACATCTTGCTAATTTTTGTATTTTCAGTAGAGAGGGGGTTTCAACATCTTTGGCCAGAATGGTCTTGAACTCCTGACCTCATGATCCACCCGCCTTGGCCTCCCAAAGTGGGATTACAGGCATGAGCCACCGTGCCTGGCCTAAAGGATACTGTTTTTTGGTTTGAGACAGAGTCTCGCTCTGTTGCCCAGGCTGGAGTGCAGTGGCGTGATGTTGGCTCACTGCAACTTCCGCCTCCTGGATTCACGCCATTCTCCTGCCTCAGCCTCCTGACTAGCTGGGACTACAGGCACCTGCCACCACACCCGGCTAATTTTTTTGTATTTTTAGTAGAGGTGGGGTTTCACCGTGTTAGCCAGGATGGTCTCGATCTCCTGACCTCGTGATCCTCCTGCCTTGGCCTCCCAAAGTGCTGGGATTACAGGTGCGAGCCACTGCGCCCGGCCTAAAGTATACTTTTGTAAGCAAAATTGAAACACTGGACCAGGTGTGGTGGCTCATTCCTGCAATCCCAGCACTCTGGAAGGTTTGAGAATCCTCTGAGCTCCAGAGTTCCAGACCAGCCTGGGCAATGTGGCAAAACCCTGTCTCTTACTTACTTACTTATTTGTCTCTAAACTTGAATGAAACCTGAAAATGGTTATTACTGTCACCCATCCATTAGGTTTAATTATGGTTGCTTAAACTGTGGCTTGTTTATTCAACCACAAACATTCGTGAATGCCCAACAGCGTTCTTGCCTTGCAGCCTCTATGAGACTGATCCCCTCACTCCCCTAAACTGGAAGGGCTGACTGTGTCATCTCCCAGAATCCAAATTCTCTTTCCCTGTCCCTAGCTGGTCAAGCCCTGAGTTTGTGATGTTACCTTCTGCCTCTGCTGTCCCCTCCTAACTCTGACAATCACTAATCCTGTTTCCATTAGTGCATGTGTGACCCTGTCCCCCAGCCCCTTCTGGACACAGCAGCTGGAATAGAATGCTCAAGAACATCAACCACATTCCTGCTCCAAGCCATTCAAGGAAGAAATCCAATCCAAACCACTGCACAGCTTCCACAGGTTCTTGCAGCATGGGCACAGAGCTCACGCTGCTCTCTAAGGTCCCAGGCCCAGTGTGACCTGGCTTTGTCCCTCCCCACACCACCTGCACCCGAGACACAGTGGCCTCTGCATCAGGCCTGTTTTGTCGACTGCAGACTACGTGAGACATGCACACGGTGTCTGACACACAGGACAGCCACATAACCAGCAGGGAGAATCCTGAGTCACAGCACCCCCAGGTCACAAAACCTGACACTGCTAACCGTGGCGCCGTGCTGTCCTCTCCCAAGAGGTAGTCACAGCCCTAGGGTTTGGAGTAATTAGTTCACCATAGTTCTTGGTAATTTCGTGACTTCTCTATGACATCCTAAATGTTAGTATGGTTGTGCTGTGTGGCCTCATATCGAGGGAACTGCACTGTATGTACATGGTCTTACAGCTTCTTATTTCACTCAATGTTATGTCTGTGAGAGTTCTCCATGAGGTGACAGTCTGTTCGTCTTCACTGCGGTATGAACACATGGCAGTGAACAGACAGATGCTGCTGCTTGCCTCACGTTTGCCCCGCCCCCGGGACATGCAGGAGAACCTCTAGTCGTGCACACAAGTGTGCAGCTGTTTGTGGGGTTGCACGGGAGGCACAACTTCAATTTTGCTAGAGTCTGCCAAACTCTTTTCCAAAGTAATTTAACAGTTATGCTCCCCGGAGCAGTGGTTAGGGACTCCCGTCGCTTCACACCTTCCTCCAGCAGGAGAGAGGGAGGGCTCGCTAGCTGCAAACCCATGAAGCAGCAGCACCTCCTCTGGTCTTGCCATGGGGCTCCTTGGTCAGGCTGAAGACCTCTTTGTAGTTTAGTGGTCAAAAGCTTGCTGTGTAATCCTAATGGTTTGCCTTTTGTTTTAATTTTTTTGGAGAAAGGATCTCTCTATTGCTTAGGCTGGAGTGAGGTGGCGTAAGCATAGCTCACTGAAGCTTCAAACTCCTGAGCTCAAGGGATACTCCTGTGTCAATTTCCTGAGTAGCTGGGACTACAGGCATGTACCACCATGCCTGGCTTTTTTTTTTTTTTTTTTTTTTTTTTTTTGAGACGGAGTCTTGCTCTGTTGCCCAGGCTGGAGTGCAGTGGTGCAATCTCGGCTCACTGCAAGCTCTGCCTCCCAGGTTCACGCCATTCTCCTGCCTCAGCCTCCCGAGTAGCTGGGACTACAGGTGCCCGCCACCACGCCTGGCTAATTTTTTGTATTTTTAGTAGAGACGGGGTTTCACCGTGTTAGCCAGGATGGTTTCGAGCTCCTGGCCTCGTGATCCACCTGCCTCGGCCTCCCAAAGTGCTGGGATTACAGGCATGAACCACCGCGCCCGGCCCACGCCTGGCTAATTTTTAATTTTCTTGTAGAGTTGTGGTCTATGTTGTCCAGGTTGGTCTCAAACTCCTGGCTTCAAGCAATCCTCTTGCCTCGGTCTCCTAGCACTGGGATTACAGGCATGAGCCACTATGCCCGGTCCTTGACAGCTTTTATGATACTAACCCTTCCTGTCTTTGGATAATGAATCTCTGTGATTTAGATCTTCTTTAATGTTTTCCAATAAAGTTTCAGTCTTTTGTATACAAGTCTTATGCAACTTTTGCCAGATTTATCTGTGGATAGTGAGAGATTTTGGTGCTATTATAAATGCTCTTTTGAGCTACATTTCCAATTATTTGTGGTGTGGGTATAGAGAAAAATAACTGTTTTTTTTTTTTTTTTTAGACAGAGTCTCACTGTTGCCCAAGCTGGAGCACAGTGGTGCATCTTGGCTCACTGTAGCCTTGGTCTCCTGGGTTTAAGGGATCCTGCCACTTCAGCCTCCTGAGTAGCTGGGACCACAGGTGCATGTCACCACACCTGGCTAATTATTTTATTTTTTGTAGAGACAGTATCTTGCTATGTTGCTCAGGCTGGTCTCAAACTCCTGGGCTCAAGTGATCCTTCCACCTCAGCCTCACAAAATGTTGAAATTACAGGTGTGAGCCACCGTGCTCTGTTTAAAAACAAAAAACAAAAGCAAATAACTTCTGTACTGATCCTACACAGTTAGCCCCTTGCTGTAAGTTCTTTTATATTTCCTATGTAGACAATTAGATCACCTGTAAAATTGATTTTTAGTTCCTCTTTTATACTCCTTTAGCCTAGGAATTACAATTTAAGGTTGAATATAAAATACTTTTTTTGGAAATCTACTGATCCATGATCTACTAAGCCATGATCATATGGCTCTTCTTTAATATATTAATGTAGCAACTAACATTAGTGGATTTTCTAGCTGGGTGCGGGGGCTCACACCTGTAATTCTGGCGCTTTGGGAGGCTGAGGTGGGCAGATCACTTGAGGCCAGGAGTTCGAGACCAGCCTGGGCAATGTGGCGAAACCCCGTCTCTACAAAAAGAAGAAAAAAAAAATTAGCCAGGCATGGTGCATGTGCCTGTAGTCCCGGCTACTTGGAGGGCTGAGGTGGGAGGACTGCTTGACCCTGGGGAGGTCAAGGCTGCAGTGAACAGTGATTGTGTCATGGCACTCAAGCCTAGGTGACAAGAGTGAGACCCTGTCAGAAGGAAGGAAGGGAGGGAGGGAGGGAGGGAGGGAGGAAGGAAGGAGGATTTTTTTTTTTTTTTTTTGAGAGTGTCTCTCTGTTGCCCAGGCTGGAGTACAATGGTGCAATCTTGGCTCACCACAACCTCCGCCTCCCAGGTTCAAGTGATTCTCCTGCCTTAGCCTCCCGAGTAGCTGGGATTACAGGCATGCGCTACGATGCCTGGCTAATTTTGTATTTTTAGTAGAGATGGGGTTTCTCCATGTTGGTCAGGCTGATCTCAAACTCCCAACCTCAGGTGATCCGCCCGCCTGGGCCTCCCAAAGTTCTGGGATTACAGGCGTGAGCCACCACGCTTGGCCAATAAAGTGGATTTTCTAATATGAAACACTATTTGCGTTCCTGGGATAAACCAATTTGCTCATGGTATACTGCTTTTTAAAATACACTGCTCGATTTGGTATATTGTTTCTTTTTTTTGAAAATTACACTGATGTAGGTATGAGAATATTTTTGAGACGGAGTCTTGCTCTAGTTGCCCAGATTGGAGTTCAATGGCGTGATCTCAACTCACCGCAACCTCTGCCTCCTGGGTTCAAGCAATTCTCCTGCCTCAGCCTCCTGGAGAATATTTTCTTTAGGATTTTTGAATCTAATATGAGTGAGATAAACCTGTGATTTTTCATTTTTTCTGGTATTGTTTTGGGCAGATTTTGGTATCAGAATTTTACTTGTCTCATAAAACAAAGTAGGGAGTATTCACTTGTGTGTGTGATGTCTCACTCATTTAAATTCACTGGTAGAGTTTGCTCAAGACTGGATAATCCATTCTTTCAAAGTCTGAAAGTTTGGTAGAATTCTCGGTAAAACTGTTAAAATGTAGTTTTCTCACTGAGACTTACAGCTATTGTTTTCATTTCTTTAGTAGTTACTGGACCATTCAGGCTATTTTTACCTCAGGTTGATTTTGCATTTCATAGTTTTAAAGTCAATTGTAATGAAGTTGTTCCCAGTGTTCTCTTATTTTAATCTCTCCAGTATCTGTAGTTATTTCCTCCTTTTCACTTATATATTTACACACTTAAAAAAAAAAATTTATTTTTGAGACAGGGCTCTCGTCACCCAGGTTGGAGGGTAGATGCACAATCTTGGCTCACTGCAACCTCCACCTCTCAGGCTCAACCCATCCTCCCACCTCAGCCTCCTGAGTAGCTGGGACTACAGGCGCATGCCACCATATCTGGCTTACTTTTTTTGTATTTTTTGTAGAGACAGGATTTCACCATGTTGCCCAGGCTGGTCTTGAACTGACCTCAAGTGATCCGCCTGTCTTGGCTTCCCGAAGTGCTGGGACTACAGGCATGAACCACAGCACCCGGACAAAACTTTTTTTTTTTTTAATTACTGACATTTTCAAACACACACAAAAACAGATAGTATAGCATAATGAACATAGCCATCACCTGACTTTGATAGTTATCAACATCTTAATTCTTCTTCCATCTAATTATGCTATTTTTTGTGTCTTTTTTTCTCTATTATTCTTAATCTGTCTCCTAAAGATTTATTTGGTGTTTTCAATCAATCATATTTTAGCTTTGTTGATCTTCTCTACCAAATCTTTGTTTTCTATTTCATTATCTCTCTTATCTCCTTCTTTATATATTCTTTGGTTTATTCTATTGTTCTTTTCCTAATTTCTCAAGTGAAATCTTTAACTCATTATGTTTCAGGATTTTTAAAAACTAATTTAGGCAATTATAGCCTTACATAAACAGCTCTAAAAAGTTAACGTTTTTCGATATCCCGCAGGTTTTCATATGCAATGTTTTAATTATCTTTTTAGTTCTGTGTATTTAAAAATTTTGACAGTCTGGGCGTGGTGGTTCACACCTGTAATCCCAGGACTTTGGGAGGCCAAGGGGGGGTGGATCACCTGAGGTCAGGAGTTCAAGATTAGCCTGGCCAACATGGTGAAACCTCGTCTCTACTAAAAATAAAAAAATTAGCTGGGCGTGGTGGCAGGCGCCTGTAATCCCAGCTACTCGGGGAATTTTTTTTTTTTTTTTTTCAGACAGGGTCTTGCTCTGTTGCCCAGGCTAGAGTGCAAGTGCCGTGATCATAGTTCACTGCAACCTCAAACTCCTAGGTTCAAGTGATCCTCTGGCCTCAGCCTCCTGAGTAGCTTGGACTACAAGTGCATGCCTGGCTTTTTTTTTTTTTTTTTCCTGAGACAAAGTCTCTCTCTGTTTCCCAGGCTGGAGTGCAATGGTGCTATGTCGGCTCACTGCAACCTGTGCCTCCCAGGTTCAAGCAATTCTCCTGCCTCAGCCTCCTGAGTAGCTGGGATTACAGGCTCTTGTCACCACGTCCAGGTAATTTTTGTATTTTTAGTAGAGACGGGGTTTCACCATGTTGGCCAGGCTCGTCTCGAACTCCTGACCTGATCAAGTGATCTGCCTGTCTTGGCCTCCCAAAGTGTTGGGATTACAGGTGTGAGCCACCAGGCGCAGCCTCTAGTCCAGTTTTGTTGTTTTTATTATAATACAAATGCACGCTTAATCACACCTGTAATCTCAGCACTTTGGGAGGCTGAGGTGAGTGCATCACTTAAAGTCAAGAGTTTGAGACCTGCCTGGCCAACATAGCAAAACCCTGTTTCCACCAAAAATACAAAAATTAGCCAGGCGTGGTGGCAGGCCCCTGTAATCCTAGTTAGTCAGGAGGCTGAGGCAGGAGAATCGCTTGAACGTAGGAGGTGGGGATTGCAGTGAGCCCAGATCACAACATTGCACTCTAGCCTGGGTGACAGAGACTCTGTCTCAAAAAATAAAAAAAATGAAATAAATAGGCTGGGCGCGGTGGCTCACGCCTGTAATCACAGCACTTTGGGAGGCTAAGGCAGGTGTATCACCTGAGGTCAGGAGTTTGAGACCAGTCTGGTAACCACGGTGAAACCCTGTCTCTACTGAAATACAAAAATCAGCTTGGTGTGGTTGTGGGCGCCTGTAATCCCAGCTAGTCTGGAGGCTGAGGCAGGAGAATTGCTTGAACCCGGGAGGCAGAGGTTGCAGTGAGCTGAGATCGTGCCACTGCACTCCAGCCTGGGTGATAGAGTGAGATTCCCTCTTAAAAATAAAATAAATAAAATTTTGTTGCCATTAATAATTCACATAGTAGTTAAAACATTATAGAACAAGCACTGATAAAACTTGCCCATCAGGAAAACAGCAAGTATGTAAAATGTTACTTTTCTTCTCAAAAGCATACCACTCCAGTGTGTTCAACCATCAGCATATGTGAGGGTCACCCGGAAGGCTGTCAAGAACGTAGATGCCGGCCCCTTCCCAGAATCTGATCCGACAGGTCTAAGTAGGGGCCTGTATCCCCAGGAGACGCTGCTGGCCCAGGACACCTGGAGAGCCACCGCCTCAGAAGCGCAACAGCCAGTTGGCGGGGAAGGGTGGGGGGGAAGCCACTGCCATCAACTATTTTTCTAGCATGTGAGGGGGAGCAGAAGTGATTGTGTGAGTGTTGGGAGTATGGGAGGGGTGTGTGTGGCTGGCCTGTCCTACTACAAGGCTCTTCAGAAGCCATGTTGTCTGGCTTGCTTGATGTAACTTCGTCCAAGACAACTAGAAGTGCCATGGAAAGACAGAAAACCAAACATGTATGGCAAGCACACAGTCACCACGGTTTCAGACACAGCCTCCACATTTACCTTTTGAAATATTCCACTTCCCTCTCTGTCTCATCCATATCCACACTGTCTAGGTCAATATCTTTAGGTAGAAAGACATCATCTGTAAAACAAAAGAGAAGCAGCAAGTCAAATTACAGCAGCAGGCTATCTTATCAGAACGGAAGAAATCATTTGTCTTCGCTCAATTTAAACAACTTCAAAAATTGTAAACATTTTTTCTAAAATGAGATTTTAGAGGACAGATCTCTTTGGTGTGCTTATGAACACCCAGGTCTGACCTGGAAACTGCAGAACTCACATGTCCACTAAGCAAAGCAACTGTGGCTTCAGGTCCCGTTAGAAGACATGTTTGCCAGAACCTAGACTCCCCATGTGACTGGTCATTATATGACAGGCAGCCCATCAGAGAGCCCTTTAGCAAGAAGATTCCCAGAAATCTAATTCGCACGCAAGCCCAGGGACTGCCCTAAGTCTCCGTTGGAGTCAGGCAGAGCACAGCTGCCAGCAGAAGCTGCCCAGGGGACAGGCCCATGTTAAGGAAAGGGCTGTCCCTCGAATGTGCCCTTGACAGGAAGAGGACCCAGACATCAACCCTACAGGAAGGTGGTTCTCCCAGGCATTCATCTCACCCATATGACATCCAGAGATTTCATCAAAAACTTTTTTCTTTTTTTTATATGAAGTCTCATTCTGTCACCCAGGCATGATCTCGGCTCACTGGAACCTCCATCTTCCAGGCTCAAGTAATCCTCCTGCCTCAGCCTCCTGAGTAGCTGGGATCAAACGTGCACACCACCATGCCTGTGTAATTTTTATATTTTTGGTAGAGACAGGGTTTCACCATGTTGCCCAGGCTGGTCTTGAATTCCTGGGTTCAAATGATCCACCCACCTCGGCCTCCCAAAGTGCTGGGATTACAAGCGTGAGCCACTGTGCCTGGCCAAACACTTTCAAGTTGTTCCAAACAAAAACCAAGGCTACATTTCATGCTGCAATTACACAACCATCTTTGAAAACAGGCAGGATAGCAGGGAAATCATTGATTGAGAATTACTCAATTTCCTAGACTCTCAGGCAAGTTTGAGAATTTCTACTTCTCTGTTCTGTTCTGGTCACTTATCTAATTCAATCGTGAATACATTCCCGGAGGCTTATGTGAGCCTTAAGTATCAAAGAGGGTCCAGCAGCACACATCTGGGCTGGGGCGGGGTTGGGGGGGTGCAGTGCACACAGCATTCAGCCTCATCGATGTGAACAAAGAGGACAGGAGCCACTGACATTTCTTTGTTAAAGGTGAGTCTCCATTTCCCTGCAGCCCTCAACACGGGACAATTTTTCAGAACCTTTAATAAACACTCCATTTCTTTCTACCACTGGGGAATTTCCATGGTAGCATGAGGCACGTTTTACTCGCATAATAGCAGCTAATATTTTTGACAACTCACACAGCACCAGGCAAGTGCTTTCAAGTGTGTTTGTTCACAGACATGTCACTTAGGAGTCTCTCTCTAGGGACCTGCTCTATGACAGCCTTGGCTATCTCGGATCCCAACTGTATCCCTGAGGGCACACAGCGGGGTGGAGGCCACAATCACTGGTGCCACTGGGACTGGGTGGTCTAGGAATGAAGGCTGGGTGTGTTCAGGGAAAGGCCTGGGAAAGTCAACCTTTGGTAATCTACACTCAGGAGGAAGGGAAAGATTAGGTTAAAGGAAACGCAGCCAATAGCTCAATCCTGGCACAGAATAGCGGATGTGACTGGAGAGTGAGGACAGCCCCCAGCCACAGCAGGCTCCACATGTTTGTACAGAGAGGTGCTTCAGGGCATGGGAAAGCATTCTGAGTCTCGATTTTTAAAAACTCAAGCAGCAGAAAGGAAGCACAGAACACCGTCTGCTGATGCAGGAAACTGATGCACAAGCAAGGGTGAGAGAGGGCCGGAGCATTTACAGATGTACAAAAAGTGAAGATCTAAGAAAGCATGATGTCAGCAGCCGCCCACAAGAAGTTCTAGAAGAAAAGAGCTCCAACTTGAGGAGGAAAAAGAGCTGGCATGTCTGCTGGAAGTGCTGTCATAATAGATTTCTAATACTCTCTTTTCCTGACTAGAACTAGAATAATCAGTCTATAAAATCTTGGTGTAAGAAAAACAGGAAACACAACTTTAACCAATTTGGTATCAGGAAAAAATTTTTTTACAACAACCACACTATATTAAACAGGAGAAATCAGTTGATCCAAGGATTTTATATCCAACCAAACTATCTGTTCATTGACAACACAACAGGTCAAAGTTTACTTCTCCAGAACTCAGAGAATTCTGTGGCCCTACTCAAGGCCACTGCCTGAGGATGAGCTTCACCAACCTGAAGACACCTGGGAACACTCAGCAGAGGCAAGCGGGAGCCCTGTTGTAGTAAATTGTGTACCTAAGAATACCGTGTGTTCTGACAGAGCAGAAACACCACCAACAAAAAATGGGAAGAGGAGAGACAGGGAGACAGGAAAGAGAAAACACAAAGAATGGAATTCACTCACTGCCTGCTGTGGAGGCAATGAGTGGGTGTCAGAGGACCCCCTAATGCCAACACAGCAGGCCACGAGGGGGTACACAGGGAACCCAGGCCCAAGGAGCATGAGTGGGGTATGCAAGTCTATAGGAATGCACTAGGAAAAAAGCACCCATTTTCCTAATACCCCAATTTTTTTTTGTTTTCTGATAAGGAGTCTCGCTCTATTGCCAGGCTGGAGTGCAGTGGCACGATCTCAGCTCACTGCAACCTCCACCTCCTGGGTTCAAGCAATTCTCCTGCCTCAGCCTCCCGAGTAGCTGGGACTACAGGTGCGCGCCACCACGCCTGGCTAACTTTTGTATTTTTAGTAGAGACAGGGTTTTCACCATGTTGGCCAGGATGGTCTTGATCTCTTGACCTCATGATCTGCCCCCCTCGGCCTCCCAAAGTGCTGAGATTACAGGCGTGAGCCACAGCACCTGGACAATTTTTTTTTTTTTTTTTTGAAGCAGAGTCTAGCTCTGTCGCCCAGGCTGGAGTGCAGTGGCACAATCTCAGCTCGCTGCAACCTCCACCTCCCAGGTTCAAGCAATTCTCCTGCCTCAGCCTCCCAAGTAGCTAGGACTACAGGTATGCACCACCACACCTGGGCTAATTTTTGTATTTTTTAGTAGAGATGGGGTTTCACCATCTTGGCCAGGCTGGTCTTGAACTCTTGACCTCAGGTGATCTGCCTGCCTCAGCCTCCCAAAGTGCTGGGATTACAGGCATGAGCCACCACGCCCAGCCCCACAATTTTTTTTTTAAATAAAAAAGCAAAAAACCCCACAACACATTTTAAAAAAACCCAAAAAACAAAACAGTAAATAGAAAATACAGAAATTATAAAATAATGACAGGGTTGAGACCAACCACATAGTTATATCACTAAGTGTGAATGGGCTTAACTGACTGAAAAGAAGATTTTCAATTTGGCTCACAAAGCAAGCCTCAGGTTTGCTTCACACAAGAGAACGTCCTAAAACCAAGGCACTCAGAAAAAGGCTGGAAACAAAGGGCCAAGGACAAGGCTGTCTCGTCAGGCAAATGGGCCGAAGGAGAGCAGGGGCAGCAGTCACAACGCAGACAGAGCAGGACTTAGGCCGCAGGCACAAAGCACGACCAGAAGGTGGCCGCTTCTCAACACAAAAAGCCACAAGTAACTAAAAATATATAACAGGAATGTGCACCAAACAACACGGAAACAGGAGATGCAAGAAAACACAGAAACATATTAATAATAAGCCACAGAAGACAGGCCATGAGGACACAAAATAAGGATATACAGAAGACTAAACAACAGAATTAATGTATCATGGAGGTGTATACATATATGTATCTCCATATGTAAATACATACGTACATATATATACACACACACACAGTGAACTCTATACCAAGACCCAAGAAAATACACTTCTATCAAGTACACATGGAGGAGTTACAAAAGCTGACATACACTGGGCCTCAGAAAGTATCAATAGGTTTTGCAAAACAAAAGCAATATTCTCTGATCACAATGAAAAAAACCTGTAAATTATTAACAACAACAAAGTTTCTCCTCTTGGAAATTTAAAAGCTGCCTATTACACTATCGAGTGAAAGAAAAAAGACGCATGGAAATTACATAATTTCTTTTTTTTGGAGATGGAGTCTCGCTCTGTCTCCCAGGCTGGAGTGCAGCAGCACCATCTCAGCTCACCACAACCTTTGCCTCCCAAATTCAAGCGATTCTTCTGCCTCAGCCTCCACAGTAGCTGGGACTACAGGCACGTGCCACCACGTCCAGCTAATTTTTGTATTTTTAGTAGATACAGGGTTTCCGAACTCCTGACCTCAAGTGATCTGCCCGCCTCGGCCTCCCAAAGTGCTGGGATTACAGGCATGAGCCATAGCGCCCAGCCCAGAATTTCTTTAAAAAAAATAATGGAGGCTCGGCGTGGTGGCTCACGCCAGTAATCCCAGCACTTTGGGAGGCAGAGGCGGGTGGATCACCTGAGGTCAGGAGTTCAAGACCAGCCTGGCCAAGATGGTGAAACTCCGTCGCTACTAAAAATACAAAAATTAGCCAGGCGTGGTGGTGCATGCCTGTAATCCCAGCTACTCGGGAGGCTGAGACAGGAGAATTGCTTGAACCCAGGAGGCAGAGGTGGCAGTGAGCCGAGATCATGCCACTGCACTCCAATCTGGGCGACAGAGAGAGACTCCATCTCAAAAACAAAACAAACAAACAAACAAACAAAAAAGGAAAAATTATCTATCAGATTCCATGGGATATTGTTAAGAAAAAGATCAGAGGAAAGTTCCACGTGCTGAACACTTTTATCAATAAAAATGGAAGAAAAAACAAAATGAACTGAATTTCTAAATTAAAAAGTTAGAAAAAACCCCAAGAAAGTAAAACAAAAGAAAGCACAGTGGCCGGGCGTGGTGGCTCACGCCTGTAATCCCAGCACTTTGGGAGGCCAAGGTGGGTGGATCACAAGGTCAGGAGATCGAGACCATCCTGGCTAACATGGTGAAACCCCGTCTCTACTAAAAAATACAAAAAATTAGCCGGGCGAGGTGGTGGGCGCCTGTAGTCCCAGCTACTTGGGAGGCTGAGTCAGGAGAATGGCATGAACCCGGGAGGCGGAGTTTGCAGTGAGCCAAGATCACACCACTGCACTCCAGCCTGGGCGAAAGAGCGAGACTCTGTCTCAAAAAAAAAAAAAAAAAAGAAAGCACAGAAAGAAAATAAAGACGAAAGCAGAAATTAACAAGGTAGGCTGGGCACGGTGGTTCATGCCTGTAATCCTAGCACTTTGGGAGGCCTAGGTGGGCAGATGGCTTGAGACCAGGAGTTTGAGACCAGCCTGGACAATCTGGCAAAATGCTGTTCCTACAAAAACTACAAAAAAATTAGCCGAGTGTGGTGGTGCCCACCTGTGGTACCACCTACTTGAGAAGGTGAGTGGGGAGGATCACCCGAGCCCAGGGAAGTTGAGGTTGCAGTGAGCTGTGAGTGTGCCACTGCACTCCAGCCTGGGCAACATGAGTGAGACTCTGTCTTAAAATAAAAAATAAAAAAGAAAGAAAGGAGGTAAAGAAAAACAGTAAGCTAGGCACAGTGGCTCCCACCTGTAATCCCAGCACTTTGGGAGGCCAAGGCGGGTGGATCATGAGGTCAGGAGATGGAGACCATCCTGGCTAACATGGTGAAACCCCATCTCTACTAAATATACAAAAATTAGCCAGGCGTAGTAACACGCGCCTATAATCTCAGCTACTCGGGAGGCTGAGGCAGGAGAATAGCTTGAACCCGGGAGGTGGAGGCTGCAGTGAGCCGAGAACACGCCACTGCACGCCAGCCTGGGGGACAGAGCGAGACTCTGTCTCAAAAAAAAAAAAAAAGAAAAAAAAAAAAAAACAAAAGAAGAACAGTAAACCTAAATAATAAACTCAGATGATTTTAAAAAACTAACAAAATACATAAACTATTAACTTAAGCAAAATAGGGAGAAAGGAAAAATACACAAACTAAGAAATGACAGGCGAAAATAATCATTGCAAAGAAATTTAAAACTATGACTAGACTACCTTGCAGACATCTATGCAAATAAATTTGAAAATCTAGTTGAAAAGAATAATTTACTACAGAAAGATGGTTTACCAAAATTAACCTCACTAGAGATAGAATAATTTCCAGAGAGGAGAGAAGACTGCTAGCAAGGACCACAGAAAACACACCAGGTCCAGGGGGCTTGCAAAGGGATTTCTATCAAACCTTTAAAGCCTGGATGGTCCCAATGTGAATTGTTCCAGATCACTGAAAATGTAAAAAACAAGAAAATTTCCTGTGTTTTGTTTTGTTTTGTTTTGTTTTTGAGGTGGAGTCTCTCTGTCCCAGGCTGGAGTGCAGTGGCGTGTTCTCGGCTCACTGCAACCTCCACCTCCCGGGTTCAAGCTATTCTCCTGCCTCAGCCTCTTGAGTAGCTGAGATTACAGGTGCGTGTTACTACGCCTGGCAAATTTTTGTATTTTTAGTAGAGACGGGGTTTCACCATGTTGGCCAGGCTTGTCTCGAACGCCTGACCTCGTGATCCGCACCCCTCCTCGGCTTTCCAAAATGCTGGGATTATAGGCATGAGCCACCGTGCCCAGCCAAAAACTTCCTAATTCTTTTTATGAGGCAAGTATAATATTGATACTCAAAGCTAATACAGACAGAACAAAAACGGAAGTCACAGACCCATCTCTCCTAAAAATAATATAGATGTAAATATATTAAATAATGTAAACAGATTCCAAAACAAAAGGATATACCATAATCAAGTGAGCTTTATTCCAGGAATTCAAGTTCAGTTCAATACTTAAAAATCAAATAATGTAAAACATCGTATTAATACATCTAAGGAGAAACATCATGGTTATCTCCACAGATGCTAGAAAACCTTTGAAGTTTAACACCCATAACACCCATTCCTAATGAAAAACACTCAAGAGATGAGGAATCGCTGGATTTTTTTTTAACATTAAATTTTTTTAATGTGGCTAATTTTAAATAATTATCTTATAATATATAAACCTTAACCCTAAAGCCAACATCTTACTTAATGTGGAAACACCAGAGACATTTCTGTTAAGATCAGAAAAGATGCAGTTAAGTAAAAGACAACAATTAGAGGCGTAAGAATTGAAAAAGTAGAAGTAAAACTTTCTCTATTTGTACACATATATAATAGAATGCCTGGAAAACCCCAGAGAATCAACAGTAAGACTCAAACAATAAAATTCAGTAAAGTAAAATATATAAAGTTAACATACAGGCAGGGCGAGGGGGCTCACACCTGTTAATTCCAGCACTTTGGGAGGCCAAGGAGGGCAGATCACTTGAGGTCTGGAGTTCGAGACCAGCCTAGCCAACATGGTGAAACCCCACCTCTACCAAAAATACAAAAACTAGCTGGGCATGGTGGTGTGCGCCTGTAATCCCAGCTACTTGGGAGGCCGAGGCAGGAAAATCGCTTGAACCCAGAAGGCGTAGGCTGCAGTGATCCAAGATCGCGCCACTGCACTCCAGCCTGGGCGACAAGAATGAAACTCCATCTCAAAAAATAGATAAAAATTAAAAAAAATAAAAAATAAAAAAATAAAGTTAACATACAGCCGGGCGTGGTGGCTCACGCCTGTAATTCCAGCATTTTGGGAGGCCGAGATGGGTGGATCACCTGAGGTCAGGAGTTGTAGACCAACTTGACCAACATGGTGAAACTCTATCTCTACTAAATACAAAAAATTAGCTGGGCATGGTTTTGCTTGCCTGTAATTCCAACTACTTGGGAGGCTGAGGCAGCACAATCGCTTGAACCTGGGAGGCGAAGGTTGCAGTGAGCCAAGATTGCACCATTGTACCCCAGACTGGGCAACAAGAGCGAAACTCCATCTCGAAATAAACAAACAAACAAACAAAAATCAATAGCTTTCATACACAAATAAATAACCAGTTAGGGCAGCACTATCCAATAGAAATACAATCTGAGGCTGGGCACAGTGGCTCACGCCTGTAATCCCAGCACTTTGGGAGGCTAAGGCAGGAGGATCACTTGAAGTCAGGAGTTCGAGACTAGCCTGGCCAACATAGTAAAACCTGGTCTCTACTAAAAATACAAAAATTAGTTGAGTGTGCTGGTGCGGCACCTGTAATTCCAGCTACTCGGGAGGGTGGGGCATGAGAACTGCTTGAACCCAGGAGGTGGAATTGAACCTGGGAAATAAAGTCCGCAGTGAGGCAGAGGTTGCAGTGAGCCGAGATTGCGCCACTGCACTCCAGCCTGGGTGATGGAGTGAGACTCTGCCTCAAAAAAAAAAAAAAAAATAAGAAATATAATCTGAAATCTGAGTCTGAGCCACACACAAAAGATTCTTCTAACAGCCACATTAAAAAAAATTTTTTTTAAAGAAACGGGTGAAATTAATTGCAGTAATATATTTAATATATCCAAAATATTATGATTTAAACATGTAACCAATATTAAAAATTATACTGAGATATTTTGCATTCTTTTATTTACACTAGGTTTTCAAAATCCAGTATATATTTTACACTTATAACACTTCTCAATTTGGACTGGCCACATTTCAAGTGCTCGATAATGACATATAACTAATGGCTACTGTATTGGATAGTTCAGAATTATAAAATATAATGGTGGAGAAGATCCCATTTAAATTAAAAACAATGGTGATTAAATGCTGAGAAATACACTCAGTAAGAAATGTGAAAAATATTTAAGAGAAAATTTAAAATATTCCTGAATGACCTGAAAGTAAACTTGAACAAATGGAAAAACATCCCTTGTTCTTGGAAGGAATGATCAATATCATAAAGACATCAATTCTCCCTAAATTAATGTATAAGTGTAATGGAATCCTGACAAAGATACCAACAACTTTTTTTTTTGTGGGGGGAGACAGAGTCTCACTCTGTTGCCTCGGCTGGAGCGCAGTGGAGCAACCTTGGCTCACTGCAACCTCTGGCTCCTGGGTTCAAGCAATTCTCCCATCTCAGCCTCCCGAGCAGCTGGGACCACAGGCGCTCGCCACCACACCTGGCTAATTTTTTTTATCTTTAGTAGAGATGGTGTTTCACCATGTTGGCCAGGCTGATCTCGAACTCCTGACCTCAGGTGATCCGCCTGCCCAGGCCTCCCAAAGTGCTGGGATTACAGGTGTGAGCCCGGCCCCAACAAGCTTTTTTTAAATGGAGCCAGGCACATTGATGCTAAAGTTCATATAGAACTACAAACATGAAATAGCCTGGGAAATACTGAGCTGGAAAAGCTATGAGGAGAGAACAGCCCTACGAGATATTACAACATGTAGAGCCTCTAAAAATAACTAACTAAATGCAATAATGACACAAGTAAACAGAGAGGAAAGGAAGAGAAATTCCAGAAACAGACCCAAGTGCATATTGAAATTTACTGTAGGACAGGACGGGAACGGTGGCTCACGCCTGTAATCCCAGGACTTTGGGAGGCCAAGGTGGGCAGATCACCTGAGATTGGGAGTTTGAGACCAGCCTGACCAACAAGGAGAAACCCTGTCTCTACTAAAAATATAAAATTAGCCGGGTGTGGTGGTGCATGGCTGTAATCCCAGCTACTTGGGAGGCAGAGGCAGGAGAATCGCTTGAACCCAGGAGGCAGGGGTTGCAGTGAGCTGAGATCATGCCATTGTACTCCAGCCTGGGCAACAAGAGTGAAACTCTGTCTCAAAAAAAAAAAAAAAAAAAAAAGAAAGAAAGAAATTTATTGTAGGACAAAGGTGGCATCTTGAATCACTGGGACAAGATGATTTTATTTATTTATTTTTGTTTTTGTAGAAACAAGGTCTCATTATAGACCAGTCTAGAGTGCAATGGCACAATTATAGCTCATTGTAATCTCAAACACCTGGGCTCAAGTGATCCTCCTGCCTCAGCCTTCCAAGTGGCTGAGACTACTGGTGTGCACCACCATGCCCTGCTATTTTAAAAAAAATATCTGTAGAGATGGGGTCTCACTATGTTGCCCAGGCTAGTCTCAAACTCCTGGGCTCGAATGATCCTCCTGCTTTGGCCTCCCAAAGTGCTGGGATCACAGGCATGAGCCATCACCCTCACACCTGGTCCAGGATGAACTTTCTAATAACTGGTGCTAAGGCCGGGCATGGTAGCTCACGTCTGTGATCCCAGCACTGTGGGAGGCTGAGGCAGGAGGACTGCTTTAGCCCAGGAGTTATAGCCAGCTAAGGCAATGTAGCAAGACCCTGTTTCTACTAAAAAAAAAAAAATTAGCCAGCATGGTGGCACGTGCCTGTAGTCCCAGCTACTCAGGAGGCTGAGGCGGGAGAATCACTTGAGCCCAGGAGTTCCAGGCTGCAGTGAGCTATGACCGCACCACCACACTCTAGCCTGGGTGACAGAGCAAGACCCTATACCCCACTTCCCAAAAAAAAGAATAAATAATAATAATGTGCTGGGACCACTCGCTAACCATTTGGAAAAAGAGAAATTGGATCCATATTTCACACCACAGAGAAGAAAAATTTCCAAACATATTAGGGATATAAATGAAAAAAAAAGAAACTACACAAACACTGGAAGGCAGCATGGGTGTGTTCCTCTTTAATCACAATGTTAGCGTAAAGCTTTCTAACAATTATTCAAAATCCAGAGGCAATAAAAAATCAAGAAGCTGACCGCATAAAAGGAAGAACATTTCCACCTGACTGAAAAGCATACACAAAGTCAAAAGACAACTTATGAACTGGGAGAGAATGTCTGCAGCATACTGCATGAGTAAAAGGCTAATGTCCCTACCATATAAAAAAATTCTTGGCTGGGTGCGGTGGCTCATGCCTGTAATCCCAGCACTTTGGGAGGCCAAGACAGGCGGATTGTGAGGTCAGGAGATTGAGACCATCCCGGCTAACACGGTGAAACCCCGTCTCTACTAAAGATATAAAAATTAGCCGGGCGTGGTAGTGGGCACCTGTAATCCCAGCTACTCAGGAGGTTGAAGCAGGAGAATGGCGTGACCCCCGGAGGCGGAGCTTGCAGTGAGCCGAGATCGCGCCACTGCACTCCAGCCTGGGCGACAGAGCAAGATTCCGTCTCAAAAACAAAAACAAAATTCTTAAATACAAAAGGGAAAAGACCAAAAACCTAGTAAGAAATGAGAAATAGGTATGAATAGAAAATTCATACACACAAAAAGAAATAGCCCTTAATAATATATTGACCTCATTGTAATTAGAGGAGAAAAATGCAAATGAAAACTACACTGAGGGCTTACTGTAGCTAACGGATTGGCAACAGTTAAAAAGCCTGACAACTACTCTATAAGCAAGGCTGTGGCCAAACAGGCACTCAGATGCTGCTGGTGGGTGGGCTGACTGGAGGGTTTGGAGAACTTGGACGTAGCTAGCAAAAAAACTATGAAAGCACTTACCTTTTTAAAAATTTTTATTTTATTTTTTTTTCAGATAGGGTCTTGCTCTGTTGCCCAGACTGGAATGCAGTGGCGTGATCTTGACTCACTGCAACCTCCGCCTCCCAGGCTCAGGTGATCCTCCTGCATCGGTGTCTCCAGTAGCTGAGACTATAGGTGAGTGCCACCACACCCGACTAATTTTTGTATTTTTAGTAGAGACAGGGTTCCACATGTTGGTCAGGCTGGCCTCGAACTTCTGACCTCAAGTGATCTGCCTGTCTTGGCCTCTCAAAATGCTGGGATTATGGATGTGAGCCACCATGCCCAGCCTTAATTTTTTTTTTTTTTTTTTGAGATGGAGTCTCACTCTGTTGCCAGGCTGGAGGGCAGTGGTGTGATCTCGGCTCACTGCAACCTCCACCTCCCCAGTTCAAGCAATTATCCTGCCTCAACCTCCCGAGTAGCTGGGATTATAGGCGTGTGCCACCACGCCCAACTGATTTTTGTATTTTTAGTAGAGACGGGGTTTCATGTTGGCCAGCATGGTCTCCATCTCCTGACCTCGTGATCCGCCTCCCTCGGCCTCCCAACATGTTGGGATAACAGGCGTGAGCCACCATGCCCGGCTGCTTTAAATTTTAAGAGACAGGGTCTCACTCTGTCACCCAGGCTGGAGTGCAGTGGTGCAATCATGACACACCGCAGCCTCAAACTCCTGGGCTCCAGCGATTCTCCTGCCTCAGCCTCCCAAGTAGCTGGGACTACAGGCGTGCACCACCATGCCCAGATAAGTGGCTTTTTTTTTTTTTTTTAGTAGAGATGGGGTCTTGCTATATTGCCCAGGCTGGTCTTAAATTCCCGGCCTCAGGTAATCCTCCTGCCTCAGCTTCCCAAAGTGTTGGGATTACAGGCGTGAGCCACCACACCGGGAACACACTTACCTTTTGACCCAGCCCTCTCCCTTCTGGGAAAGTGCTCCAAGGAAACACCTCCAAACAATATGGAAACACATATGCACACAAGTACTTACTGTAGCACTGGGTGTAATGATTAAAACAAAGCATTGAGTCCGGGCACGGTGGCTCACACCTGTAATCCCAGCACTTTGGGAGGCCAAGGTGGGCAGGTCACTTAAGGTCAGGAGTTCAAGGCCAATCTGGCCAACATGGTGAAACCTCATCTCTATTAAAAATACAAAAATTAGCTGGGTATGGTGGCACGTGCCTGTAATTTCAGCTACTTGGGAGGCTGAGGTGGGAGAATTGCTTCAACCTGGGGGGTGGAGGATGCAGTGAGCCGAGATTGCGCCATTGCACTCCAGCCTAGATGACAGAGTGAGACTCCACCTTAAAACAGAAACAAAAACAAAAAACCAAAGCATTAGAAACAACCTAAACGCTCGCACAAAGAAGAGTGACTGCAGAAATCATCGTACACTTTAAATGGAGTACCGTGTCGCTGCAGAAAGAATGAGGACAATCTCTACGAACTGATGTGCAGTGATTCCCAGAATATATGAAGTAGAAAAGAACCCAGAAGTCACTATTATGTCTATAATACACTACCTTTTATGTAAAAAAGAAAAGCAAATAAGAAACTGATTAGTTACCTACAGGGAGTGGGTGGGAACAGATTAAAAAAAAAGAGGAACTGGGTAGGGGAGAAAACAAATGGAACACAAATGGAAAAACGCAATCAGGTGTGTTTTCAATCAATAACGTAATTGTACTAAAGGTGAAAAGAACTAATTTAAGTCATTTGTAAATTCAGTGTAATCACCACACCCTGAGGCTAAAGACAAAAAGAACTGAACAAATACCGAAAGCATGCCCGGAGTTTTCCATCGGGTAAGGGCAGGGACTTCTGAACCCTTTACCTGTGTTGTAGGACTCAGCAAGTCAGTAAAGGCACCATGGATGATGGGGTCCAGGTTCTTACTGTCTAAGGAGTTACAAAGGTGGACGGGGAAGGGAGAACGCTCACTGTAGCACAGGAGTGGGGCTGGGATATCTGTGGGAACTCACGGCTTGTACATAGCAATTAGTGTGTGTAGGTGGCAGGCGCTCGTGTGCACATGCTCACACCCCCACTCCTCCTGCTCTGCTGACTGAGAGGGCCTAAAAGCAATGCCATATGGCAGTGTCCAGGTCTGGGTTTCTGAACACCACTGTTGAAGAAAGAGGAGGGCTCCTTGGAGAAATGGCTGGTTCAGGGCTGGGAGAGAGAAGACACGAGATGAGCCCGGAGCATCGAACCATGACACAAAGTATAAAATGCTTAAAGGCTGGTAGGGCCGCATCAAATGGTCTAAGGAAAAAGCCATTCCGAGGGGGCTCCCACTGACCGAATCTCAGACAATCAAAACAGCAACATAAAGAGTGTTCGTAAAAGATTCTCATCTATAGCATCAAGTAAAACTTCGTGGATCTATCCTGATATAACTAAGTGAATGAAAAAAACACATGAGGTTGGAAAGCTCTTCCTACAGTTGAATGGCAAGTAACAAATATAGAAAGAATAATATTAGAAAATTCACCATTTGGGCCAGGGGTGGCAGCTCACGCCTGTAATCCCAGCACTTTGGGAGGCTGAGGCAGGCGGATCAACTGAGGTCGGGAGTTTGAGACCAGCCTGACCAACAAGGTGAAATCCCATCTCTACTACACAAAATTAGCCGGGTGTGGTGGTGCATGCCTGTAATCCCAGCTACTTGAGAGGCTGAGGCAGGAGAATCGCTTGAACCCGGGAAGCGGAGGTTGTGGTGAGCTGAGATCGTGCCACTGCACTCCAGCCTGGACAACAAGAGCGAAACTCCATCTCAAAAAAAAAAAAAAATCACCATATGACAACACAGTAATAAACATTTCCGGCAAGAATCATTAATGGATGCTACAACTAGTCGGTGAATGTTCAATAAAAACAGGATACTCATTTCCCCATAAGACACTTACTAATTAGCAAAGGAGAAATATTAACTTGACCGTAGTGAAAATGGGCAGACCAGCTCAACCCAGGATCAGAGTTCCCATCCCCAGTGATGGGACAGACACCGTCACCCACTTCCTGGTGGGATATACCAACAGGGACTGGCCACATCAGTGGTGTTGCCGCCAAAACATGGTATCTGAACCTGACTGGGAAGACATGGGGCATGCACCCTGACCAAGGGATCCTCTAAAAAATAAATGCGCTGCACTCTTCAAAAAAGTAAAGGTCATGAAAAACAGAGAAACCGATCCAAAGGAAAGGAAATTAAAGAGATACGACATGGGATCCTGGATTGGATCCCATGTCAGGAGAAACAACAAGAGCTTTTTTTTTTTTTTTTTGCTATAAAGGATGTTAAAAGGACAATTGGAGAAACATGAGTAAGGTCTACAATTAGAGAATAGCATTGGATCAGTGTCAACTTCTTCATTTTGATCACTGTACTGTGGTTTTATAAGTGTCTTTATCTTGAGGAAATATACATGGAAGTATTTTAGGTTAAAGGGGTATCATGTATGAAGTGACTCTCCTTCTGTCCAGAAAAATAAGAGAGAGAGGGAGAGAGAGAATAACGAAGCAAACATGGGAAATACTGATGTTGGGGAACTAAAGTTGGGGAACTGGAGGGGGTAGAAATCCTCTCTCTCTCTATATGTATTTTTTGAGATGGAGTCTCTCTGTCACCCACGCTGGAGTGCAACGGCATGATCTTGGCTCACTGCAATCTCTGCCTCCTGGGTTCAAGCGATTCTCCTGCCTCAGCCTCCCCGAGTAGCTAGGATTACAGGTGCACCACCAAGCCCAGCTAATTTTTTTTTGTTATTTTTAGTAGAGACAGGGTTTCAGCATGTTGGCCAAGCTGGTCTCGAACTCTTAACCTCTGGTGATCTGCCCACCCTGGCCTCACAAAGTGCTGGGATTACAGGTGTGAGCCACCATGCCTGGCCCCTCTACGCTCTTTTCTACAGGAGGGAGGCCACATGGCGAGAGCATGCCAAACCCAGTGTTTTCCTATACTAGCACATCACACATGGAAAACCAGGCATCGCTCAGAAATACCTTCCCGCTATTCTGTATTTACCAATTGAATTGTTGACTCTGTCTCCTTTCTTCTTCTTATTTTTCTTGTTCTTGCCCTTTGGCTGAGGGGACTCTGCCAGCACCAGCTTGCTGTTCTGCTGATGCTCACCGGGAGAGGTGGGCTCCATAGGGGTTGGGTTTGACTTTTCGTCCTTGATGTGGTTCAGCTGCTTTTTGTTATTGTTATTACTGTTGACTTTTCTCTCCTCTCTTTTCTGCTCTGTGATGGACATGAGGTCGACCACCTTAGCCTTTGACTCAGTCTGGGCCCGGGGCTTGGACTGCCCCTCTGTGGCCTTGGGGGGCTCTGTGGGCCTCCTCGCTGGCTCGCTGCTGGCCTTGCTGGTCTGCCTCAGCTTCTGCTTGCCATTTCCTTCTTTATGGTGCTGCATGATGTCGAAGAAAAAAGAGAGTGGCTCATGCTGCTTCCCATTCACCTCCTTGGGGAGGAGAAATTTGGAGTCTCTGGTGTCGACGGGGTCTGCAGCATCCCCATCAGCCCCTAGCCCTGGCCTGGGCTCTGAGTGGTTCATATGCCTGGATGGGGAGTGAGAAGAGGTTTCTGGTTCTTCAGTTTGCTCTAGTGAGCCATTGTGGATGTTTCCAGAGTTAGGAACAGACTCTGTTGCTGCCTGGAAATTTCTAGTGAGCATGTCCAACTTGGGGCAGTCTTTACTTGGCCTCTCCTTCTTCTTCTTTTTTACAGCTCTTAGCTTCTGAAGCTCCTGAAGCCGCTGAAATTCCTCCTTGAAACGATCCTCCTCTTCTTCCTCATCCTCCTCCTCCTCCCGCCGCCTCTGCTCCTCCTGGAGGTGCAGGTGCTCCCGGGCCCTGGCCTCTGCTTCTAGGCGAGCTTTCTCCTCCAGCTGCCAATGCAAAAAGAAGGCAATTTAAGACTACAGTGAGTGCTAAAAATTAAGTCATACAGAAAAACTAAGATAATTTCAAAAACGAATCACATATGGAACATAAACTCTGAAGAGGCTGTAATAAATCAAAACTTAACACACACCCACCTCCAATTCTCTTACTCTGCAGGATTGTTAAACTTCATCTATTTACTAAAGTATATGCTTACTTATTTGTGTGTGTGTGTGTGGGGGGGGGGGTGGTAGTTAACAAAAAATTCCCGATAGCCTTTGACCTGGTACTAAACACAGTAACCAAGGACAAAGCAGCTGCAAAGCACACATCCAGGGAGTCAGCTACCCCCTCACAGGTGCGGCAGGGCATCATGCCGCCTGGCCGAGTGGATGATGTAACCAATACCACAGACTGCCCGGGCAGTACTGAGGCTGTACACGTGCCGCCAGAACTCTGAGCAAACCCACCTTTCCAGGCGAAGGCTAATGCATTCACTTGAACAGGGAATGTAAGAAATGTGTACCAGGCTGGTGCAGTGGCTCACACCTGTGATCCTAGGAGTTCAAGAGCAGCCTGGGCAACATGGCAAAACCCCGTCTCTACAAAAAGTATCAAAATTAGCTGGATGTGAGGGCGCACGACTGTGGTCCCAGCTATTTGGGAAGCTGAGGTTTGAGAATCGCTTGAAGCCAGGAGGTTGAGGCTGCAATGAGCTGTGATGGCACCACAAAAAGCAATGTGTAGTAAAGAACTAGAAATTCCTTCTTCCCACCCTAGCAGATAAACAGAAGTGCCATATATTTTCACTAGTGTGACAGATGTGACAGAGCAAATGACTCACTGTCCAACTTGATGGAAAATTAATTTTCATCCCAAGTAAAGACAGCATTTGAGTAGTGATGCACACAAACTCCAGGGGCACAAATGGAAACTGTTCTTTGTGTTCAGAAAGCAGATGAGAGTCATCAGTGTTAGGAGCACGGCTCCACCCACCACCAACCTTTAGAAATGCTGGGGCTTATGAGAAACTCTGCCAAAAGCATTTCTCCTAGAGAAATAGAAAAGTACTCCCCAAGTGTAAATTATTTTTCACAATATTTTAAACAGGCAAATTGACTTGTCTTTTGAAAAACTTAAAAATTATGATAAAAATTTAACAATGGTATGTTATTAAAAATTTCATTTGACAATTCAAGTAAAAATTATTTAACATCCTTCTCCATGTGTATGTCAGGAGCAGCACCCAGCAGCCACCTCGTGGATGGGTCCTGCAGTCCAGTGTCTAGAGTGAGCTGTGGGCCTGCACGGGAGCAGAGGAGAGACCAACTCCATCAGGACACTCGCTGGCACACACTGGCCAGTTGGCATCCTCTCAGAGCTGATCTAAATCCAGCACACGTGCCTTGTCAATATATGGACAAATAACAAGCATGTAAAGGCAGGTGCCCTGGTCTCCAGCAGAACGGCTGCCCCAGCACAGGCCCCCGGTTTGGACCTGCTACGGGACAGAGTCCATAGGTCAACTATTGCTGTCCCTTCAACAACCAGCCAGCCAGTGAGCCTCAACACACATCTGTGAGCTGCTCTGTAAAATGGGTGCAGCGTAGAAAGCACCAGGAGGTGGTCCCTCGAGGTGGGACTGGGTGCTGGGCAGGGCCTATGACATCAGCCTCTAAGGTTCAGCTGGGCCTCAAGTCTGGATTCAGACCACCTGCAAGGTCAGAGGGCAAGAGCCTGGGGTGGAGAGTACCCTGAAAACTCAGGAAGGCGTCCCAGAGGCCTCCAGTGAATCCCAATGGGACGTCTCAGGGCCTTGGACCATCGTGGGTACCCCGATGCTGGACGCTCCTGAATGGAGGACACACTGTGTTCTCTGCACTCCAGCAGTCTCTAGTCTTCTGGGGCACGGGACAAGGCTTCTCCCCCAAAGCCTCCCAATCAGGCCCAATAGTCAGTCTAAATCTACTGTAGGACTGCGAGGTATGAGCAGAGCTCTTGAGGGTAGAACAATCACAACAGCTAAGATACAAGTAACAACACAGGACATCGGGCCCACCCTCTGGTCCACTGTGGGATCGTCCTCTTCCTCACCTTTTTGCCTGACCATGCTGCAGACAGAAACCTGGCCTCTTCCCAAGACCACTGTCCTACTGTCAGAACCCCAGGAACCTACAAGTTCCCTCTGCATGCAGCCCACATCTGCTCACTGAGGTCTGGTTCTTGGAGCCTGACACTTTTAGGGAGCTGAAACCAGAAGGCTCTTTGGAACTGCTCCAGCATAGGGGCATTTAGACAATCCTCCAAGAGAAAAAAGTTGTCTTTTTTTTTGAGACAGTCTCACTCTGTCACCCAGGCTGGAGGGCAGTGGCATAATCTCGGCTCACTGCAACCTCCACCTCTGAGGTTCAAGTGATCCTCCCACCTGAGCCTCCTGAGTAGCTGGGACTACAGGCGTACACCACCATGACTGGCTAACGTTTTTTGTATTTGACATTTGCTTTTTGTGACACACCATGCCCTCTGGTAAGGAGGGAACTGCTCATGTCTTCCCATGAAGACTTATTTTCCTCCCCTCTAATCAATGCCATGTGCTGGTCTTCATCTGGAACAGCAGTGGGACAAGAGCAGCATGGGGGACATGCTCAGACCTGAGTCCAGAAGACTTCCCTGTGCCAAGTGCCCCGCCCCAGTCTCATATCAAAGACACTTCTGAACCCACAGGCCCCAAAAGCCCACCTGGGCCTTTCTTCTATCATCTCTACAGTTGACGGCTCCTTTCTTCGAAAAGAAGGTTCTCCAGCAGATAAAGCTGGAGTGTCTGCTGCTGCCCTCATGATGGCCAGCACAAGAACAAACCCATTCTACAAAAGGGGAAGTAATTTCCCGAAAACACAAAGTTAAGTTTTTTACCAGTCTCCAGTTCAGGCCACCAGAGACAGGCTGGCTCTCAGAACAAAGTTGTGGGCAAGTGAACACACGTCAGAGCCCCGACCTCCTGTGGCTCAGCCCTGCCTAGAGACTGGCGTGGCACGGCACCTTCAAATGCCCTCAGACCTGGCGCCTCCAGGTGCTGAGAACTGTCACTTGCCTTCCTTTGCTTATGCCTTGCTCGCTTCGCTGCACGCGTGCTGCTCACTGGTTTGGTTTCGGAGCTATTTATAAACTGCAACAAATCCTCCACCCTCCGATGGTCAACGACGCTTTCCCTTTCTGAGATCTGGTCCATTTTTTTAGGTTGCTCCTCTTTCCTCTTGGTCAGCCGTAAGCGAAGCTTTTCCCTCATTTCTGCATAATTTCTACTTGTTGGTGCAGCTGGAGGCTGAGAAAAACAACAAAGTTATGCTTAAGTTTTAAAAATTTTGAATATAATAAATTTCAGACCACACCTCCAAAAATAAACTGTTTTATTACTCAAGTAGTATATATTTGTTGTGAAAAATAAGGAAATACAACAACCAGCAGAAAAAGAGAAAAACCTATCAGCAAGTCACCCAAAAGTGGCATTTTGATACCTACTCTCAAATTTTACATATTCATGAAAAACCTGATAAAGCATGTATAGCTATGCACATAAGTGGATTTTTTAAACTGAAAAGGAAACAATTACAAATCCTGATTAATGTATTTTATTTATTTATTTATTTATTTATTTTTGAGACAAGGTCTTGCTCTGTCACCCAGGTTGGAGTGCAGTGGTGCGATCATAGCTCACTGCAGCCTTGACCTCCTGAGCTCAAGCAGGGGTGTGCTGTCACACTCAGCTAATTTTCTTTATCTTTTGTAGAGACAGGGTCTCCTGTGTCGCCCAAGCTGGTCTTCAATTCCTGGGCTCAAGAGATCCTCCCTTAGCCTCCCAAAGTGCTGCTATTACAGGCATAAGCCACTATGCTTGGCCTCTACCTGTTATTTAACATGGTGTGAATATCTTTTCATGTCAATAAATGTGTCTGTAGTATCTTTCCATCCATTTGTGGGTTTCCTTTTTGGTGCCAAAAAAAGCCCTGAATCCTACTGCCAAATTTCTTGCTATAAAAACATGTGAACATTTTAGGAAATGCAAACAGAGCTAAAGCAGAAAAAGAACAACTATAAGCCCCTGCTATTCCTGTCACCCATCCCTCTTAAACAGTGGGTGATAATTGGTTGTATAAATTAAATCACAGCTCTGGAAAGATGGACAAGTATGTGTGTGTACCAACGCCCTCTGTATTCAAACAAGAGAAACCCAACTGCACACACACAACGCTGCTGTCGCTGGCTACAATGTTCCACCATATGGATACACCATGGTTAACAACCTCCTACCAATGGGTATTCAGTAGGAATACCTCACTGCTGATTTACCAGTTACCTTAAAAACCACAAAGTAAAAAATGAAGAAAAAAAATCATTATGGCTAAATCTTTGGGCATATATTTTTCTTTGTTTCTTTACAATGGATATACCCTAGAAGTGGAATATACCCCGAATTCAACCTAGTACAGAATTTCTGCAAAGGAGCCCGTGTGTTGCACACTTCCCACATCATGATGCGCTGACCTCATGCACTCACCCCGCCGTGCCCAAAGAATTCGCAGTAGCAGCAGTCGCAGTACTTGCCCTCCTTCTGGTTGGTGGAGGTCGAGGTGCTGGAGCTGTGCTCAGAGCAGCTGTCCTCATCTGCACTCTCGTCCCCATCATCCTGCTGTGGGTCGTAGACACCATTCTCGCAGCGGTGCCCTTCGCAGTCAGGGTCACTGCAAAACCGCATACAAGCTCATCAGCAAGTGGCCGGCCCGGGAGGCAATGACTCACATTGTTGCACATGACCACCCACTGTCCTGCCCATTTCACAGACAAGAGGCAGCGCAGAGGGTGCATAGTCCCAGGGTTACTAGGGAGTCATACACAAGCAGCAAGGGGCTCACGTGGGAGACATGGCGTGTGCGCATGCATGCAGGCGGTCCCTCAAAGTGCTCACAGAGCGCCACTGAACAGGAACACGTAGTCTCTCCAATGACTCCTTCTGAGACTGCCCCTGCCACCACAGCTTCCATACTAAGGGGCTTCGAAAAGGGGTATAGCTTCAAACAGGCGAGTTCAAAGGTAACAGAATTTGTCTTAAAAAGAAAGTCTGGCCAGGTGCAGTGGCTCACGTCTGTACTCCCAGCACTCTGGGAGGCCAAGGAAGGTGGATCTTGAGGTCAGGAGTTCGAGATCAGCCTGGCCAACATGGTGAAACCCCATCTCTACTAAAAATACAAAAATTAGCCAGGCATGGTGGCGTATGCCTGTAGTCTCACTACTTGGGAGGCTGAGGCAGAAGAATCGCTTGAACCCAGGAGGTGGAGGTTGCAGTGAGCTGAGATCGCACTACTGCACTTCAGCCTGGGCGACAGAGTGAGACTCTGTCTCAGAGAAAAAAAACAAAAAACAAAAAAACACACCTGTTGAGTGTTTGTTGTATTGTGTTTTTACTATATACACATTTCATTCATTTTCCTCTGATTCCACCCTAGGTATAACAAATACAACTTATACAATGAGTAAAAAACAATGCACACCCCCGATGCTGTCAGTGTTTAGGCGTAGTTGGCCCACCTATCCATGGCGGCCCACGGCCCCTGCTCTTCCCTCTGCAAAACTACAGGCTGAGATGGGAGCCCCCCTCTACCCATGGCCTCTGCTGGGGACATCCCTGCATTCCCTCGGCATTTCACTAGACTTTTCCACTGCATGGTCCCAGGGGAGTTTCTGTAGCTGTGTTAGTGAGGCATAACACCCATTTTCCAAAGTGCTCCCACGTCCCCAGTCAGGACTTGGCTCACCTGCAGACACTTGGAGGGGCGCTAATGGAGCCATCTGTGGCCGGGGGTAGGGGTGCAGGACAGAAACTCTTGCGTGTGTCCACAAACCCAGGAGTTGTGGTTGCTGTTTTGGGGAATGATGGGGCTGCAAGATTTGCAAGGTGAGGTGTGGAGGCAGGTGAGAGCGCAGCAGGTGACAGCGCAGCAGGCGAGAGCGCTGGGAGGGGGGCCAAGCCCGTGGGGCTATTCCTCGGGGCGGCTGGGGCCGAGTGTCTGTGGTCCTCCTTGCTGATGCCATGAAACACGTCACCTGCATTTAGAGAGGCGAGAGTCACTGCCAAGTTTGTTTCAAAAATGTTCAAACCTGTAGAAAATCTGAAAGAACACACAAAGAGTACCCATTCATCCTTCACCTTGCTTCATCTTCACGACCTAATATTCTGTCATATTTATAAACTTTATTTCTTACAGGCACACACACTTTTTAGCCGAACGTCTGCAAGTTACACTCACCTCTGAACACTTCGGTATGAACTCCTCAGAACATCGACAGTTTGGTTTTTTAAAAAAAATTTCTTGGCCGGGCGTGGTGGCTCATGCCTGTAATCCCAGCACTTTGGGAGGCCGAGGCTGGTGGATCATGAGGTCAGGAGATCGAGACCAGCCTGACTAACACAGTGAAACCGCATCTCTACTAGAAATACAAAAAATTAGCTGGGCGTGGTGGCACATACCTGTAGTCCCAGCTACGCGGGAGGCTGATGCAGGAGGATCACAGATCGCACCACTGCACTCCAGCAGCCTGGGTGACGGAGCAAGACTCCGTCTCAAAGAAAAAAAAAAAATCACCTTTTTCTAAGAGACAGTGTCTCACTATGTTGTCCAGGCTGGTCCTGAACCCCTGGGCTCAAGCAATCCTCTCACCAGGGCCACCTAAAGTGCTGGGACTACAGGTGTGAGCCACTGTACCGAGCTTTTTACTTAAAAATTTCCTCCCTTCTCTCTCCTCTCTTTTCTTTTCTTTCTTTCCCTCCCTCCCTCCCTCTCTCTTTTTTTGACATTTTGCTGAATACCATGATCACCTCACTGGCATTTAACACTGACAGGATACTCTCATCTAAGGTATAACCCATATTCCATTTTCCAATTTCCTTCACATGTCCATTATAGCTTTCCCACTAACCCAGCCTCTTCCAACCCTTTTCTCTTTTCACAAGACTTAACATTTTTAATAGGCTACCTGTCTGCCAATTTGGATTTGTCTTGTCTTGGTAGATTTGGATAAAATGTTCTGGGCACAAATCCTGCAAATATTACGTTGGATCCTTCTGAGTTTGTGGCAATGGGATGCACCCAGTGTCTCTCTGTTTCATGGTGGTGTGCATGGCACTGTCTGCTAGGTTCCTCCAGAGTCTGGCACCCACCATTCCTTTGTAATCTGTCGGTACCCAGTGATAGGGTTTGGTTGTGTCCCCACACAAATCTCATCTTGAATTTTGTTCCCATAATCCCCCCATGTGGTGGAAGGGACCCAGTGGAAACAACTGAAGCGTGGGGATGGTTTCCCCCATGCTGTTCTAGTGATAGTGAGTGAGTTCTCACGAGAGCTGATGGTTTTATAAGGGGCTTCCCCCTTCGCCGTGTACTCGTTCTCTCCCCCGTGAAGAGGTGCTTTCCACCATGATTGTAAATTTCCTGAAGCCTCCCTAGCCATGTGGAACTGTGACTCAATTAAAACTCTTTCCTTTATAAATCATCCAGTCTTGGGTATTTCTTCATAGCAGTGTGAGAATTGATTAACACAAGCGCCCATCATCCTGCTGTAATCTGTCAGTACCCTATGGGTGCTGCTTTTGAACAGTAGAAATACTCCATTCCCCAAACTGATATCCCTTGTTAACCTCCATGAATGCTGCATACTTGCACCAGCTGTTACCCTGGGGGTGCAGCATGCTGACTTGCCACTCTTATCCTTCTTACACATTTAGAGGAGGTGTGCTTTTAGAAGAAGGAGCTTCCCACCCTACTGCTCTGTTTGAGCATCCCAATCCTTATGGATTCTTGACTTTATTTGTATGCTATAGTCAAACTTCCTGTTTTTTTAACTTTTTTTTTTTTTTTAGAGACGGGGTCTCACTATGTTGCCCAGGCTAGTCTCAAACTCCCAGGCTTAAGCAACCCTCCCCTCTCAGCCTCCCAAAGTGCTGGGAGCTACCACACTCAGCCTCCTCATTCCTTTTAATGCTCAATCTGTCCCAGCTTTGGCTAGTGAGGCCTCCTCGAGCCAGCTACTGAGTTGCCATTGGTCTCTGATCACATTATTGCTTTTGGGCCCCCTAAGTGACAGCCAGGGGCTGTACCCTAGGCTGGGTGACAGGCAGCCCTGTCAGCTCACATCTGCTCAGCATTTTCCTAAAGCAGCTTCTGAGAAATCTTGCCACATGCTCAGAAAGCAATGACCTCCTAGCCTGGCCAAAATGGTGAAACCCCGTCTCTACCAAAAAATACAGAAATTAGCCGTGCGTGGTGGTGGGCACCTATAGTCCCAGCTACTTGGGAGGCTGAGGTAGGAGAATCGCTTGAACCCAAGAGGCAGAGGCTGTAATGAGCTGAGACTGCACTGCTGCACTCCAGCCTGGGCGAACAAGAGTGAGACCCTAACTCAAATCACAGAAGAACAGAAACAGAGACAAAAGCAAGACAGTGCAGCGAAGCCCCAGAGGAATCTAGCACAACAGCTAAAATTCTAATCAAAGTCCTAGGGGATCAGCTCTCTGTGTGTGAGCATTTTTGGGCAGTTAATTACACTTACGCCTCTGGCTAGGCCAAGTAAAAGGCAGTTACAAAGATGAGTTACAAAGACGAGAAGTCAGTAAGCCCAGCCTTCCTGCAGACCCCGAGGGCCAGTGAGCCTTCAAGCCTTACCTACTGAAGGAGGTCTCTTGGATGACACTCTGAACTGGCTGTTGCTGGACTGCACTGTGGTAGCTGTGCAGGACACAGAGGACGTGGCTGATGACGTGGCCATGACAACTTTATTTGCTTCCATGAAAGCATCTTGGAAATTGTATAAACATTTCTTTTTTGCAGCATTCTTTTTCTCTTTACTATCCGAGACTGCAGGTGTTTCATTGCTAGATGGAGGTGGAAGGGCTTCCGGTCTTGTTTCTGAGAGTGTTGGCCCTAATATTTCACTCCCTTCAAAGAAGAACAGGAAAATTAAGGCTTCTGACAGCAATCATACTTAGCTAAACCCTAAAAGACATGCTGATGACTGAACACTTGATACTGGGGGTGCTACTGAAGTCAGGATCCCACTGGGATGACACTAAGTCAACTAGCTTTTAATCTAAGAAAAAATTGTATTGAGCACCTACTATGTGCCAATTCCTGTGCTAGGTGCTTTCCAAAGTTACGTAAAGTCTTAAAATTACTTTCTGAGGTTGGTACTATTACTCCCATCCTAAGAAGATGAAGAAACTGAGGCTCAGAGAGGCCAAGCAACTTGCCCAAGGTCACACAGCTAGAAATCCTTCCTAAGCACAGATCAGGATGTCAAGTCTAGCCTGCTGTTCTGGCACATGCAGGGGCTGGGTGTGGGGCTGCCAGGAGCTCTGGCCGCAGGAAGACAGAGATGAGGAGTAGGTACCAGCCCCTTTTCAGGTGCCCCTGACCCTGTGACTGAAGTAACGGCTGGGCCTCAGTGGCTGAGGCAGCTGGGGAGTAAGGAGCTAGTAAAGGGGAGAGATGCCACGTGGCGCCAATGCAGTAACCAGAGGAAGGAGTGTGAGTCACAGATTTAAGTCAACTGTGGCACTTTCTTCCTGCCCCTGTGCACCGGGGGGGCTGAGGTCTGGCTGTCACCACTGCTCGAGAATTGAAGGCCGGGCACCCGACCGTGGTCACGAGACCCTCAGCAGCGCTGAGGCCACGCCCATGTGGCTCACCGGGCTGACGGGCAGCCATGGAGCCAGAGTCTTGCTCCGCTCTGTCACACAGTGGGACCGACTGGTGGCAGATGCGAGAGGATGGAGTAGGATGACAGCCCCGAGGGGCCTCCCACTGGAGACAGAGGTGGTGGAGCAGCAGCTGGCTACAGCTGCGCCAGGGCTTCCACGGGAGACTACGGCAAAGATGTCAGTCTACTCAGGTTATTTTAAAACTTCAAGAAAGTTTTAACAAATTCCTTACCAGAAATTGTATCTGGCAAGAAAGTGCCAGGATTCCAGTTCTTATCATTCATCACTTCTGATCCCCAAAGACTTATAAATTTAGAACTATTCCACTCTGGAGTATTCCCAAAACAGCTCGGATAAATATGGTCTTGAAGAGATGCATTGAATACCTGATGCTTATTTGTGTGATTCTGAACAGGTGCTGGCGGTAAAGCCTACAAAAAAAAATTTTCTAATCACATATCAAAATTAATATTCTGTTTACCTAGGTAAGTAGTTAAACTACAGACAGACAATTCATTATGAGCCTCATGGGATGTGCTCGCCATGAGCTGAGCTCAGCCCAGGGGGAGCACATCTCACAAAACATGGACTTGATTTATGAGACTGTACACGACAGGTCAAATTTCAACCAGATGTAGATATGAAAAGCAACCGATGCCTTGAGGAGTATATCTGAACAAACTTTAGACAACTCAGTAACTTCTCACATTCCTACTGGGTCACATGTGAGTGTGCCATGTGCGTCGTAAGATCTGTTTCTACGGCTTAATCTCAGCAAGCATTTTAATGATCATCACTAATAAGTCAACTTTGGAATCACTGATGAAAATGGATAAAACCCTTACACTGACCTCTTATACCCAGGCAAGGTACAGCACAAATCTAATGACCTAGAGAAATTTGTATACTGTGCTCTAAAGACCAGGGCGTTCTCAAAGGAGCTGCCTCATTGGCAAGCCCCGCCCTGGGCCCTGTGGGGCAGACCATTGTTGAAGGCACCAAGGGAAGGTGAGCAGGGTCTGGCCAGCTGGCTAGCCAACATCCATGCATTTATTGAGCCACTAGCCATCTGGCTGCTCCTGCACAGGCTGGGGCCCCCTTGGGTCCTCCCTCTGCCTCAGCCACTATCCAGGCAACAGGCCCTGGCTGCTGACCTCCTTAGGAGATCCTGAGCACCATGTTCTCACAGTGGCGCAGTGCAACAGCCTGCACATTTGCACCACGAACTCTTCCCAGTCCTTCTCCCCACTACAGCCAGAGTGATCTTTGTTGAATGTAAATTCGAGCATGTCACTCCCCTGCTCAGGATGCAGCAATGGCTTCCCAAGGCTCTGGCCTGCAAAGTTCCAAGGGAGCTGGGCCCACCACCTCCACCCTTCCTGCTCACCAAAGCCCTGGACACACAGGCCTCCCCTTGGCCGGCACACGCCTATTCACCTTCTTGGCCCTAAGTTCTGCTTGTGCTGTGTCCATGCTCTAGAATGTGCAAGCCTCAGCTCGCTACCACACTCGCACTCATCCTGCAGGCCTCGGCCTAAAGATCGCTTCCTCAGAGAAGCCGGCGTTGCCTTTGCTGTCACCTCCCAGGAACCAACACCCAAGACCAAGGCGAGCCTTCCCACTGAACACACTAAAATCCGTCATTTTCCCTCTTAGCACTTACCACAGTTATAATTCGAGACCTACTTGTAGCCTGTTGGTTTGATGTCTGCCTTTCCCCAAATTATATGCGCTCTAGGATGAGGTGGGACATCTGGGTCCTGGCCCTTCTCCCCCAGTCCTTGCTAATGCTGGGCAGACATACGGTTCTCCCTCAGCAGGACTTCTGTCTGCTGGAGAGGAGAAGTGCCCAGTTATGGGCAACCTGGTCATCACATCCTCTGGGATGCAGAAATGAGTAGTGAATTCTTTAAACTCAAGTGGGAGGGTTCCCTGGAGGGTTCTTAAGAATGGGCGATGGTTCGGCAGAATCCTGCTGGCCTGGCTGGGGCAGAGGGAGGACAGGAAGAGGTTAGGAGCAAAGGGATGGCGCACGTACAGGGATGACAGTGCTACACCCTGACAGGCTCCAGGTTGAGTGTGGGCAGCAGCCAGGCCAAAGACAACTTTGTACCACTTTGTTCTGAAGGGGCTGGGGAGTCACAGAGGGATTTAAACAGCAGAGTGAGATGATTTGGTCAGCTTTGTGGAAAGATCAATTTGTGGCAATGCTGTGGATGAACCAGAAGGCGGAAGGAGGACGAGTAGGTTAGTCAGGGGATGAGAAAGGATGAAGCAATGGCAGTGAAGGTGGCAAGGAAAGGAGGAATTCTGGAGCTATCAAGATGAAAGCTGGGACTGCACATCTAGTCCAGGAGCTACCACTGCTGGCTCCACTATGAGGAGGCACGGTCAGGTGACAGCTAGATCTGAACTCTAGTCCCACGTCTTGGCCTTTGGGCTCTGGAGTCTGGCGAGCTCGGATGCCAGCTCTCCCTTTTGCTAGCTGTGTGACCTCAGGCAAATCACTCAATCTTTTTGTGCTTTAGTTTTCTCATCTGTAATCTGGAAATACCTACCTCCAGGGGTATGGTAAGAGTTGAGCACACTGCCTGGCCCATAGTAAGTATTCAGTGAGTGTGATGGTGCACTGCTTTGATTTTCTAGGACAATAGTCTTAGAGACTACTATATAGAGACTACTTATATAGACATAGAGTCCCTGGACACAAAACACCTGACCAACCGACCAAACCTTTCCACCTTGCCCTTCTTCCACAGTGCTTCGGAGCAGAGAGGAAGCACTCCCCTCTGGGCTGCTGGACAGCTCAGCGAGTCCACTGACCTGGAACAGGCCCAGGAAGGCAAAGGGGGAGAGGAGGGTAGAGCAGACACTCAGGACTCAACAGCAGGAATAAACAGGTCCAGACGGGCCACCCAGGATACAGTAAAGGGCCTGAAGTCATTGTTTTGGTAAGGGAGCCCCATGGGACAAGAGCCAGGAAAATAAAAAAACGTATTTCAATAGATACCCATTTCTACAAAGCAGCGATAAGCTAAGAGCTGCTTTGCTGAGAAGTAATTGACAAAAAGTAACAAGTAGAAGACTTCTTGGTCTTGAGGACCTTCTTGTAAAAGGCAGAAGCCCGTGACAGATGCCAAACTGCTAGCTTTGAGCAGCAGTCCCATTGTGCCGGCCCAGCTGGTAAACCATGACTAGAAGCACTCTCAGGGCTCTGAAGCTACGTTAAGTGCCTCCTGGACTCCTCAAGACACGACCATGAGTTGTTTGGTTTCAGGTTTGAAAAGCCTGGCTGAGAGCCTGGGCTCCACCACCCATGTGTGTTCAGAGAGCTCTTGCTTATGCTTCAAAACCCTATTTCATCAGCATCACCTCCTCTGCAAAACCACCCGTGGGCTCATTTAAAATTTTCTCTCTTCGGTGTTACTTTTCTGCCTAGCATCTGTAAGTCACAACATTTTGATATTTTGATTATGTTTTTGTCTTCTCTTTAGACTGTGAACTCTTTGAAAAGAGGGGCCAAGACTAACCGATTTTTGTCTTCCTAGAGTCTAGCACAGGGCCTGGCACATATTGGGTGTTCAATAAGTGTTTGCTGAACAGTGTCTAGCTTAGAGGAATAAGGGAATGCATCTATATAACTGTAATATTGGAAACATACGGCAATGATTCTACGCATTTGATTTACACACTATTCAGAACCCCACACACTCAAAAACGGAAGCCCAGTTGTAGGGACAAAAGTAACAGGGATCAGTAACAAAAAAAGTTGTATTTTCTTTAATGCTTTTGCAGAAGATGCCTACTGACCTCAATAGCTTATGGATTTCTTTCAGGAAAAAATAGGTGTCTGTCACCTAGACCATTTTTGGACCATGACTTTATAAGTCCACCAATGATATAACTGTAAAGTAACTCTCTCAGAACGTGGACTACGCTATTGAATCAGAACACCAATTTCACTCGTTATACAAACCCACAAAGCTTCAACTAGCAGAAGTTTTGCATTTTTATCCACTTTGAGACAAAAGAAGTAATCCATAGAAAAGGAAAACTGTTGCTTTAAATGAAAGCTCTGACACAAATATGCAAACACAACAAACTGCTTTCCACTGCGCACACACTGAGTTTATCCAGGAGCTAGGTGACTCGCCTGTCCTCTACCACCCACACCCACTCGGACATGGAACATGGGTGCAAGACATGAGGAGCAAGAGCCGCAGACTGAGTCATGAGGCCCACACGTGAGAGGTTCCCAACACTAAGCATCCGAGCAAAAATGAGTTCCAGTTGTATCCCCAGTAACGAAAAGGTTAAGATGACAGACTCTCTGTATTTCTGCTTAACAGGTTTTTTGGTATTTCTCCCAGAGATTGGTAAAGAGGCGAAGGACCATCTTTGCTTTGGCTGTGCCAGTTTTCAGGCTGGAAGAGCTGAATCTCAGCTCTAAAAGAACATGCAGGTCGAAGATCACAATGTGATCCCCATATTGCAACCTATTTATGACCCTATTATCCACATAGCTTTACCTGCCCAATCTAAATCTGCACTTATACTTTAAACTATATTTAACTGAATCATATTTTAACTGTATTAAATGCGTTTCCAGTGGTTTTACTTAAGTCTCAAAGTAACCCAGAGAGGGAGTGTAAAGATACACCCTGGCCCTCGAAGCTAACAAGGGACCAAGGCTACTTGGCACCCGGTCCTCCCCTTACACCACGTCACCAGGCTCCACTTGATACACTGAACTCCTGAGGGCCAGAACCCAGTGGCCACTGCAAATGCTCCACTGCAAAGTTCTCAGTGGAGACTTAGAGACATCCCTGTCTTCACTTCTAGGCCGTTTCTTAGTACACCAACTGTTTCACAGTACATCCTCCGTGTTGGATGAAAAAGACCCAGGATTCAAAGTCACATGCCTTGGGTTCCGGTATAGATTCAGGCCCTGTAGTCGTTAACTTCCTACTCCTAGGCCACGTGGAAGGAGCAGCAAAATGCAGCCGCACCTGCTCGGCTTTGCTCTTCTCTTGAAGGCCGTTCTTCCCCCCTGGTCTGGGCCTTGCTAGGTAAGAGGGGCTACTTAGCTCTAGATCTGAGAGAAATGACACTGAACACTTTGGTAACCAACTGCTATCGACAAAGGCAAAGGATGAAAAGAAGTATCAGGAGGTCATGAGAGAAGCGAGGTGGAGGTGAGGGGAAGGAACAGCCGTACACCATCGCCACAGTGACGTGTGGGGGCAGCAGTCTGGAGGCCCTCAAGAGGAGCCCAGGTCTCAGGCAGCTCTCGCATCAGCAGACGCCAACCCTCACAGGGAAGCATCCACTATGGAGGGCTGTGGTTCTCACAGAGTAAGCTGAGCAAAACATAACCTCCTAATATACTCCATCCGCAAAAGGAAATAATACATCACAGGTGATATCAGCAGAAAACGAATCTGGATGCTCAAGGTTTCATTCAAACACAGAGTAACTATGTGTGAAATGCTTAAAGAAAGAAAAAAAAAACAAGGAACAAGAGAATATAAAGAGCTACTAAGTATCTTTGGAAAAAAAAAGTAAATTAAAACTTATAAATAATAAATATAGTCAGAATCAGGACTTAAGTGGCAGGCTAGGCACCACTACAGAATCACTTAACTGGAGGACTGATCCCAAAAAAGTTCTCAGAACATGGAACTGGGAGAAAAGGAGATGAGAAACATGCAAGAGAGTGTTAGGAATGCAGAACAGAAGAAGGTCTAACAACAATCTCACCAGAGGCTGAGAGAGACAACTGAATGGTTGCAGGAACATGGAGATAACATGGATGGCAATTATCATACAGGAAATTGAAAATGATTGGTAGGCCAAAGGCTCTAATGGAAAAAGTAGACAGCATGCAAGAACAAGGGGGCCGTGTGAGCAGAGAGATGGGAAGAAATGCTGGCAATAAAAACAATCTAAGAGAAACGAAGACTATCAGTGATGGACTCATCAGGAGACGACACGGCCAAGGAAAGAGTCAGGGAGCTGCAAGATATGTCAGCAGAAACTTCCCATACTGCAAGGCAAAGAGAAACAAGAATTAAAAACAAAAACAGAAACAATATCCCCAATAGAACAAAACATCCAAAACCTGTGGGACAGTTTCGAAAGATATAACACCTGGTAAGTGGAATGCTGGAAGGAGAGACTAGAGAAACAGTTGAAGTAGTAATAGCTAAAAAGTCTCCAAATTAACAACTGACAGCACAGATCCAAAGAATTCAGAGAACATCAAGTGGAATAAATACCCCCAAAGCTACATGAAGACATATTCTATTCAACCTGCAGAATACCAAAGAAAAAGAGAAAATCTTGGCCAGGTGCCATGGCTCATGCCTGTAATCTCAGCACTATGGGAGGCCAAGGCAGGCGATCACCTGAGGTCAGGGGTTCAAGACCAGCCTGGCCAACATGGTGAAACCTCATCTCTATTAAAATACAAAAATTAGCCGGGCATGATGGCGGGAGCCTGTAATCCCAGCTACCTGGGAGGCTGAGACAGGAGCATCACTTGAACCTGGGAGACAGTGGTTACAGAGAGCCGAGATGGCGCCACTGCACTCCAGCCTGGGCGGCTGAGCAAGACTCTGTCTCAAAAAACAAAAAACAAAAAAAAAAAAAAGAGAAAATCTTGAAAGCAGCTGGGTGGGGGCAAGTGGACCTACAGAAGAACAGGGAAAAGAATTCGAAAAGAATTCCAGAGGACATCTTGTCAGAAATCAGAAACCATGCCAGCAAGGACAGAGGGAAGTTAAACAGTTCTAAAGTGTTCAAAGAAAAAAACCACCAACCTAGAATTATGTGTCCAGCCAAATTATCCTTCAAAAGTGAAGGAGAAATAAAGACTTCCTCAGACAAACAAAAACTGAGGGAGCTCATCACCAGCAGACCTGCCCTGCAAGAAATGTCAAAAGATTTCCTTCAGATAGAAGGTCAGAAACGTGGATCTACATAAAGAAAGGAAGAATACTAGAGAAGGAATAAAGACAAAGTAAAATATCTTCTTCTTATTATTATTCATCTAAAAGATAACTGTTGAAAGTAATCATCATCACTGTACTGGGTGATAAACATGTGGATAAGTGAAAATAATGACAGCAATGTCACAGGGAATAGGGAAGGGTCGGGAGTAATCTGTTAAATGTTACCTTTTTTACATTAGTTAGTTGAAAAAGGACTCAGATTAGTTCAAAATGTATATTGTAAACTCCAGGGCAACTGCAGAAATTTTAAAAAAGATAAATAAAATTGATATACTAACAGAGGAGATAAAACCATAAAACGCTTAATTAAAAGTAGAGAAGGCAGAAAAAGACTCATAATGAATAGGAAACAATTACAAACATGGCTGATATTAATCTAAATACATCAAAAAATCACTTTAAATGTGAATAGTCAAATACACCAATGAAAAGACAAAGATTATCAGAGTACATCAAAAAACAACAAGCATGGTGGCATGTGCCTATAGTCCCAGCTACTCAGGAGGCCAAGGTGGGAGGACTGCTTGAGGCTAGGAGTTCAAGTTCAGCTTGGGTAACATAGCAAGAGTCCATCTCTAAAAATAAAAAAACAAACAAACACAACTATACATGTCTACAAGAAACCTGCTTTACATATGAAACCCTGAGAAGGTGGCTCGCGCCTGTAATCCCAGCACTTTGCGAGGCTGAGGTGGGCGGATCACAAGGTCAGGAGATCGAGACCATCCTGGCTAACATGGTGAAACCCTGTCTTTACTAAATATACAAAAAATTAGCCGGGCATGGTGGTGGGCACCTGTAGTCCCAGCTACTTGGGAGGCTGAGGCAGGAGAATGGTGTGAACTCAGGAGGTGGAGCTTGCAGTGAGCCGAGATCGCATCACTGCACTCCAGCCTGGGCGACCGAGGAAGACTCTGTCTCAAAAAAAAAAAAAAACCAAAAAAAAAAAAACCCTGAGAAGTTAAAAGTAAAGGGATGGAAACAACCAATGGATCAATAAAGAAATTACAAAGAAAAGCAGAAAATACTTAGAGACAAATGAAAACAAAAACATAACATACTGAAACTTACGGGACGCAGTGAAAGCAAGCACTAAGAGCAAAATGTATAGCTACAAACACATCAAAAAACAAGAAAGATCTCTATCAGCAACCTAACTAGGATAGGCGTGGTGGCTCATGCCTGTAATTCCAGCACCTTGGGAGGCTGAGGCAGGAGGACTGCTTGAGCCCAGGAGTTTGAGACCAACCTGGGCAACATGGTGAGACCTCCGTCCCTACGTAAATAAATACATAGACAGACAGATAGATAGCTGGGCATGGTGGCACACACCTGTAGTCCAAGCTACGAGACTATGGGTCAGGAGGATTGCTTGAGCCCAGGAGGTCGAGGTTGCAGTGACCCAAGATCGCACCACTACACTCCAGGCTGGGCAACTGAGTAAGCTTTGTCTCAATAACAACAACAAATAAAATGAAACAAAAAACCCTCCCTAACTTCACATCTTAATGAATTAGAAAAAGAACAATCTAAACCCAAAGCTAGCAGAAGAAAGGTAATTTAGAGCAGAGATTAATGATCAATGAAATAGAGAATAGAAAAACAATAGGGGAAAAAAAAAATCAATGAAACCAAAATATAGTTCTTTGAAAAGAGAAACAAAACTGACAAAACTTTAGTGAGATGGAGTAAGAAAAAAAAAAGACTCAAATTACTATAATCAGAAATGAAAGTGGGGACATTATTATTGATTACACAGAAATAAAAGGGGCTGGGAGTGGTGGCGCACACCTGTAATCATAGCTACTTGGGAGGCTAACACAGGAGAATCATTTGAGCTCAAGCGTTCGAGGCTCCAGTGAGCTATGATCGTGCTACTGCACTCCAGCCTGGGCAACAGAGCAAGCATATCTCTAAAAAGCAGAAAATTAAATTAAAATTAAGAAAAAAACATAAAAGGTATTATAAGAAAGTACTGGCTGGGCTCGGCGCTGTAGCTCACGCCTGTAATCCCAGCACTTTGGGAGGTCCAGGTGGGTGGATCACCTGAGGTCAGGGGTTCGAGACCAGCCTGACCAACATGGTGAAACCCCATCTCTACCAAAAATACAAAAATTAGCCGGGCATGGTGGTGGGCGCCTGTAATCCCAACTATATGGGAGGCTGAGGCAGGAGAATCTCTTGAACCTGGGAGGCAGAGGTTGCAGTGAGCCAAGATGGTGCCATTGCACTTCAGCCTAGGTGACAAAGCAAGACTCCGTCTCAAAAAAAAAAGTAAGTAAGTATTGGCTGGGCTTGGTAACTCATGCCTATAATCCCAGCACTTTGGGAGGCTGAGGTAGTAGGACTGCTTTAGCCCAGGAGTTTCAGTCCAGACTGGGTAACATAGTGAGACCCTGTCTTCTCTCTGGAAGAGTCCAAAACAATAAAAAAAAAATTAGCTGGGAGTGGTGGCACATGCCTGTAATCCCAGCTATTGGGGGGCCAAGGGAGGAGGAATGCTTGAGCCCAGGAGTTTGAGGCTGCAATGAGCTATGATCATGTCATTGTACTCCTGCCTGGGTGACAGAGTGAGATGCCGTTTCAAAGAAAAAAGAAAGTATTACGAACAACTGTACACCAACACACTGGATAAAACAGATGAAATGAAAAAATTTTTAGAAACACAAAACCTATCAAGACGAAATCATAAAGAAATAGAAAAGTCTGAACAGACCTGTAACTAGTAAGGAGATTGAACTGGTAATCAAAAACCACCCAATAGGCTGGGCGCAGTGGCTCACGCCTGTAATCCCAGCACTCTGGGAGGCCAAGATGGGTGGATAACCTGAGGTCAGGAGTTTGAGACCAGCCTGGCCAACATGGCAAAACCCCGTCTCTACTAAAAATACAAAAATTAGCTGGGTGTGGTGGCATGTGCCTGTAGTTCCAGTTACTTTGGAGGCTGAGGCCAGGGAATCGCTTAGAATCTGAGAGGCGGAGGTTGCAGTGAGTGGAGATTGTGCCACTGCATTCCAGCCTGGGTGACAGAGCAAGACTCCGTCTCAAAGAAAAAAAAAAAAATCACCCAATAAAGAAAAGCCCCAAACCTGATGGCTTCACTAGTCAATTCTACCAAATATTTAAAGAATTAATACCAATCTTTCTCAAAGTTTCCAAAAAACTGAAGAGGAGGGAACACTTTCTAACTCATGTCCTGAGCATATCCCCATACCAAAGCCAAAGACACTGTAAGAAAAACTACAGGGTCGGGCGCGGTGGCTCACACCTGTAATCCCAACACTTTGGGAGACCGAGGCGGGTGGATCACCTGAGGTCGGGAGTTCGAGACCAGCTGACCAACATGTAGAAACCCTGTCTCTACTAAAAATACAAAATTAGCCGGGCCTCGTGGTGCATGCCTGTAATCCCAGCTACTCTGGAGGCTGAGGCAGGAGAATCACATGAACCCGGGAGGCAGAGGTTGCAGTGAGCCAAGATCACACCACTGCACTCAGCCTGGGTAATGAGCAAAACTCTGTCTCAAAAAAAAAAAAAAAAAAAAAAAAGAAAGAAAACTACAAACGAGTATCGCTTGTGAACATTCATGCAAACATCCTCAACAAAATACTAGCAACCTGAATTCAGCAGCATATTAAAAGATTCATACACCATGACCAAGTGGGACTCATTCCCAGAATGCAAGGATAATTCTATGTATAAAAAGTAATCAATGTTAATATGCCACATTAACAGACTGGAAAAAGCCAAAGATCATCACAACTGGTGCAGAAAAAGCATGTGACAAATTCAACACCCATTCATTACAAAAACACCCAACAAACTAGGAATAGAAGGAAAACTACCAAAACATAATAAAAGCCATATATGAAAAACCCACAGCAAACAATGGTGAACGAATGAAAGCTTTTCCTTAAATAACAGGAACAAGGCAAGGATGCCTGCTTTCATCACTTCTCTTCAACACAGTATTAGAAATTTCAGCCGGAGCAAACAGGCAAGAAAAAGAAATAAAAGGCATCTAAACTGGAAAGGAAGAAGTAAAATTATCTCTGTTTGTAGATGATATGATTTTACAATGTAGAGAACTCCAAAGATTCCACAAAAACAGTCTGTTAGAATAGATGAATTCAGCAAAGTAGGAAGATACAAAATCAACACTCAAAAATCAGCTGCATGTCTATACACTAACAATGGTCAGTTGGAAAAGGAAATTATGAAAACAATTCCATTCACGACAGCATCAAAAATAATAATTTAGGGCTGGGCACAGTGGCTCATGCCTGTAATCCCAGCACTTTGGGAAGCCGAGGCGGGCGGATCACTTGAGGTCAGGAGTTCGAGACCAGCCTGGCCAACATGGTGAAACCCCGTCTCTACTAAAAATACAACAATTAGCCAGGCATGGAGGCGCATGCCTGTAATCCCAGCTACTCAGGAGGCTGAGGCAGGAGTATCGCTTGAACCTGGGTGGTGGAGGGTGCAGTGAGCCAAGATCATGCCACTGCACTCCAGCGTAGGCGACAAAGTGAGATTCTGTCTCAAAAAAAAAAAAAAAAAAAACCACCAAAACCAAAACAAAACACCAACGGGAATTAACCAAAGAAGTGGAAGAGTTGTATCATAAAAACTACAAAACAGGCCAGGCGCGGTGGCTCACGCCTGTAATCCCACCACTTTGGGAGGCCAAGGCAGGCAGATCATGAGTTCAGGAGATTGGGACCATCCTGGCTAACACAGTGAAACCCCATCTCTATTAAAATACAAAAAATTAGCTGAGCGTGGTGGCACGTGCCTGTACGGGAGGCTGAGGCAGGAGAATCGTTTGAAACCAGGAGGTGGAGGTTGCAGTGAGCGGGATCATGCCACTGCATTCCAGCCTGGGTAACAGAGGGAGACTCTGTCTCAAACAAACAAACAAACAAACACACACTACAAAACACTGCTCTAAGAAATTAAAAAAACATAAATAAATGAAAACACATACCATATTTGTTGATTAGAAGACAATACTGTTAGAATGTACATACTGCCCAAAGTGATCTACAGATTCAATGCAGTTATGCAGTCCCCATCAAAATGCCAATGATGTATTTTGAAGAAATAGAAAAATCCACCCTAAATTCATATAGAATCTCACGGGATCCTGAATAACCCAAACAATCTTTTTTTTTTTTTTTTTGAGACAGTGTTTCCCTCTTGTTGCCCAGGCTGGAGTGCAATGGCGCGATCTTGGCTCACTGCAATCTCCGCCTCCCGGGTTCAAGTGATTCTCCTGCCTCAGCCTCCCGAGTAACTGGGACTACAGGCACGTGCCACCACGCCCGGCTAATTTTTTGTATTTTTAGTAGAGACAGGGTTTCACTGTATTAGCCAAGGATGGTCTCGATCTCCTGACCTCGTGATCCGCCCGCCTCAGCCTCCCAAAGTGCTGGGATTACAAGTGTAAGCCACCGTGCCCGGCCAACCCAAACAATCTCTACAAAAAAAACAAAAACAAAACAAAACAAAACAAAACAACAAAAAAACCCACCAAACCTGGTGGACTCACACTTCCTGATTTCAAAACTTACTGCAAAGATATAGCAATCAAAACTGTGTGGTATCAGCATGACATACAGACCAATGGAACAGAACAGAAAGCCCAAAACTGGAACTTCAGATATATGGTCAAATGATTTTTGACAAGGATGGCAAGATCCTTCAACAGGAAAAGGGCAGTCTTTTTAACAAATGGTACTGGTACAACTGAATATCCACATGCAAAAGAATGAAGTTGGACCCTTACCTAACACCATATATAAAAATGAACTAAAAAATGGATTACCAACCTAAATGTAAGGAAAGAACAAAACTCTTAGGAGAGAACAGAGAGCAAAAGCTTCACAACACTGGATCTGGCAATGATTTATTGGATGTAACGCCAAAGGCACAGGCAACAAAGAATAGACAAATTGGACTGCATGAAAATTTTTTTTTTTTTGAGACGGAATCTTGCTCTGTCGCCCAAGCTGGAGTGCAGTGACGTGATCTCGGCTCACTGCAAGCTCCACCTTCCGGGTTCACGCCATTTTCCTGCCTCAGCCTCCCGAGTAGCTGAGACTACAGGTGCCCGCCACCACACCCGGCTAATTTTTTTATTTTTAGTAGAGACGGGGTTTCACTGTGTTAGCCAGGATGGTCTCGACCTCCTGACCTCGTGATCCGCCTGCCTCGGCCTTCCAAAGTGCTGGAATTACAGGCGTGAGCCACCGTGCCTGGCTGAAAAATTTTTAAATGTTGTGCGTCAACAGACACTATCGACAGAGTAAAAAGGCAACCCACAGAATGGGAGAAAATACTTGCAAATCATATATCTGATAAAGGACTAATATCCAGAATAGAAAGAGAACTAAAATGCAACAACAACAAACCTGATTCAAAAACGAGCAAAGGACTTGAATAGATGTTTCTCCAAAGAAGATATACGAATAGTCAATGAACAATGAAAAGATGCCCAACATCACTAAACACTAAGGAAATGCAAATCAAAACTACAATGTATCTGTGGTCATTTACACAAGACAAAAAGCCCTACAATGGGATACCACCTTACATCCTTGAGGATGGTTACTATTAAAAAAGCAAAACAGAAAATAACAAGTGTTAATGAGGATGTGGAGAAACTGAAACCCTTGTGCACTGTTGGTGGGAATGTAAAATGGTGCAGCCACTGTAGGAAACGGTGGCAGTTCCTCCAAAAATTAAAAATACAATTACCATATGATCTAGCAATTCCACTTCCGGGTACACACCCCAAACAACTGAAAGCAGGGTCCTGAAATATTTGTACACTCATGTTTACAGCAGCACTGTTCATAGTAGCTAATGTATGGAAACAACACGTGTTCACTGATGGAGACACAAAATAGGGTACAGCCATATGATGAGTATTATTTAGCCTTAAAAAGGAAGGAGATTCTGCAATATGCGACAACATGAATAAACGCTGAGGACATTATGCTAAGTGAAATAAGCCAGTCACAAAAAGAGAAATACTGTACAATTCCATGTACATGAGGTACTTAGAGTAGTCACAATCACAGAGACAAAGTAGAATAATGGATGCCCAGGGCTGGGAGAAGTGGAGTTATTGTTTAACAGGTAAAAACCTCCAGCTTTACAAGATGAAAAGAGTTATGGAGACGGATGATGGCTGCACAACATTATCAACGTATTTAATACCACTGAATTCTACACTTAAAAATGGTTAAGATTGTAAATTTTATGTTAGTGCATATTTTACTATAATAAATCTTTTCAAAAAGTAAGCAATGAAGGAAGATATACCATGCTAGCACTAACCAAAAGAAAGCTAGAGGAGCTATATTAATTTCAGGCAGAGCAGACTTTAGAGCAAGGGAAGTTACCAGTGGTAGTAAGGAGCATTACATAATGAAAAAGGGTCAATTCTCCAAGACGACGTAACAATTCTCAATGTGTGTGCCGCTAATAACAGAGTATCAAACTTTGTAGGGCAAAAGCTGATAGAACTGTGCAAGGAGAAACCGATGAATCAATGGAAGTCTTCAAGGGCACGCAATCAGAAATGAACAGATCCAGCAGGCAGAGAATCAGTCAAAACATAGTTGCTGACTGACAGAACTCAAGAGCACCATCAATCAATTGGACATAATGAGCATCTGAAGACCACTTCACTGAACAACGGCAGAACACATATTCCTCTGAAGCTCACACGGAACATTCACCAAGACAGACCAAATTCTGGGCCATAAAACATACCTTAATAAACTCAAAAAACCAGAGATTATACACTGCATGCTTTTAGATCACAATGGAATTAAAGTAGAAATCAGTAACAAAAAGATAGTTGGGAGATCCCCAAATATTTGGAAATTAAATTCTCTGGCACTTACAGTTTTTATTTTATGTAGTATTTCATTACTGTATTTTTCTCAGCAATACTTTGAACTTTCAAATAACTTATACTCCATATATAAATTCGGTATGTCACTGGTATGGAGACACTTGAAAACAGAAATTAGTCTTCAAGTCTTTTTAATTTCAAGAATTTTTTTTTTTTTTTTTTTGGTAGAGACAGGGTTTTACTATGTTGCTCTGGTCTTGAGCTCCCAGGCTCAATCAATCCTCTCACGTCAGCCTCCCAAAGCACTGGGATTACAGGCGTGAGCTACCACAACCAGCCAGAAAATAAATTTTTCATAGTACCCATGCTAAACTTTTTAGGTACTAAATATTTACCCACAAAGCCTAAAATATGAATTATAAGAATTACAACTACAATGACATAATGTGCCAAAAGGCAAAAACTGTGACCCCAGCACAGCAGAAACTCCCCAAGGCCCCAACAATGCAAAAGTGATGGCAGACACAGTACACAAGGCCCCCTCCACGTTCAGCACCCACCTTCTGCTCCCTACATTCAGAACTTCTTGCCCAACAATCCTGCTGTTGATTATCTCTAAGAAACTTCCTCCAATGTCACTGAAATTTGTGCAATTCTGATATAGCTCATTTGCTTCTTAAGCTGTCCACAACTCACTGGTGGACCAGGAGACCCCTTCAGGGCTGCTAACGCATTATGCATTTAGGCACAGATGTGGTCAACAGCATCCAACTAAGCCAAACTAAGTCAAATAACACAAACTAATCTTGTAAGACCTGGTAAGTGACAATTCAAGTTTGTTTACAGAAACGAACATTTTCATACCAGATGCAAATGAAGTATTTTGATAATTGTATCTTATGTTTCCACATAATAATGGCCACCACATATTTTAAATGAATCAGTGAATAGTCTTCAGTTTGCTGAAGTGGTAGAAATAACGTTTAGTTATAAATTTCTAAGTTTCTATACCTCTACCGTATATGGCTTGACTCCATATTTGCTTTTCTATTCAAATCTTTCTATATGATTAAAGTTTAACAGGTATCAAGAGAACAGATATTAGATACAAATGATGCTCCTAAAACATGTTTTTCTTCTTTTACCCATATATAGATCTCTAATTTCCTAAGAAAAGGCCAAAAGCCCGGGAAAATAATCAATTTTTAACCAAAGGGGCCCCACAGTCTTTAGTAATAATCAATTTTACTATCTTACTTATTTTTCGGAACTAATTCTTGAATAGCTTCCAGCAGCAAAAACATCTAACAGAATATTATCTTTTCTTGGAACTAGGTAATAGAGCTCTCTTCAGGCTACAGCAGGGAGTGGAAACCTTCCTCACTTTACACCCAGAGAAAATCAGGCTACAAACCAGGCGGACCATGAAGATAGCCTGGTTCTGACTACATACCTGAAAAATGTTATTAAAAAGCATTCTATTATTAAGACATCATTAAAAGTTCAAACTGAGCAATATTCAATCTAACAAAATTTAAGCATGAATTTGGATGGTTGTGCCAAGTAATTACAATAGATGTGGCAAACTTATTACACTCTATTCTAAACCTGTGTCTGTTAATCTTCCACCTACGCCTCTCCCTAGCAAAGAGACAACAAACCTCACTTATGGGCTACATGTACCCCACTTCACAGTGACCCCTAGAGGGGAGAAAACACACATGTGTTTGGAAAAACTGTGGTCTGGAAAAAATCATTCCATGTCATGTCCTCCTCCCTTTCTGTTCCAGCTCAAAAGCAATGTTTTAAATAATAAATTAGGGTTTGAAATAAATTATATTTTTGACTGATTAGAGCTACCTTTGGACAAGAATAACTGGTACAAAGAAAAAAAAGAAAACAATCAGAATTACGGTGAGTCATTCTGGTAAAGTTAAGCTCAAAATAACTAGAGAGGCAAAGCTATCTAAGGTCCAAAGAAAGAAACCAGCCTAAGAATTTCACTGTAAAGTCTAAGATACTAAGTATACACATGAGGTTCTCTGGGAAGAAATGCATAAAAATCAACTTATTTCTACATCCTCACTCCACTTCCTGAATGGGCTCTTCACACTGGGTTTCTGGCAGCTTCTCCTTTCTGTACCCTCCCCTCCCCAGTGCTCCATCACCTGCAGGGCGTTATAGTTTTCTGTGGCATCACACTTAGGGCTCTTCCTTTATTTAGGCTCGTGTATTTCTAAATGCTAAAGCAGCATAGACATTTTAGACCCTGTAGAGTCCAGCCAGTGTTAGAGGACTCATGTTGTATTCACATTATTTTACCTATCAAATTAAGAAGAAGAGCAAGCCCTGGAAGATCACAAGTAGATTACTGGTCTCCTGTGGAAATATTCCCTAGGTTTAACCTGTTAGAAATAGCACCTGAAAAATCCTTCTGTTCTATTTAATTCTGAATAAAAGAACTATGACCTTCACAGTTGTTTTTAATGATTGTTACAACTGTAAAGGTTCACAATTACAGTGCTTAAGAGATTATGGTGAAAGGAAACACTTGGAGACCTTCCTATCCAGAGCAGATGCTATCCTATGCAAGTTGCTAATTCACAGATTTCTTTGTTTGACTATGTACTCCTGTAGGATCTCAGTGAAGAGTGAGCTTTCAGACCCTTTTTGCCCTGACTTACCTTACTGTGTGTGAAGGGGGGCGTTGCATACAAGGTGGGGTGGATGAGAGGGCGTGGCAGGTGTGGAACAGTGTGCAAAGGCACATGTCCATGGATGTGAGGGTAAAGGTGCAGTGCAGGGTGTGTGGGCTTCTCTGGGCTCAAGAACTGATGGCCAGGAGGAAGGGCTCCGGCTGTCATTGCAGATGGTGTCAGTCCAGAAGCTTCCTGCTTACAAACATGACATTCACAAGTGTTTGGAGCTTGTTCAGCCTAAGAGGAAAGAAAAAAAACATACCTATTTAGTGAAACAATAAATGGTATGAATTAAAGTCAGTCACATTCTGCCAAGTAGTTACAAAGCAAATACAAAGGTAAGTGGGCTTTTCCTGACACCCTGAGTTGACCAGGGCCTTCCATGCAAGGAAAACGAGGGACCCCAAGAGACTGAGACTGAAGAAGACGCACAGAGAAGAAAGGTGTACCTCATTCCACAGACAGACTCAGGTAGAGCCACTGGTTCTGAATCCTATGCCTATGCAGAAAATCTCTCTTCCCACATGTGAGCAGGGACAAGGGAACTAGTGAAGACGACAGAGTAGAGAGGGGATGGCTGTGCTCCACTGGGCTCACACTGCTTCTAAGTAGTCACACATGGATTCTCCAAAACAAAGCAGAGACGCGACTTCCGGTTACGGTGGAGTGAAGAGGTCAGTGGCTCCTTTCCCTCAGGGCAAATGTAAAACTGAACACAATTGTCAAAGGCAACCATTCTGAGGCTCTGGAAATCAGCCCAAGGAAAATACCGCGACACATTTATTCATGCAAATCAGCTAGAACTTCAAGGAAGAACAGCAAGTCTGGCTTTCTTGTCTGGGACTCTTTCCATTTCCTGCACCTGTACTCCACCCCTGACTCGGTCGGCAGTGGGCACAGGAGTTCTGTGACTGCAGGGATGTCAGCGCAAACCAACCCTGCTACCAAAAACAGCAGCCTGGTCAGGCAGAGGGTGAAGCAGTAAAAGCAGTGAACTTAGAAGGGAATGAATAGGGAAGCCTGCAGCTCTGTTCCCTTGAGACTGAGGTCCCAACTGGGGTGAGTGGCAAAGGAGACAGAAATCTAACAGAGAGAACCCTGGAAATGAGAGCGCCACGGAAGGGCTTCTTAAGCTGTCCACAACTCGCTGGCTGACCAGGAGAGCACAGTGCATGCACTGAGGACACCTCACGGGCTGGAGGAAGGGGCCAACACAGCTGACTTGAGAACTGGCTGAGTGCTGAGCGCATTCACCCCACAGCCAACAATGGAGCCCCTGTGGATTCAAGGTGCATGGGCAACCTCTGCCCAAATCATCAGCTGGCCAATCAGCCAGGTGGACAAAGGGCAGACCTCTAGAAGCCAAACTAAAAAGGAGAAGAGAAGAAGTAAGCTGAGACACCCACAGCCACATAATGTGGGAGATACAGGTCCTGCAACTGAAGCCCAGGAAATAACAAAAACAAGGAAACAAACAAAAGACAACAAAGGACCCTCAAGGGAAAAAATGATAATGCAAAATTATCACATTATTTAAAATGTCCAATTTTCAACAAAAAATTATGAGACAAGCAAAGATTAAAGAGAAGTATGACCTAGGCTGGGCGCAGTGGCTCACACCTGTAATCCCAACACTTTGGGAGGCAGAGGTGGGAAGATCACTTGAGCCCAAGAGTTCAAGCCTAGTCTGGGCAACATGGCAAAACCCTGTCTCTACAAAAAGTACAAAAACTATCCAGGCATGGTGGTGTGTGCCTGTAGTCCCAAGTACTTGGGGGGCTGAGGTGGGAGGATTGTTTGAGCCCAGGAGGTCCAGGCTCGAGGCTCCAGTGAGCTGTAATCATGCCACTGCACTTCAGCCTGGGTGGCAGAGCAAGACCTTGTCTGGAAAAAAAAAAGTGTGACCCACATGCAGGAAATAAATAGTCAAACGGTTAACAGGAGTGAGTTCAGATACTAAATTAGCACACAAAGATGTCAAAGCAGCTGTTATAACATGTTCAGAGAATTAAAGGAAAATATGAAAATAAAGATTCAACATATAGGGAATTACTACAAAAAAAGAGAAACAAAAAAACAGTAAAATATAAATTCTATAGGTGAAGAGTACAATAGCTAAACCAAAATTTCACTAAAGGGGCTCAAAAGCAAACTTAAAATGGCAGAAAAATCATCTGTGAACTTGAAGAAGAGCAATGGAACTGATCTAGGAAGAGAGAGAAGAGATGAGGGGAAAGTATGCAGACGCTCAGAGGCCTGTGGGAGAGCAGCCAGCACTCCAGCATGTGCAGAACCAAGTCCCAGAGGAAAGGGGGAAGAGCATCCAAATAACACCTGGACACTCCACTTCCCAAATGTGATGAGAAACATTGGTCTACAGATCCAAGAAGCTCAGTGAACCTTAAGATGGATAAAAACAAAGAGATACTGAGAGCTGCAGAACTCTGGCACACAATGACCACCTAAGGCTTCCTGCAGCCAAAGGCCAAGTCCCTAGGATGACCCCAGACCCTACTAAAACACCTTCTTGAGAAAGCCAGGCTGCCAGGAGAACTGACTGCTTGTTCTAACAGTCTGACAGCTGATGACTGTAACAAGAGTAACACTCTGGTGTGGAATTTGATAGTGGGAAGGCTGTGTGTGGGGACCCTGGGTATAGGGTGTCTCTGTAGCTCTCACTCAACTTTGCTGTGAGTCTAAAGCTATTCCTAAAAACAACCACTCTATTTATTATTTATTTATTTATTGTTGAGACGGAGTCTCACTTCTCGCCTAGGCTGGAGCGCAATGGCGCGATCTTGTCTCACTGCAACCTCTGCCTCCCGGGTTCAAGCAATTCTCATGCCTCAGCCTCCCAAGTAGCTGGGATGACAAGCACATGATAGCACGCCTGGCTAATTTTTGTATTTTTAGAAGAGATGGGGTTTCACCACGTTGGCTAGGCTGGTCTCGAACTCCTGACCTCAGGTGATCTGCCCGCCTCTGCCTCCCAAAGTGCTGGGCGTGAGACACCCCCATGCCTGGTCTATTTTTTAAAATGAAGGCAAAATAAAGACATTTACACAAAAACAGAATTAACTGCTAGCAAACTGGTCCTGTAAGACATATTAAAGGAAGGTAAAAACAAGACGGTAACTTAAATTCGGCAGAATTTAAAATGAAGAATGCCAGAAATGACTAGCCAGCTAGCAAATAGAAAACACTGTATAAATACAGGCCAGGCGTGGTAGCTCATGCCTGTAATCCCAGCACTTTGGGAGGCCAAGGCGGGTAGGTCACCTGAAGTCAGGAGTTTGAGACCAGCCTGGCCAACATGGCGAAATGTCATCTCCACCAAAAATACAAAAATTAGCCGGGTGCCATGGTGCTTGCCTGTGATCCCAGCTACTCAGGTGGCTGAGGCAGGAGAACTGCTTGAACCTGGGAGGTGGAGGTTGAAGTGAGCCAAAATTGTGCCACTGCACTCTAGCCTGGACAACAGAGTGTGACTCTGTCTCAAAAAAAGGAAAAGAAAAAGGAAAAGAAAAGGAAAAGGAAAAGAGAAAGAGAGAGAGAGAGAAAGAGAGAGAGAGGAAAAGGAAAAGAAAGAAAAGAAGGCAGGCAGGCAGGCACTGTATAAATACATTTTTCTCTTTTATTTGCTCTAGAAATTATAAAGCTGTATAAAGCAGTAATTAAAACATATTATTGGTTTGTAACATATACAAATGTAATTATATATAGGACAATAATAGTACAAAGGAGAAAGAAGGAAATGGAGCTCCTGCGGAGCAAAGTTTGTATATTTTACTGGAATTAAGTCAGTAGTAATCTGGAGTAGATTGTGATAAATTAAGATGCATATTGTGGGCGGGCGTGGTGGCTCACACCTGTAATCTCAGCACTTTGGGAGGCTGAGGTAGGTGGATCACTTGAGGCCAGTTAGAGACCAGCCTGGCCAAAGTGGCAAAACATTGTCTCTACTAAAAATACAAAAATTAGATGGGCGTGGTGGTGCGCATCTGTAATCCCAGCTACTTGGGAGGCTGAGGCAGGAGAATCACTTGAACCTGGGAAGCAGAGGTTGCAGTGAGCCAAGATTGCGCCACTGCACTCCAGCCTGGGTGACAGAGCGAGACTCTGTATCAAAAAAAAAAAAAAAAAAGATGCATATTGTGGCTGGGTACACTGGTTAAGTGTAATCTTAGCACTTTGGGATTTCCTGGCGGGAGAATCACTGAAGGCCAGGAGTTTGAGACAAACTTGGGCAACACAGGGAGACCTTGTCTCTACTAAAATTAAAAAACTTAGCCGGTCATGGCGGCACATGCCTATAGTCCCAGCTTACTAAGGAGGCTGAGGCAGGAAGACTGCTTGAGCCCAGGAGCTTGAGGTTGCAGTGAGGCATGATGATGCCACCCCACTCCAGCTTGTGTAACAGAGCAAGACCCTGTCTCTAAGAAAAAAAGAGATACATATTGTATTTTAATTTTTGTTTCTTTTTATTTTTTATAACGACATTCACAAGAGATGCATACTGTAACCCTACAGCAGCCACTAAGAAAATTAAAAAAAGAATCAACAGAAGAATTAAAATAGTACACTAAAATTTTTGTTTAATATTTAAAAAGGCAGATACTGACATATACAGGATAAAAATGCAAGGCCCAACTAAAAGATGTTAGACAAATTTTAGATTCAAAGACACAAAGAAACTGAAAGTAAAAGGATGAAAAAATACATGTACACAGTAACCCAAGAAGGTGGAGTGGCTATACTAACAAATAAAACGGACGTTAAGAAACACCAGTAGTCAAACATTTCATAATGATAAAAGGG